>NC_000003.12:45464545-45767575 GCF_000001405.40 Homo sapiens
CCCCTTCACCCCTGTCACTCCTGTGTTGCTCTAGAAGCTTTGCAAAGGAATTGTTAGAGAAGTTTGGTAACTTGACCCTACTCTGCCCTCTGACCTCAAGAAAGCACCTCCTCCTGTTTGTGCGTCAAAGCACTTCCTCCTCCTGTGTGTGCATACTGCGCCTTCTAAGGGGGAGGGGCGGCAGCACAAATTAGATGTTGGCAGAAGAGGCAAAATGACAGAACTGAGAGGAGCAAGTGAGAAATGTTTAGCAAACTGTCAGCTTCTCTGCAGGGCTCTGAGGACCAGGCCAGGGCTGGGATTTGGTGATGATGATGCTGCTTGGGTTTATCTACAATGAGGGCTTTTTCTTAAAAGCTCTGTGGCTTCGAAGCTCTTACTGCATTTATCCCCACCATGCCCCTCTGTGGTCAGACAGGGCTGAGGGTGGCTTTATCCCTCCTCACTTTAAAAATGATTAGATACTGTGGGGTAGGAGGCCAGAGCCCATGCCGGCTCTGGACCCCTATTCTCAGACCAGTGCTGAGCCACACCCTCAGAGCCCTCAGCCTCCCTGCCAGGATTCTCCCTCATGCTGGGGCTGTCTCTTCTCTTGGCTACAGTAGATTCTGCTCCCAGTCCCAGGGATCTGGTTTTGACTCCCTGTCTCACAAAGCTAATTAATAGTTAAATTCTGCTCCTTCTTACATAATATCTCCTGCTTCTGTTTTCTGTTTTCCCTGCCTCTCCAGCGTCTTTTCTCTCCTAAGCTATTCTAAACTGAACTCTCTGCTTTTCTATCCTCCATCCTATGCTCTCAGCCCTCCTCAGCATGATTGCTGGCCAGAGTGGCCAGTGCCACAGGGACCAGGTGGAAGTTGTTACTGGGAGAGCCAGCCCCTCAGAAGTCCTTCTAGGGATGGGACTGGGCAGGGGTAGGAAGGGCACAGAGGCCACAGAAAAGTAGACAACTTGAGGCTGGCTTTTCCCTGTCACTTCCCAGGCAAGCAAAAAGCTGCCTGAATAGAGGGAGTAAAATCTTTAATAACAGCCCGGGGCCAAGGCGAGATGCTGGGAGGAGGCACCTGGCTGGCTCTCAGCAGGCCTGAGAGGGAACTTCCTCCAGGAAAGGTCCTCCAGGGGTTGGTACAGGGCTGGGCCTTCGCTCTGGGATTCAGAAACCAGTGGTGTTTCTAAATGGTACAGAGACAGTACAGGCCATCAGGTTTCCCTCCCTGAATGCAGGGCCTTCCTGCTGACCTCCCAGATGTCCCCCACCAATGCCTAGTCACATCTGTATGTAGTCTCTATTAGGTCAATTCTCTATCATCATCTCATTTCCCTTAGCCCTGACTTCTTGCGCACACTCCACTGTCCGTCCCTGTCAGGGAAATAAAGACAGGTATGCTTGGTACATGTACTCCAGATGTATGAGAATAAAAGAAAACTTCTGCAGTCTCTGGGTCAGCAACCTGCTCTGCAAAGAGAAAGGTTTTCATGTTTTGTTTCCAAGATGGAATGACTGCAAAGGAAAAATGGAAGAAATAATTTAATAGTATACTTCTTATGGTATATGGACAATGAAATACATTGTAAATTTGATCAGGAACCATAAAGATAGAAAAGCATTTTGTGTTCCTTTTGAACCCTGAGTGGCCTTTTTGAGCTCCTGTTTCTTGGGTGTACAGGTCTTCTTGAGGTGTCAGCCTGGACTCCATGGGAAGAGATGTATTTAGCCTCTTGTTGAGGGGTCTCAGGGATCGCTGCACAGGCCTGGTGAGTGTCACCAATGAACCTCTTCAGCTTGGAGAGTTATTTGAACTTCAAAGCTAGAAGAAACTTGAGAGAGCATTTAGCTCGGGTCTCTTTTTAATCCCTGCCCTGATCTGAAAAACATAAAAGCAAATAAACAGAAAACCCCTCATGCCTGCATTTACTGCTGCTTGAAATTGCAAAATCAATATGATGTCTGGAAACAAATTAAAATAAATGAATAAGGTGTTGCGTTATTTTGAGCGGCCCACATCATGTCCTTCTCACTCCTTCCCAGGGGGCTGATTGCCATCCTGAGGTGTGTGTCCCATCCTTGAAAATTGCTGACCCAGCCCACATCTTATTATATAATTGAGGTGCCAAGAGCAGGGAAGGGCCAGAACCCAACTTGGGTCTCCTCAGTCCCAGTCCTGCCTTCTTTTTTATTATTATTATTTGAGACCGAATCTCACTCTGTCTCCCAGGCTGGAGTGCAGTGGTACAATCTCGGCTCACTGCAACCTCCACCTCCCAGATTCAAGTGATTCTCCTGCTTCAGCCTCCTGAGTAGCTGGGATTACAGGCGCCTGCCACCATGCCCGGCTAATTTTTGTATTTTTAGTAGAGACGGGGTTTCACCTGCATTGTTTACCCCTGCTCTTGGGGACAGTTCCCAAGCAACTGAGTATTTCTGAGAATCATGTGCAGACAATAGCCAGTCAGCGTGTGTTGCAGGAAGGCAGCACATTAGCGATAGGAAATGCAGTAAGTACAGAATGGGCACAAATGGCCAGGTAATGGAAAGTGTGGTGATTAGAGGTTTTCTGTTTTGTTCTTGGTGGAATTGACTCATTGTCCTCTCTGTCTTGCTTTTGTCATTATTTACTCCAGTGCTCTGTCCTTACCCTGGGTTCTTCTGAGCCCAGCTGCAGAGAGACCAGTAAAGACCGATCCAATGGCTGCTGCTATGAAGGAAGCAAATAGTCATTAACAGATACATACATGTCAATACTGTGTTTTTCAAAATAACCATTCTCTTATGCAGAGAGACACTTTTCCACAGCACCTTTCCACTTCTCTGTGTATTTGCTTACTGCTACCAGATGGCTAGCTCTAAGTGTCAGATTTGCTCAAAATAGAGACAGTAGAGCTGTAATAAGTTGAAAACTCAGGTAAAATACATTCTGTAGTTTTAAAAGAGTATATTAACAACATGCTCTTAACTATGTAAAAGCATATATATAAACACACATACAAGATTTTATCAATCCTGACATGATTAGTTTTAAATTGAATGCTCCATTAAGAAAGAAAAATGCTCTCAATATATTGTAAGATACCACTGATTGTAAGACATGTCCCAGTGTCAGAGTTTTTGGGAAAATGTATGTCTTAGAGTGAATAGAAGATGCAATATAAGTAGGATGGAAAGATATAAAACAAAATATTAATAGTCATCTCCCTGGGTATTTTGACCAATTGTGGGTAATTGTTAATTTTCTTCTCTTCCAAATTTTCCATAAAAAGATTATTGCTGGGCAAGGTGGCTCATGCCTGTAATCTCAACAAGGTAGCCAAGGTGGGTAGATCGCTTGAGCCCAGGAGTTCAAGACCAGCCTGGGCAACTGGCAAACCTCATCTCTACAAGAAATACAAAAATTAACTGCATGTGGTGGTGTTCACCTATAGTATGCACCTACAGTCCCAGCTACTCAGGAGGCTGAGGTGGGAGGATCACTTGAGCCCCAGGAGGTCGAGGCTGCAGTGAGCCGAGATCACCCCACTGCACTTCAGCCTGGGCGACAGAGTGAGACACTGTCTCAAAAAAAAAAAGATTATTATCATTTTGATAATCATAAAATAAAACAGCATGATATCCGGGTTAGATCATCATTTATTTACACATCTTCTTTAGACCTGAGTGTCTTAGAAAGGGATGGTCTTATGTTCTTGCAAATATTCAATCTATAGGGAGGCTTCCAACTTGAAGGTAAGTGAGTAGAATGTCCCCTGGGATGGCTGTTACCATTTTGTTTTTTATGATTAGACCAATAAAAGCTTTCAGCCTTGCCCTCAAGACTCCCCTTTCCTGGAATAATAAGACCACTTTTCAGGCAAGGATAGTCAATGCCACAGATTAGGCTGAGGACAATTTTCAAGTTGTAGCTATTGGACTACTCCCTCCCTCTCCTGTGGAAGCCTCTCTCTTATCTTGTAGACCCAGGGGCAGGGAGGTGACATAGGTGGCTCTGAGAATCAGAAGCAATCTCATCAGACAGGTGGCTCTGTCATTAGGAGAGTTTGGCCTTCATCGTCTGCATTCTTACCAGTGTAGTGGTGACATTTGAGAACCTGTAGTCACCTTCTCTCCAAAGTTAGTGGAATTAGAATTGTTCTGCTGCTGAAAAGGTGGGTCAGAGGGGGAAAGAAAAGATGGATAAGTGTAACCTGAGTGGATATGTGGATAAGAAGAGATTAGTCAAATTGGCTGCTGCCATACTTCCTGGTTCCCTTTACTGCATCCTTTTCCACAGATCACGTACATGGGGCTGTGTAATGAAATCCTCAGGGCATTCCCTGATGGGCATACCTAGAAAGCACATCCCTCTTTTCTAGCACCAGTGACACCATTTACATGTATAGGAGTCCTCTTATTGGAAGCTATTCTATAAAGCACTTGGTTTGTCCCTCTCTTTCCCATAGCTCTGGGCTGTGCACTTGTATGTGTGGCTGCTTGGTGCCTCTTTTCCTCTTGCCCTGAAATCCCATGAAACCACACCTTGTTGGCAAGTCATATATCATTAGCAGGATGCCTTGCTCCGAATGGATTATTTCCCTGCTGGGTTAACAGCACCTGCATTGGAATTGAGATTCTTGGATAGCACAGTGGTATTTGCAAATAAATGTTTTGCATTGTGATGCTACAACAAATGGATTTTGCTTGGAATACATATCACATTCCAATGAGAGGTTGACGCAGGGCTATCATAGGGAGGCTTTACTATATTTATGTATTTGTCATGTCTTCTCTAAAGTCAAACAAGGTAAACATCATGCCAAATGGGTTTTCTTGTTTTTTGTTTTTTTGAGACAGACTCTCACTCTGTCACCCAGGCTGGAGTACAATTGCACTATCTCGGCTCACTAGAACCTCCGCCTCCTGGGTTCAAGCGATTCTCCTGCCTCAGCCTCCCGAGCAGCTGGGATTACAGGTGCCTGCCACCATGCCCAGCTAATTTTTGTATTTTTGTTAGAGACGGGGTTTCACCATGTTGGTCAGGCTGGTCTCAAGCTCCTGACCTCGTGATCCGCCCGCCTCGGCCTCCCAAAGTGCTGGGATTACAGGGGTGAGTCACTGTGCCCGGCCGGGTTTTTTTAATGTATAAATCTTCATGCCAGAGTCAAAGCAGGACAGGGGACTAGAGTGCGAGAGAAAGGTCATTCCTCCAGCACATTCTAGAGGGAATGTCTATATTTTTAAACATCTTGCTGCCTTCATAATTGGTTTTCCTTTTTTAGAACTTAATTATATATTGTGCCTCCCCCCCCACCAAAAAAAGAAATTTTGGCAACAAGAGTAAGTTTTAGAAAAATATATATAAATCATAATTCAAAAATAATTGCAAATCAAATCATACCAATTTATAAGTATGCTAAGTGTCAAGCTTTTAAAAAGTGTACATTTTAATTAGATGTTGTTGTTCAATCTTGTGTCTTCCATTCTCTCAAATCTGTGTCCAGCTCTTAAGGTTTTTGATTATCCACCCTTCCCTTAGTAGCTAATACATCCACTTGTTTTACAGGGTCTGTACTTCTCAGTTTGCTTGCACTTTTTTTTACCTGGGTCTTCTAAAACGTATCATGTTTTAAACCCACTTTTTCTAGAATTCTCATTTGTGGTCATGTCGTACCTTGTTCTTAATGCTTCAGCTCAACTTTCTGTCTTAGGAAGTATGGATTTATTCTTAGCATTACTTCTGCTTCTTTGAAGAGAAAGTCATATTAGCCGCGTTATATTTAATCCTCTTTTTATCCCCAGCTTTTTAGTTTTAATGTTTCTCTCTCTTATTCCTGATTGTATTTTGTATTAGTAAAACCTTTTTGATTGGATGTTACTTCAGCCCATCTTTTATTGGTGCATGTTCTTAAACACTGGCTCATCTTGACTCATGAATGCCTAGTTCTGTTTCAATTTCTTCAAACATCTTCGTTCAGATGGTGTACCCTAGAGTGACAGTGGCAGTCTTTTCAGACACATCCTAGCACAAACGGATTTAAGGCCCCTTTGCAAACCACATTACTTCTATATAGGCCAAATGGCAACCACAGGGAAACTTTATAATCAGAAGATCTGGATAATTCATTATCTTGGATCTGCTGCTGATGGAGTTTAGGGAAATCACATGACCTCTCAACCCCATTTTTAAAATTTATTAAATGAGAGGCATTGAATAAGTTAATGATTTCCAAAGTGTTTCAAAGCCTTGGGAGTCGATAGGGAAGTATTGAGGAATTAGAGGAGAGAAAGGGCATTTCTTTCAACTCTTACATATTGGGTTCCCTCAGATTCGATTTGAAAAAGGTTTCATAGCACTTTTAAAAAGAATCTAAAAACCTGATATTTTCCCAGGTTTTTGGATTCTGTGAGCCAGTGGGATTTTAAGATTGGCCAGTATATGGAAGAGGTACACGTACCAGTCCTGTCTGCCAGATGTAAAGACATGAAATGAGGCGAATACCATCTATCACTGTAATTACAACACTAAAAAAAAAAAAAAAAAAAAAAAAAAAAGAAGGATATAAACTAAACAAAAACCCCAAAAAAACAAAAATAGCTCTTTAAACAGCTGTAGCACCGTAACTACTCACATCTTATTCTGGTGGAGCCCTGCTCTGGGCCAGCCCAGGATTGAAGGAAAGGTTATCAGCAGCTATTGGAAAAGGTACTTTCTGAAGCCCTGTTCATCAGAAAACAGTCATGAATCATGTGTTTATTATACAGTGGGGACCGAAAAGAGCTTGCAGAGTTGTTCGAGATGTTGATTTCATTTAGTTAATTTTAAAAATTTCTTTTGGTTTTTCACAATATTCATAGATTTGGTTAGGTTTTAAGCAGGCATTGTTCCAGAATTAGCATATGAAAACATTCACATTTCATCCTATTTGAATCTGTCATCCTCATCAAGATCTGAATATTTTAAGCAAGGTACCTCCATAAGAAGTTTCCCAGCCTTGACGATTACATCTAGAAGAAAAAGCACAATGAGAGGGTGAATACACTAGTGGCTCGGTAATGCTGGTAAAGGAATGGACGTAAAGTGCTATCAGAATTGGACTTAGTCAGGGAGATTGAGCCAATTTTCAGATCATGTAATGTGGATTTGATATGATGGAAAGACATCAGATCCCATTAGACCACATATGGATTTGCTTGGAAGTTAAATGGAGCCTCATTGGTCTTTGGAGAGGAAAAGCTATTGGTCATTTTCAAAGTTTATAATATACTTGCGTGCTCGTTGACATTTAAGACCCCCTACATTGCTCTAAAAATTGAAAAGCATTCTAGAGTACTTAATTTTATTAGAAGATTAATTGTTTATTAACATATTAGTATATAATTAACATATTCAAGATCTACTTTTGCTACAATGACATCGAGGCATTACTGTATCAGCTAATATAGATATATATGTATCAGGATGTTGAAACTTTTATAATCCATTGATGTTAGTTAGGCAACTTGGTTGCAAACAACATAAAGTTACTCTGATTAACTTAAGCCAAGGAGGAATTGATTAGAAGAGAATCAGGTTACTCACAGTTGAATGAGAATGCCGGGGATCCAAGCTCAGGCAGAAATTAGGGGAGAACAAGGGCACAGCCACAATCTTTTCCCAAAATGGTCTGGTTAAGCCATTGCTGCCATTGGTACCAGCATCTCCAGCCTCTCAATCTGGTGTGGCATTTAAGCCAGTTGATCCTGTGCCTCTGGGTCACCCTACAGTGTTCTGAAACTGTACTGAGCCTATGACTGGTTATACTCCTTAGTGTCAGTGGGGAAGGGAGTGGGATGTGGTGGCAAGTTTGTCCCCTTTCAAGCGAGTAATGAACCAAGAGACCTGAGTACAGTGGTCTCAGGCCTGGTTCCAATTAGCTGAGTGATATGGGGCAGATTGCTCTCTCCTGGGCCTGTCTGTCCTCATCTATAAAGAGAGAGGATTCTGATGACAATGTCAGCCCCATGGCTCTATGACCAGAGTCTTCCTTCTAGGAATAAAATAAAAATATAAATAAGATAATAGAAGCAGATGGATCTCTAATACATGCCTTTTAGTTAGAGTATGATAAGCTGAAGCCATCTGAAATACAGATATGGGAAAGCTGAATTTAAGAACTGTTGTTATAAAGTAGTAATTGCATAGCAGAGTATCAGACTGAATATGGACTTGGGAGTCAGCTACATCTTGCTTCAAGTGTTGCTTCCACAGCTCTATCCCATACTTGTGGAGTGACTTGGGGAAAAGTTCTGAGACTTGTTTCCTCATCTGGGATGTGGAGTATTACTACTTGACTTGTGCTGTTGATGTGAAGATTAAATGAGGCAACATACATAAAAGTGCCTGGTACTTAGGAAGTATTCTGCAAAGGTTATTACTTCCCTTCCCAGATGCCTGGGGATCTGCTTCTGTAGTACTGCTCTCTAATTCTCTCCCTTGAGTACAGGGAATTAAATGGTAATTTAATGAGCATTTGCCCAAGATAAGGCACAGTTGTAGGCTTTGGGCCAGGCCCTGTGTGGAATATAAAGAAAAATCAGAGTTTGCATTAGAGCCATAGAGATCACAGGCCAACATTTCCCTGTGCCATACTTTCTGAATTCAGATCAGGAGCACTGTGGGATTAAGAGTTGCAGCCTACACAATAACAAACTTAGCAGTTATGTTTTTGTCATTGTTGTTGCTTTTCATTTTTATTGTAAAATGAAATATGGGTGATCATATAAGTATATAGCCTATTGAATTATTTTAAAGCAATAGTTTGCATAGATAGATGACAAATATGAAAGATGCTTTGGGTGCGTGTGTGTGTGTGTTTTTGTTTTTGTTTTGTTTTTTGTTTTTTTTTTGAGACAGAGTCTTGCTCTGTCACCCAGGCTGCAGTACAGTGGTGTAATCTCGGCTCACTGCAACCTCTGCTTCAGGGTTCAAGCAATTCTCCTGCCTCAGCCTCCCAAGTACCTGGGACTACAGGCAAGCACCACCACGCCTGGCTAATTTTTGTATTTTTAGTAGAGACGGGGTTTCACCATGTTGGCCAGGCTGGTCTCAAACACCTGACCTCAGGTGATCCGCCCACCTCAGCCTGCCAAAGTGCTGATATTACAGGCGTGAGCCACTGCACCTGGCCTGTTGTTGTTTTTTTTTTTTTTTTATCACACATTAACATAGGAATCTTTGTGCTGTAGCCAAATGTTTATACAAATTAATGTCATGTTTCCCTTATATATTTATAAAATTAATACTTTTTAAATGCAAAGATAAAATTTATAATGTCCTATGTATGATATTGTTTAGTTGTGGAACACTCATGAATGACTTAGGGTTTCAAAATTCATAAACTTGAACTTAATTTTTTTAGTTCCTAGACTATGGGAGAGAATGTACTAGACACACTTGCCAAAGATGTGAATTATGACCTTTGTTTGTTAATTTTCTTCTTTCCGTGAAACCGTGACTCCCTTGGGACAGCGAAATCGGTCAAACCCATCTCACTGAACTGAGTCATAATGAATGCATCTGTTTCTAACCTTTCCTGGCTTCCTCTGACTTAGTGAACAAGGAGAGAGCTAAATCCTGGATCTTCTTTAGTGTCCCTGCTTTTCCTACCTTAACAAGCTGCAAATCATTTGCTTTTTCTTAAATAAGCCTTGTGCCTCTACTTCTTTGTTCTCCTTTCATTTGCACAGGCCATGCAGGACGCGTTGGCAGACCTTCCAGAATGGTATGGAATAAAAGGCATGCAAGCCCACTGGATTGGGGACTGTGTGGGCTGCCACCTGGACTTCACATTAAAGGTGATTAAGTAATAGCAGCTCCAGCAATTCATGATCACAAATCTCCTCTACATTTGGGACTCACTGAGTAAACCAGCAACTTGGGACTCCACAGCACCACAGTCCAAACGTGTACAATTTTAAATTTTCTAGTAGCCACATTTTTTAAAAGTGCAAAGAACAGGTGAAATGAATTTCAATAACATATTTTATTTAACCCATTACAACCAAAATGATTCCATTTAAAGATGGGCTCAATAAAAAATGATTTATTAAAGAAAGAGTTTACATTTTAGTACAGTCTTTGAAATCTGTGTTCTACATTTATAGTACACATTAGCCATATTTCAAGTGCTATGATTCATAGCCACATATTGCTACTGGCTACCATATTGGACAGCACAGACACAGAGGGTCTTCAGGGGTCCATGAACTCCCTGAAGTTTTATGTGCAAAATGTTTGGGCATTTTCCTGAGCAATGGGTCCATTACTCTCACTATAGTCTCAAAGGGGTTCATGTCACAAAGCAGATTAAAAGCCAGGGAAGCAGAAGCTAACTGTGACATCATTTCAAAACTAGATAGACTTAGAGCTTAGGGATTGTGTTTGAAACTGCTGTGGAAACAGTGCTGAAAGGTCACAACATAAGGCCCACCTATTCTAGAAGGGGTCCCTAAAACTTCTTTGTCTCTACTGACTAGAGAGTTGTTCTATTGATATTTTTTTTACCTGGGCATTCTTTTTTTATCCTTCTGATTTCTCCTTCTGTCATCAAGACTTTTCTGCTCTGTTCATTTAGCGTCAAACCTGCCCTCACTTTCGTCCCCGTCAAAACCTTTAGGAGGAGGAAGCAGCAGCTGAGACAAAGTTGGCCTTCCTTTCTAGACTCTTGCCTGCTGACAACCATACCTGGTGTCTGCAAGCACCTGCCGCTTGCCACTCAGCTTATAATTCCCTGTGCAGCCTCCTCACAAAAGTGATCCAACTTACTCCAACTGCAAACATGGAAAGCCTCCCATAAGGGAGTGTGTACTTTGGAAACATTTCAATACAAATCCTGGACTGAGCTTTTCCTCTTACCGCTTTCCCAAGAAGGTGGCGAGAGTTCTGAAATTCAGTCCTGCTGTGACTTGTGTTTAAATCTGCAAGGCCATCTCTTTCAGGGCCTTTGCATTTGCCTGAGTCTGGTCCTCATGTTGAAGGCCTTTGCTTCTTAACTAGCATTCGGTGTGGGTCTCTGGGCCTGTCAGCTACTGTGTGTGGAATATCTTCTACACTTTCTTCTTTGCCCAACATTTTACTGTGAACATGTTTTTATCTCCATTCCTGGAACCACCTGAAAATAAGATGGGGCAACATAGTGTCTCAGGAAGGAAGCATCTCAGTCCTACAGGGTAGACCACATCTATGCCTCTGTGTCCCCAATTCTGGCTCCATAGGTGACACCTAATTGGCAGTTAGGCCAAGTGGTAGACTGTCTTTTAGTTCATTATTGGCACTCTGTCAATGTGTTTGAATAAATGCATGAAGGAAGTAGCACCTGTCCACTCTGTGTCCTCCATGTCTGTCACATTATTTGGCACTCAGTGGATGGCTAATGTGTGCCTCTTCCTTAAAAGGCATTTTAACCAGCTCTAGGGACTCATAGTCATGAACTCAGCTCAGGCCATCCTTTCTCTCTTCAAAGCAGTAATAACCTTGGCACCTGTTTTTCTTGTTAGAAAAGTAGATGCCTTTTTTTTTTTTTTTTACCGTACCCTTATATCCTTGAAGAAAATATAGCTTCTTTCTCAGAACACAAACACTATAACACTAATAGTTATTTTTGATTTGTAAACAAAGGAGCCAGAAAAACCAGGAAAGTATCTTTCTGAGCATTCTTGGACCACCTTCAACTTGGGAATGCCTGCATGCCTGGTGTGGGGCAAGTGGTAGGGGGTGTTTCTGAAAGAGGAACTGTGATCCTCTTCTCAGCTTCTTCCAGGCACCATCTCAATCCCCACACCCCTGGCCCAGTGGTCAGAGCTGTGGTCACTGTTGGGGAATGAGGAGGGAAGGGGAAGGGGATACAGTTAGGGAGCAACACAGCCCAAAGGGAGGACTGAGAAATGACATCACTCTTCTTTCCTATCACCAGGTTCATGGGCAAGCCACGGGCGAAAAGCTGACTGCCTATACGGCCACCCCTGAAGCCATTTATGGCACCTCCCACGTGGCCATCTCGCCCAGCCACAGACTCCTACATGGGCACAGCTCTCTGAAGGAAGCCTTGAGGATGGCCCTTGTCCCTGGCAAAGGTGAGCTGGCAAGTTAACGGCTCAGGTGGTAGGATTGCTACCTTACATTTGGATGGCGCCTCCCAGAGTTCAAGGTCCTTTCCTCTATGTCATCTTGCGTGGGTTGTTCTTTGCCTTAGCCTGATTTTTTATGTTTTTATTTTGAAACATGAGGATAAAAAAGAGCTCTGAAAATATTTTTATTACCTCTGGTTTCTCCATGAGATACTAGTTTGTCTGTGTCTTGAGCTTCTGATTGAAAGCTCAGCTCTCTCCCTTTCAGTATAATCTAAAGTTCTTTTCTCCTAGTTATAAATTAGGAGAAGATATAGGAATCTATTCTATTAGGAATAGAATCTTCTCATAATTTATAATTTCACCATCAACTAAAACTACACTGTCAGAGACCAAAGGGAAGCCAGTAAGAATGAGAGCAAACTTTTCCAACTCAATTTTATTGTTTTAAAGAATTCATGTGGTCATCTGAGCAGTGTCCTGCTCCATACAGAGTTTTAACATACCTGCTTTATGAATGGATCAAGCTGACCTAGAATCGGCATATCAAGTTGTACTTGGTCTGTGAAGATTTGAAGATTCTGTGGTTGCAAGCAACAGATTCCATCTCTGACTAACCCAGAGGAAAAGGAGAACACATTGGAAGGCTGTGGGGAAGCCCGTTGCTAGAGGAACAGCTGAAGAGGCAGTCCGAAGGGGGACTTGGAGAGTGCAGCCCCAAGAGTTTGGAGAACAGGAACTCACAGACAGTCCCCTGAGTGCCACTGTCAGTAATTCTACTCTAACACCGCCTTCAGTGCCTGAAGCACTTGGTTCAAGACTCCTCTTGCAGGGAAAGGTGTTTGACTGCTGTAACTGGGGCCCCCAGCCTATTTCTTGGCAAAGAGAGGCCAGGCACCTTCCTTGGTAGACCACAAAGATTGTCCCCAGGGAGGGAGGGGGAGCTCTCCAAAACAAACTTGAGGGCTCTTACCAGATAAGGGGATATGAAGCCTGGGTAGACAAAAAGAAATCCATTCTAAGTTAGAAATAAGTCTCTGAAGTAATTTAAATATTTCCACAAATATCTCATCCCTATTCTCTTTCATGAACTATAAACTTCAACCCAAAGTATACAATCTGAATTATTGGGGTCTGAAATAGCATTTGACTAAAAAAATGTTTTGGATGATGATATTAAGTTGCCATCTCTGAAATGACCAGAATGAAACATTTCCTAATACTAGGTTGGAGAGATAGACAATGTCATCCCAATTTCTCTCTGCTTAAGACTTTGTTTACTTAGACCATTAAAGCCGGATTCAAATCAGTGAGCACTTTCTAAAGAGCCTGCTGCATGCACTCTTGGTGGGGCATAGATGAGCCATTCCAGTCTTAACTGGATGCCCCAGAGAGGCAGAACAGAGGACAGCCAGATGCATATGCCACTCGCCCCACACAAGGCAGATGTCACCTCTCAGTTTCACCTCTTTGCAATATGTATTGAAATAGAGAAAAGAGTCTTTTGAGTTAAAATTTCTATGCATGCTTATAAAGCCCAATATAGCTGTCTCTCTCAGGTTTATTTTCTTTCCTTGCTCAAAAGAAAAACTGGATATGTTTCAACTGTTTAGTTTAAAGGGAAATCTCATAGTTTTACTCTCATGAGCAATTTGATATTCCTTGAGGGCTATGGTGGCTGAATAATATCTAAAATTGAAAAACTAAAACATGTAAACATCTCTAGCCCTTACATTTTCTCTTATGGCTAAATTTGGGGACACAAATGAAAATAAGGTACTATTAATAGGGGAGCTATGATTTGTTAATGAGCTAACAAATTATAGAGGATGGAGTTCCTGAGATGAAAGGCACTGTATAAATTCAAAACATTTTCATATGTAGGAAATGGAGAAATTTTTTTTAGTACACGCAAACAGCACTGTTTTCATGAACACATGGATATCGACACACCTGACCTGGCCTAGTCATTTCATTTTGGCAAATTTAGTGCCAAGTGTAATGTTCCATTTGAAGGGCTCATTAGTTACTTTCTCCCCTCTTTTTAATAATCTCTGAAATTATTCCAAATGGAACATTACACTTGGCAGTAAAATTTTCCAATTCTAATTTTCAGAGTAGAAATACTCTTTTTGCAGATGTCAATATATTCAAAATCTCTAAATTAATTTGCACATCACGTCCCTGGATTTTTGACATCATAGTCACAGAAGGCCAGTACAGTGCATTGAGTGTAATACAATGTTCCCAAAAGATGAATTCAGATTACCTAGGAATGTATGATTTATGCCTCTTCTGGCCTTTGGGATTACATTTTAAACCAGGATGTTGTATCACTGCTGTCATTTACCATTGCTGACCACCTCATTTTTTTTCATTGAATGTCAGATTTTAAGGATGATTTGTGTTGAAGCAGTGACCACCGAGTGTCATGGCAGCACACAGTTGTGACTAAATTTATCACTTGCAGGAGTTTCAATTCTCAAACATGAGCTCCTGTAGTTGCTAAGTTTGTTTCTACATATCGGCTCCTGATTTGGCCTGAGATGACCAAGATTCTGGTCCTAGAGCCATCCATATGACTTAAGGAAGGTCACGTAAGCTTTGTAAGTTTAGCCTTCCTGGCAGAGCTTGTATTGGGGCTGTCAGCCAAGGTGGTCTTGGAGGACCTTGTGGGTAGAGAAGAAGCTTTGAGGGGCCCTGTGGAGGAGAGTGACACATGTGGCCAGGGTGATGCTAGAGTGGCAGGCTGGCTGACCCCATTAATTGTGGAAAGAGATGGCGAGGCCCCCAGAACAGCAGGGATCAGGATGGAGGGAGGGAACAGGTCTGAGAAGTCTGTGGAAGGCTGCGAGGGTGGAGGATCCCTGGATGATTTCTTGATTTCTAGCTGGCCAACTGGGTTGCCGATGTTATTGACTAAATGTACTGTTTTGTGCTTAGCATCCTTAATTTGGCACAGATTCCTTTAAGAGAGGAAAAAAAGCAAGGTGCTCCCCTAGAGCTCTTGAAATTTAGTTTATTTCCATAATCGTTGACGTCGCCTCCTTCTCTCAGCTGACCAAATCTGACTTAAGTCATGTTATGTAAGCTCTCACTTGATAGGAACTAGAAGCCATAAAAGGCATCAATGGGGAAATATGATCAGAATTCTAGAAGCTGTTCTGTCTTTTCCTGAAATCTTTTCTTGCATTCCTAATATTAAAATATTCAAACCCTGGGGCTTTGGAACCACACACTTCAGCTCTGAGTCACCAACTATCTACACAATGCATTTTTTGCTGAAAGGGCAGATGCGGTCTCTCCAAAGGACAACTTGGAACTCTGTTGTTATTGACACATTACAGGCACATTAGAGAGCAAGAGCCTCCCTGGAAGCCCCAGGTCATTAAATAATAATTAATTGCTCACTACTGTTTTGTCCTTGTCTCCATAGTATCCATATGGGGTGAGGACAAAGGGTGAGAGCAGATCTGTAATTCTGGGGTAATGGTTTGGTTTTCCATCAAACTGTTTCAAGTAGAATTCTTTGATGTTATGTGAAGGGAAAAGCTTCTGTGCTCAAAAAATCTGGAATAAACAAAAAAAAACAGGTATCTTTGCTTTGGACTTCTCAGAACCTTTGCTGTGCTAATGTGCACTGTGACTGTCTGAGAGAGGAAGTCATAGGCACTCTTGTCACACCCAGTTGACCACGGAGCCCTGTTTCCATGCAGTATCCCTAGAAACTAGTTATATGGACTGCCGCCTTGGTGAACACCAAATGTAAGTCATTTGTCTGTTTTTCCAGAGGGTGTGAGAGACCTGCCTTCTTTCCAGTGGGTGCCCTGAGGGCAAAGGACAGATACCTTTTTGTCTGGAATGTTTCCTTTGTAATTACTAAAGTGTTTTGCTGTTATCTAACTACTATTGTGAAATGCTTCAGTTTCTTCTGATTTCACCTTCTTAGATTCCTGCATCACATCACTAGCACAGGAGTGATTACTGAACACATTAGTAATTAGGAAGGAAGGAAGAAATATGGAGAACACTAGAGACCTATTCAGGAACTTTGGATTTTAATTGTGTTGTTTCTAGGAAATAGATTTTGACCAGGTATAGCATGCGAGCTGCTACCGTGCATTCATTGCAAATCTGCTAATATTTAAGTTCAAAGACCAATTTTTGTCCTAACTGAGAAACTGGTATAATATAACTTTTACATGTAATAAGAAGCAGTTCAACTCTTTCAAGCAGTACACTACATTTTTTTATATTACTTTCTTTTGTAACAACTGAGCATACCATATAAGAACCTACTTAATATATACAATTCCATGGTTTTTAATATATTCACAAATTTATACAACCATCCCCACAGTCAATTTTAGAACATTTTCATCATCCCAAAAAGAAATCTCAGACCCTCTGGCAGTCATCCCTCCCCAATTCTTGCCTAATCTCCAGCCCTAGGCAATCACTAATCTGCCATCTGTCTCTGTAGATCTGCCTATTCTGGACATTTCATGTAGATGGAATCAAATATAATATTTGTCATCTTATTGTCTGGCTCCTTTCACTTAGCATAATGTTTTCTTTCCTTTTTATTTCCAAATAATCCTCCATTATATGGATAGGCCACATTTTATTTATCCATTTTATTAATTGATGGACATTTGGGTTATTTCTACTTTTTTACTATAGTTATAAATAATACTTCTATGAACATTAATAAAGATTTTTGTGTGGATGTATGTTTTTATTTCTTTGGCAATATACCTAGGGGTAGAATTGCTGGGCCATGAAGTTTAAGGAACTGCCAGACTATTTTCCAAAGTGGCTTCACCATTTTACATTCCCACCAGCAGTGTATGAGAATTCCAGTTTCTCCACATCATTACCAACACTTCTTATTGTCTGTGGTCATTTTGATTATGGTCATCCTAGTGGATATGATGTGATACCTCAGTGTAGTTTTAATTTGCATTTCCCTGATACATCTTTTCATGTGTTTATTGGCCATTTATATGTCTTCTTTGGGGAAATGTCTGTTCAGTTCTCTTGCCCCTTTTAAAAAATTCATTTTCATTTTAATTTTTAATTTTAGTTTGTCTTTTTATTATTTTAACCATTTTTTATATATTCTAGATACTAGTCTCTTATCAGATACGTAATCTACTAAGTTGTTCTCAACTTCTGAGAGTTTGTCTTCATGGTGCCCTTTGAAGCACAAGTTTTTCATTTTGATGAAATTAAGTTTGTCTGTTTTTTCTTTTGTTGCTTTTGCTTTTGGTGTTATATCTAAAACGCTATTGCCTAATAAAAGGCCACAAAGATTTATACGTATTTTATTTTCTAAGAGTTTTATAGTTTTAGATCTTACAATTGGATCTTTAATCCATTTGGAGTTAATTTTTGTATATGGCATGAAGTAAGGGTCCAACTTCATTCTTTTGCACATGGTCATGTTACTTTTTAACTCACGTTCCCACATTATCTTAAAAATCAGGCTGCTTCTGCCTCTTTATTTTCTGGCCTTCACTTAATATGCTATCAGAAAACATTTCTGTGTTTTCATGCGGGCTTCACAATTGTTTTTTAATCCATACATAATGTCCTATCAACTCAATGTACCTTAATATCCTAAGTCTTTCCCATCATGTTGAACACTGGGCTTTTTTCATGTTTGGGGCTATTATGGAGATAACTGCTGTGACCATTTATGTCCACATGGCTCTTTGCTTCATAGAATTTTCCTTAGGAGATATTCCCAAGTGTGGGGTTCTTTTGGTCAAAGGTTACAAACATTTTTCTATTTTTCTATTTTCTATTTCTATTTCTACATGGTTTCTGAGAGGGCTATATAGAGTGCCATATCCAATGATGTATGCATTTCACAGCAACTTCACAAACATTAGTGTCACCTTGCTAAAACGTTTTGCTAACTTATCAGATATAAAATGATAATACTTCAAGATCACTCTAATTTTCATCTCTTTTTAAAAACTAATTTGTTTTTTAAAGTCCAAGTGATATATGTATATTATATGAAAAGTCAAAGAGTACTAATAATAACAAGAACAATAAAAGCAGCCTCCTTAACCAAACACTTTTATTTAGGTATATGTTTCTTAGGATACAAGTTCAGTGGCTATGACAGAGGCTTAAACAGGAGTTTATTCTACCTACATGAAACTCTTGAGCATGTGTGAAAAGTCTACTTTGTGAGGTGGTTAGGGCAGTTATCCTCTGTCTTGTCTTCCTGCTCTGCCCTTCTAGAGTCCTGTCCTTCTCTGTGTTTCTAAGTTGGTCTACACTTGATCTGCGTTCCAGTGAAGTAAGAAGTGGGGAAGGGTGGGGAGAAGGGCATGCTCCTTCCCTTTGAGGCCGTGACCTAGCAGTTGCTTCTGCACATCCTCCATGGCCACACCTAGCTGCAAGGGAGGCTGAACAGTGCTTTCGTTAGCTAAACACACTAGCCATGTGTCCAACTCAACATTCTATTGCTGAGTTAGAAGAGGAAGCAGGTACAGGGGTCAACTGGTAGTCTGTGCCACCTGCTGTTTCTCTGGCATAGACATCCCTATCTGTATGTCTGTCCATGTGCCGTATATGCCTATACTGCTGTCTTTTGATTCACCAGTTCTAGATATTACCTAGTGACTTTTATTCTATAACCCCTCACCTCCCAGCCTCCTGGTAACATCATATTATAATTGCAAAATTTGCAAATACACATTTCTTCTTTGAGAAAAGATAGTGTGGAGGCCAGGTGCAATGGCTCATGTTTGTAATCCCAGCACTTTGGGAGGCTGAGACAGGCAGATCATCTGAGGTCAGGAGTTCGAGACCAGCCTGGCCAACATGGTGAAACCCCATCTCTACTAAAAATACAAAAATTAGTTGGGTGTGGTGGCATGTGCCTGTAATCCCAGCTACTTGGGTGGCTGAAGCACCAGAATTGCTTGAACCTGGGAGGCAGAGGTTGCAGTGAGCTGAGATCACACCACTGTACTCTAGCCTGGGTGACAGAGTGGGACCCTGTCTCAAAAAAAAAGAAAAGAAAAGATAGTATGGAATCAGAAATATGGGTCTCTACTTTGAGAAGTGAGTCTGCACTCAGCCAGCTGCAGCAACAGGTGTCTCCCAGCTAACACATCTGTACCATGGCTGCTGGCTGGAGACCCATTGGGGCTGCATTTCACTGTTTCCCTACCATATCTCATTCTGTGCTTCCTGACACCCAAGGTGATAAAAGATAAGAGCTGGCTTAGATGCCTATAGAATCTGTCACTACTCTTTGAGATATAGACCCTGGCCAGGCACAGTGGTTCTCACCTGTAATTCCAGCACTTCGGGAGGCCAAAATGATAGGATTGTGTGAGCCCAGTAGTTCGAGACCAGCCTGGGCAACATAGGGACATCCTGGCTCTACAAAAAATTAAAAAAAAAAAAAATTAGCTGGGTTTGGTGGTACATACCTGCAGTTCCAGCTACTCAGGAAGCTGAGGTGGGAGGATCAGGGTGAAACCCTATTTCTAAATAAATAAATATCTTAAAAATAATTTAAAAAATAAATATAGATTTAATTCTTAGGCTTATTTTAATTTTGGGGTTTGCAAAGTAGATAATTACATGAAATCTTAAAACATGGCAAGTATTATAAATAGTAAGAATTCATAAGTTATAACTGTTAATTGCTTATATTGTAAATTAAGTCAAGTGAACTCACTAATTGTCTACCATCTCTCATCTCTTCTTCCACTGGGACTTTACTTAGGTCATTATGCTTCCAGCTCTCCATATAGTCACATATATGCACGTATGGCTTGTCTCCTTGTTACAGTAGTTGTAATACACTTCATTTAAGATGATACAGTGTTAGCTGGGTACAGTGGCTCCTGCCTGTAATCCCAGCGCTTTGGGAGTCTGAGGTGGGAGTATCACTTGAGACCTGGAATTTTAGACCAGCCTGGGTGACATAGCAAGACCCCTGTCTCTACAAAAAAAAAAAAAAAAAAAAAAAAAAAATATATATATATATATATTTAAAATAAGATGTTATTTTAAATAACAATACAATGTAATAGAATTATTGTATTGTAACATAATACAATAATACAATGTTAGAATAAATCCAAATTAAGTGTTTTATTAGGGCCACATAAATATTGTTCAACTGAGCCAAATACATTTTCCTTTTTATATAACTTTTTATTTTTCCTAGAGTTCATAATGTCTTCCTTTTTTTTTCATTTACTTTGTATTCTTTGAATTTCTGGCTAAGTCTTCCTGTACACCCCCCATATTTCTTTGAAACTCCTCTCAGTGCAGTTTTCTGCACGTTCCAACCTGCCAGGTAATCTATCCATTTCCTTATTTTCCCAAAGATGCTTCCCAGGGCACTGTGTACTGCTCAGATCTGACCTGGTCATTCTCCAGGCCTCTGCTGCAACCTGGCCTATTAGAACTTCCCTCTGTCTTTGTTCTGTGAGTGTCCTCATACTTTTTTCTTTGTTGGATCCCTTGTTTCCTGGATCCTATGTCTGTCTCTTTCTTGATTTACCCCTTCATTTTGCTGGAACACATTCTGTAGTATCCCCTAAGAAAAGGGTAAGTGGGTAGGAACTCTTTTGTCTTAGGATGTCTGGAAATGTCTTCCCTTCTTTCTGCTCAGTCATTTTCTACTCCCTCTCCACTTCCATCTTCAAGTGTTATGATGGTTTGGAATTTCTGATGTCCCTGGTTTCACTACAGATGGACTTTGTGTTTCTCATCTTCTGTATATTTGAGGTATTTTTCAAAAGGAAAAGACAGTGAAGGGAATGTCATTACTCCACATCTGGAAAGCAAAAATGTTTTTTCACTTTTCATGAGCATGGAAGAACATTTTTTCATGTGCGTATTTAATCTTTTGATTATTCACTGGTGTGAATTATCTATTAATACCCTTCAAAGGACAACTTATTTAACAATTAGCAGAAAGCACAGAAGTTCTAGTG
The DNA here is from genome assembly GCF_000001405.40 of Homo sapiens. Taxonomy (NCBI): domain Eukaryota; kingdom Metazoa; phylum Chordata; class Mammalia; order Primates; family Hominidae; genus Homo; species Homo sapiens. Next base: position 45,485,603 of record NC_000003.12, read on the forward strand.
CTTACTTTTCTCACTTGTTTCCTCTGAGATTCAGATGGTGTTGGTGTCTCAGTTGAGTGGCATCCACAGTTATTTGCTCTCATTTTCAGATTGCCTCACGCCTGTAATGGCTGTGAACATGCTTACCCAGCAGGAGGTCCCTGTCGTTATTTTGGCCAAAGCTGACTTGGAAGGCTCTCTGGATTCAAAAATAGGTAAGCAGCTATTAAAATGTAACCACAACGGTATATTTTGCAGATTTAGAATCAAAATACTCCCCTGTTGCTGTCATCTGGAAGAGCTGACTATAGATTCCATGGTCTGATTTGCCTCCTCATAAAAATGAATAACCCTTCATTTAATCATCCCTTGTTTCAGAACTACATTTTGAAAATATACTAGGTATATTGTACTTTGCTCGTTGCTACTGAGAATAAGAAGTATCTGACCTACAAATCTTGCCAGTAGAGTTTGTTGTTAAGACTTGTACATATGATACGAGGAACAATGCAACTCAGATGAAAATCCAATTTCAAGACTCATAGAACCATCCCAGGTATACTACCAGCTTTAAAAAAAAAAGGAAGAAAAGAAAACTCATAGAACCAACAGCAACTGCTGGGACGGGGGTTCAAATGAAGCACAAATGATAGATGTGGGCTGGGTTTTGGTGAAGGCTTTGTGGAGGAGGCGAACTCGAGCTATTCAAGAAAAGGATTGTGAAACAGCAGTAAAATTGAAGGCATATTTAGAACTGTAAATTGGATGTCCTTGGCAGCCTTACTCATTCGTGAGCATTCTAAACTATCGTCATGTAACAGGAAGTCTGAGAATGAACAAAGAGAAGGGAACCTAAAGACAGCTCTGTCCAAAATCTGCCTCCTTTAGGACAGACCTGTGCATTTTTCATTCCAACATTCCTACTGTAGATTCCAGCCAGTCCCCAGAGTCCCGAAACCTTGCAGAGAAAGTTATTTCCACACTATTTCCTAGCACACAGAAATAGCATTTCTTCTTAAATTCACATTTTTCCCCTCATAACGCTCAGATCAGTGTTTCATGAAGTTGTTTGAAGAAACGTCAAAGCAGAAAATCGATGTTACTCTCTTCTAACCATTTAAACCTAGAAAATGTGTTGTTTAAAGAAATAATTCCTTCTGTTACTTTTATGCATTTTACAATTAGTAAAATTTATTAATATAACCAGCCGGGATAAACATAAAGGCAGTTTTTATTGATGTGGCTTTTGGGGGAGTTTTTTGTTTGTTTGTTTGTTTGATATTTTGAATCATTACTGACACAATATTGAGAGTTTTGAAGGAAAAAAATCGGATTTTTTTAGGTGCATATGGAAAACTGTTTCTCCTGTTGTCTTGATTTCCCATAGTTTCTTAATTAACTTTTTCCAAATTTTTGCTTTTTGCCCTCCAAGAAGAACAAGAGCAGAAATAAACAGGAGATAAAGTGGTGTTTTTGCCTCCCACCTGCACTGTTAGAAATAGTTCACATTCAACTGAGCACAACATGACTACCACCATGGCCTGAGGCATTCTTTATACGGCCAAATACATTCTGTGGTTACAGTGTCTCCTTTTAAACATTACTCCTGGTTCTTCCAAATTCTATTTTAGAATGTAGTAAATGACTATTTTCCTTTCTTGACTATGAACACCTTTTGGTAGTATATTTATTGCTTGCCATTTGTCCTCAACCTTCAACTCCACTCAACATTTATTCAACGCATTAGATGCATTTTGTCTATAATCTCAGCTAGAACACTACAAAACTTTCCATCATGTCACAGAGCTTTTCATCATGTTTGGGACCTTTAGAACATGTCTCCCAAACATTCAACCACTGTTTTAGGGCATTGTTCCGAGATCTGACTTAAGCACCTTGTGTAATACCCTTAGCTTTATATCTCTCAGTTTTCACACAATGTGTTGTATCCATGAGTATGTCAGCAGCTTTTACAGATGACCCTATAGCAGGGGTTCTCAACCAGGGGAGATTTTGCCACCAAGAGACATTTGGCAATTTTGGAAACATTTTTGTTTGTCACAACTCAGGGAGTGCTATTGGTACAGTTCAACATCCTGCAATGCAAAAGACAGCCCCCGCAACAAAGTCCACAATGTCAGTAGTACCAAGGTTGAGAAATCCTGCCCTTACAAAACCAAAGAGCTGGGGGGAAAAGAAAAAAAAACCCATTCTTATGAATACCCGAAGCCAAAACAGCAGGCCTTGGCCCCCCTGGGTGAGTGATTTATTAATGCTCAACTTCTCCTCAAGGACATATGTGAGTTAAAGAATAAATGTCTACTTAGAATGTACTATTGCCTTTGGGAACAAAACATAGTTACCAGTTTTTGACTTCCTGACTGAGTGGATTTTTCTAGGACTGCTAGGAAATGCTGGAGGAGTCAGCCCCGCTTCTTGAGAGAACCCCACTGCCCTCTGCCACTGAGGGAATTCAAGAAAGAGGCTTCCACAAATGCTTATAATTTTTAGTGGCAAAAAAAAGCACTCAAAAATGTATATATTAGGATTGTAACTATTAAAAAAAAATAGGCTGGACACAGTGGCTCACACCTGTAATCCCAGCACTTTGGGAGGGTGAGGTGGGCGATCACTTGAGGTCAGGAGTTTGAGACCAGTCTGGTCAACATGGCGAAACCCCTTTTCTACTAAAAATACAAAAATTAGCCAGGCATGGTAGCGCACGCCTGTTATCCCAGCTACTCAGGAGGCTGAGATATGAGAATCACTTGAACCCGGGAGGCTGAAGTTGCAGTGAGCCGAGATCGTGCCACTGCACTCTAACCTGGGCAACAGAGCAAGACTCTGTCTCAAAACAAAAACAAAAACAAAAACTAAGCAGAGGAAAAAGACTTAAAGGAAGTAATACCAATATGGTAAACTAGTTGTGTTTTGGCAGTGGGTTTCTCCAAGACCGTGTTCCATTTTCCCAACTAATGTGATGTGGTTTTAAAACTTCTATAACTAAAAGAGATAGTCTCCTTTAAGAAGCTAAACCTGGGTGTCAGTACTGTCAGTTGTTTTGTGATTTGGGCACTTGTGAAGGAAATGTTTTCTTTTCTTCTCCTCTGAATAGGAATTCCCAGTACTAGCTCAGAGGACACCATCTTAGCCCAAACCCTGGGCCTGGCCTACTCTGAAGTCATTGAAACTTTGCCAGATGGCACAGAGAGACTGAGCAGCTCTGCTGAGGTTGGTGACTAAGAACTTACTTCCAGAATGATCACCTTGATACGACTTTGATAGACATTTTCCTTCAGGTGCAAATTACAACCTGTTCCTTCACTCGTCCCCATACCTAACAGCCTTGTGGCCTCATATCTATCAGAACAAAATAATATTCTTCAAGATCTAGAAGTTTGCCAATTGTAAATCAAATTCAGTCCTTGAATAGAATGGTATCGAAGTAACTAATTTTGTGTTGGTAATCTCTGCTTGAGAAAAATTATCTTTTCTAAGGAATCTCTGGTTCCTTGGGAGAGGTGACTGAAATTGTTTCTTTTTCCTAGAGGAGATATCTGTTCTCTCCAGATTACTGACATTATTTCTGCCTAAAGTGTAACTCACTTATAGAAATGAACAGGGAAGTTCAGAGTCATGTTTATTTGGTCAGGGTTATCTCTTGCTAGCATGAAACAGCAGCACTTAAAGATGGTACATCTGGCAGGATTTGAGCCCAGCCTCTATGTTGAACTAACCTGGAAAGTAGGATGGAAGAGGTAGGGTGAGGGATGGGAGCAGGTAGTGGGAGCAGTGATTCTCAAACTTGAGCACACATCAGAGTCCCCTGGTGGCCTTGTTAAATCACAGCCTGGCCCCCACCCCCACCCCAGGGATACTGATTTAGTAGTCCCAGGTGAGACCCCAAAATTTACACTTCTAACGAGTTTCCAGATACTGCTGCTAATGCTGCTGGTCCAGGGAACACATTTTGAGAATCAAGGGCTTAGAACCTTGCCACTTAATGTCTGGTCCCTGGACCAGCAGTACTGGCATCACGTGTCTTAGATCCCACCCTAGTCTAATAAGATCCCTATATGATTTGTATGCACATTAGAAGTTTGAGAATACTGGCTTAGAGCACTCTTAAACTTAACTGCACATTGGAAACACCTGAGAGTTTTAAAATAATACTGATGCCTGGGTCTCACTCCAGATACTCCGATTTGATGGTTATTGGTGGTGAGGGGGGCATGGATCAGACATCAATAGTGTTCAGAGCTCCCTAGTTGATTCTGATGTGCAGCAGAGTCTGGGAACTACTGACTTAACATAGTGATGCCACACCTGGCCATGGCTCTGAATCACCTGGGAGGTGCTTACAGGTCCCATCTTGGCTGATCTTGATTCAGTGAGACCTGAAGATCCAAGTTTTTCAGGTTTGTGACTATCTGGCTATATTTATATCTATAGAATAAAGGAATAATGGTCAGGTTTTCTCCTTTGTAAGGAGTCCATGTTTTATAACCCCATGTTTGTGGCTTTACTTCATAAACTGCATCCCCAGACATGAGTCATGCTCTAAGATATGGACCCTTAGGCCTTTTTTTAGACCTTGTTTGAGCAGGTTTCCTGGAGGTAGAGCAGAGCGAAATCACAGTGTCTGTAAGGAGCCCCAGTTAACCCTCTACAGGGCAAGAAAGGGGACACTTGTGGCCAAAATTAGGCTTCTGAAGTGCCTAGTGAAGCATCCACTCTTTAGTACAGTACTCTGAGCATTAATTATGCTTCCTGGCTTCTTTCACACAGCTTCAGATGGTCTGTTGAAGCCTCTCCTGGCTCTAGGCTGAATATCTAGAGTAAAATAATTATTTCAATAAGTAGAAGGAGAATGGCTGGGGAAAAGCCGCTTTCATCTATGAGCTTCTGGAATGGAAAGACAGTGGTGTTAGGAGAAGACTGACTTTCAGGAGAGCTTTTTATGATTTGCATCACGACTGTGATAATGGGAGTGCAGAAAGACACTTCAGACCATTCATGAAAAGGGCTGCTTTTGATAAACATAGCTGTATTTTCTTATTCTTTATGCCTCTTGACTGTAAGCTCCTTGAGGACATGGGAAGATCATATTTATCTTTGTGGCCCCAATGGCTAGCACGAGCCCAGCACGTATAGATGCCCAGTGGGTCTTCACTGAACAAATGCGAGGGTACCCGCAATCCAGGTTGTTACCAAGCCACACTGGCTCAATTCATATAATTAGTTTGGCTCTCTGAAAAGCACCAAGTGAAAAGATAATTTCTCTTTTGTACTGTTAGTGGTCTGTCCTGCTGTCTATAAAACGGGAGCATTTAAATATAAAAAGAGTGGTCTGGTTCTTCAAGCCGAAGCCTCAGAATGTTCCTCTGCTTGCCTGAATTCCTTCTGCTTTAGGATAATATTGGATTTTTCTTTTCTGAATATTTTCCCCCCAACAGGGGAGTAGTCATTAAAAATCCATATCGTGCAGTTCTGTACTGGCAGCTAAAAGCTGATATTTGATGATCTCTGTAGGTGTCACAGGGCTCTGGTGATAAAGCAAGCCACAGAACCAGGGCCAACTTAGACACATTAGACACAGTAGACACAGTGCCTAGGGCCCACAATACTTTTAGAGGCCTCTGCAAAAGTTTTAATTTCTTTTAAAATCAGAAGAAAAAAATGAACTTTTAGGGTCAAAAGTTATATTTGTCTTTATATTGATGCAGTTGTAAAATATAATTTTTAATATTATCTGAAGGAGCAAGGAGCCTACAAAGGCAGAAGCACCTAGGGCTCATGAAAGTTATGACACAGCTCTGCACAGAACTGGTCCCTTGGGAGAGCCACACATAAACATGGCAGGACTGGTGGCAGCATCAGGGTGGTGACTGGTGCTATGCGGAGAGGAGTGAGCTTTCTTTTCTTTCCCTGTCAGTTCACAGGTATGACCCGGCAGGATGCTTTTCTAGCCCTGACTCAGAAAGCCCGGGGGAAGAGAGTGGGTGGAGACGTGACAAGTGATAAACTGAAAGACTGGCTGATTTCACGGCAGCGGTACTGGGGCACACCAATCCCCATTGTCCACTGCCCAGTCTGTGGCCCCACACCTGTGCCCCTGGAGGACTTGCCTGTGACCCTGCCCAACATCGCGTCTTTCACTGGCAAGGGAGGCCCCCCACTGGCCATGGCTTCAGAGTGGGTGAACTGCTCCTGCCCAAGGTAAGGAGCCACATCCCTGCAGTGGTGACTGTGCCTATGGCCCCATACCTGCTAGGGCTTCAGACAGCCTCCTCCCTCCTGGTGCTAACTCTGCTCCCTTTTTCCCTGACTTCCATGAGGCTGGAAAGAACACTGTGGGTCTTTGGGGCCCTTTAAGAGAAGGGTCTGGAATCTGTGGCCCTGCCTCTGCAATGGGCATCCTCCCTTCTCTGAGCTGTTGGAAGCAGCAGTGTCAGTTCAGATCTATCCCAGAAACATCTGATCCAACTGATGGAAAAGCTCTAAATTTTCCTTACAGCTTTGTAAAAAACCACTTTCCTCCATTTTGATATTCCAAAGAGCCACGTGGAGAGGGGAGAAAATGTTCTCTTCTCCACCTTGCAGTTTTCCAATATAGTGACTGTAACAACAGTGGAGATTTTATCATGAGTAGCAGAGTAGTTGCTAAGAGAGCAAGTGTGCTCAGGGCTGCATTCTTTAATATGCTGAAGCACCATGGTTCCTTTCTCCTCATTTTGGAAGTGGGATTATGTTTTTCTGTCTATTCACTGGCATGTCTCAAGCATGATTTTTAATGATGCTGTCCATATCAGCTAATTAAACAAATAGCAGATACCAAGTTCCAGTATTTTCCTTCTTCTGCGGAGAAGCCATTTTTCTCTGCCTTATAGATCATGATGAGGATATTATAAAATAATTTTGTATTCTGCCAGTATAGAGCTGAGTTACTAGGTTGACAATTAGGTAACCACGTAGTGTAATTGGAAGTCTTGAGCTGGGTGTCAAATCAGTGATGGATTCAAGTCCTGGCTCTGCCTCCTAACTAACTGTCTAGCCTTGGGAAAGTCATTTACCTTCTCTGAGCGTGAAATCCCTCATCAGGAACAAAAATAACCCCATTGAAGGGCTTTTCAGAAGACTAGAATTAACACATGTGATCCTGCACAGTGATACCTTCTAGGCCTTCAATAAATAGAAACTTTATGGCCATCCAGCCAGGGACTTGCCAGCCATCCTCCCAGGTCCTCACTGAGGCAGTTTTGAAATTCAAGGTGGAACTTGGAGGGAGGTATATAGGAAGGCCCAGACCATTTTAGGGTAGAAATGTTGGCTCCAGGAGGAAAATAGCACACCCTCTTTGTTGATAAGCGCTGACAAAGGGCTTCCCTACCAGAGATGTTGGTGGCCTGCATACAGCACAGCAGTTGTGGCCTTATTGATGAGGATAAGGTTTCCTGCTTGGCTGCAGAATTACTGGAGGGCAGAACCTAGGCCTTGGTGTTGGGCAAGGCTCCCTGGATGATCTTTTTTTTTTTTGAGATGGAGTCTCGCTCTGTCGCCCAGGCTGGAGTGCGGTGGTGCAATCTCGGCTCACTGCCAGCTCCACCTCCCGCGTTCACACCATTATCCTGCCTCAGCCTCCCGAGTAGCTGGGACTACAGGTGCCCGCCACCAAGCCCGGCTAATTTTTTGTATTTTTAGTAGAGATGGGGTTTCACCGTGTTAGCCAGGATGATCTCCATCTCCTGACCTCGTGTTCTGCCCGCCTAGGCCTCCCAAAGTGCTGGGATTACAGGCGTGTGCCACCACGCCCAGCCCCTGGATGATCTTAATGAGCATCCAAGGCTGAGAGCTACTGAGCCAGTGTGGCCGAGCAAGGCAGCCCAGTGGTACAGACTACAGGCACCAGAGCCCACCAGATGTGGATTCCTTACCCTTGAACTACAAGACCTTGGACAAGGTTCTTAACCTCTCTGAATCCTAGTTACTCATCTGAAAAATGGGGATATGAGCAGTATCGGTCTCATAATCCCCAGGGCTACTGGGGATTAAATGAGATAATACTTCTGCGGTACTTGGCTCAGTTCCTACTACCCAGTATTATTATTATTACTATTGGAGCTAATCCTGATAACATTATCACCATTATCTATCACTTCTATCCCTCCTGCTTGCCACGTAGCTTCTTCCTTATCATCTAGTTTTTAGTATCAGCAATAAAACATGTTAGTTGCCTTCAAGTCCAACAAGACCATTAAAAAGGAAATCAGCATGGCAAATGTTAGCCAGCTGTTATTCCTTTTATAAATTGAGCCCGCATTTTCTCCCTCACTTGGACCTCACTTGCACAAGGTAAGTGAGGAAGATGAAGTAATCTTTATTTTCTAATTATTTCCCAAAGTAGTGTCTGTGTTCTGGTTGATTGCTCTCCAAATAAAAAGACCTGGCTTCAATTTAGAGGCGCACTGTTGAGATCAGCTTCTTAGAGCAGCCCTGGGTGGTAGGAAGCTGGGTTCCCCGAGGGCTCTCTCTGAAAAGCTTCTACTCTTAGAGACCACCACTGTTCTCATTGGGAGGTCCCCTGATTAAAATGCAGGGGGTCCCAAAGCCCTGCCAGATCTAGGGCGCCCATGCTCTCTGCTCAGCCACTGCATTTAACCAGCTGACGAGGGAGCTGGAGGACTATGTGGGGGACTGGCCATTTCCTTGGGTAATATTTGTAAAGCTGGTATGAACTACTTCACAAATGGAAGACAGAAATACAACCCTTCTTTTATTCTTAAATTAAAAATACACTCAAGCCCATACATGCTAAATTAGCAGAAGATTTATCAGTTCCTCTTGGGATTCCTCATCCCTTCTCCCCAAATTCTCCAATAACACCCAAAGACTTACACTGCCCAAAGCGCAATATTTGGAGGGGCGATGAGCTTCACATCCATGCCTTAGAAGGGAGAGCCTGCTATGGCTTCCCACTGCCACAGAAGGCCCTGTTGATAGCTGGTCCTACCCATCAGACAGAAGGTGCTGGTTCTCTGCTGATCCAGGCCTTGAGGAGTCTCCAAGGCAGCTAATCCCCGTCCTGTGCTAGGCTTGACTAAGGGCACCTTCTTTTGAGTTCCTAGGTAGTGTGGCTTTTGGCACCTGGTTCCTTCAGTCCCACAGGCCCACAACTCTAGGAATGTTCTTAAGAATGAGTGTAGCAGCTGGGCATGATGGCTCATGCCTGTGATCCCAGCACTTTGGGAGGCTGAGGCAGGCGGATCACTTGAGGTCAAGAGTTCGAGACCAGCCTGGCCAACATGGTGAAACCCTATCTCTACTAAAAATACAAAAATTAGCCGGGCATCATGGCATGCACCTGTAATCCCAGTTACTCAGGAGGCTGAGGCAGGAGAATTGCTTGAGCCTAGGAGGCAGAGGTTGCAGTGAGCTGAGATCGAGCCACTGCACTCCAGCCCAGGTGACAGAGCCAGACTCCATCTCAAAATAAAAATAATGAGTGTAACACTTGGGCCCTTGTGAGACCTTGGTCCTGCTGGACATGTCTGTCCCTAGGACAGGGATTCCTTTTTCTATGCAACCCTTCACATATCAAGGATCTCACTTTATTCTCTGTCTTGAACACCAGGGCTTTCTTCACTCTTCCATAAGGAACCTACCTTTAGGCAGTGGTCTCATGGTAGATATGTAATTAGCTTTGGAGGGGGGTCCTGATTTCTAGCATTTGCCAATTTCCGTGATGTACATACTCCCATCAGGGCCAGTTTCAAGCTACCAACTTGCCATCTTTTGTCACAGTGTTGTGAAGAGATGCCCCAATTGATTCTTACAGGCTGGCATGAGCTGGAGCAACCATTGCCTTTGGGGCTTCCAAGTTGGTTTGTCTTCCTCGAGTCATCCTGGTAGATTTCTGCACCTGTCACCCCAGAACAGAAGTAGAAGAAAAATCCAAGTTGATTTTCCACACATCTCCCTATATTTGGTTCTCATTTGTCTTCATGCATTGATTGGCTTCATAAGCATCATAAAGTAGGCATTGGCGAAGGCAATCTTGACATGCCTGGAACAGAAGTTAAGGCACAAAAGAGATACCTAATCCTGTCTTGTCCTTTTGGATGGTGAGGCTTTCTACCAGGTTAAATTCAGAGAAGTGGAAAATAAGGCTTTTAATTGTTGAAAATTGAAACTTTTATTTGTAAATAAATTTCTTTAAAACATCGCATACTATACAATATAAAAAGAGAGCTTTCCCTGAATTGTCTTTTCATATGTGGCTTTATTCTTTTTTTTTTTTGAGACAGAGTCTTGCTATGTCACCAGGGTGGAGTGCAATGGCACGATCTTGGCTCACTGCAACCTCCACCTCCCGGGTTCAAGCCATTCTCCTACCTCAGCCTCCCAAGTAGCTGGGACTACAGGCACACGCCACGACGCCCAGCTAATTGTTCGTATTTTTAGTAGAGATGGGGTTTCACCATGTTGGCCAGTATGGTCTCGATCTTTTGACCTCGTGATCCACCCACCTCAGCCTCCCAAAGTGCTGGGATTACAAGCGTGAGCCACCACACCCAGCCTGTGGCTTTATTCTTATGACATTTTAAATTCATACTTATAGCTCTCTCAAAAGCTGATGGAAAACTGCATTAAAATTTAAAAAGAAACCAATTGATGAATTTCATTTCTTTCTTAGGTGCAAGGGAGCAGCCAAGAGAGAGACAGACACGATGGATACCTTTGTTGATTCTGCTTGGTACTACTTCAGATACACTGACCCTCATAATCCACACAGGTAAAACGTCCCTGCTGATGTCTTTGAGCATTTGTCAGTGTGGCTCCTCCTAGAAGCAAAGACCAAGATGGAATTAGACATGCAAGAGATTTCTTGGGGGGAAATGCCTGTGCAGATTAAAGGGGAGAAGAGGAGGAGTGGGCAGAGAGTGCTCTTAGACCACGATGGAGCTGTGACAGGTGTGAAAGGAGAAGGGAAAGGAAGGAGGATCAGGTGGAGGAGCCTCAGCCCACAGCACAACTCTGAGAAAGCCTCGACCTGGCCAGTGGGAAGGCCCAAGCAAAGCTTGTCCATTAGAGTCTTACAGTCAGGCTAAAATGGCTCTGCTCCAGCCCCTCCCTCTACTCTCCTGGGAGCAGCCTGGGAGAGCAACATGGGCTGGCAGGAACACACCAGAGTGGGTCCACAGATGCAGCAGCTGGAAGCTGTCAGTCAACTGTGCACCTCGGAACAGGCTCTCTTAAAGGGAGAGTGCTACATCATTAAGTTAGATTATTCACAGCCAAGTAAATCCCAAGTACAACACAAATACAAAACGGAAAAAGAAGGAAATGCTACTGTGATACCCTCCTTGCAGTGAACTGCATTTGTATGATTGTAAAGATGTAATGTTATTTATTTAACTGAAAAGAATAATGTAACTCTACAGAGAAGGTAGCAGGTAGGGAGGGTGAGACCGCTAAGAAGCCTCACCTCTTACTACATAGTAGATCATTTCCTAAATTGATAAATCAATAAAGAGTATAAACATGTTTTTTTTTTTCAATAATTGCTGGGAGAAACAACCAAAAGAATTAAAAGTGGCTAAGAGACAGGCCTGAGGCAAGGAAAGAATTGGGGCTGGAGACCACTGTTTTTCATTGTAAATCTTTCAGTACCATTTTGATTTTTAAGCTGTATTCATGTGTTTATTTGAACCCCGCCCCCCCCAAAAAAAGAAACAAATTAAGGAAAAGAGAGCAGTAGGTAGCCTTATAAAGAGAGAGAATGAGAACCGAAAGAAACTCTTCCAGAGCCCAGGAAAAAACACAGCATTGTGCTTAAAAGGGCCTTGCCTAATTGCTCTTGTCCATGGCAGAAACATTCTGGAACCCTGTTGCCTACATATAAAATATGCCTCCCTATTCTTCGTGGTTCTAAAATAATATCTTTCTAGTGAGACAGATACTCCTGCCCTCACCCTGCCAGAATTTCAACCTGCAGTGTTGTGATTCTGTAATTTGAGTTCATATCAGATATAAGGGGGATCCTTGTCAGGCATGGTGGCTCACGCCTGTAATTCCAGCGCTTTGGGAGGCCGAGGCAGGCTGATCACCTGAGGTCAGGAGTTGGAGACCAGCCTGACTAACATGGCAAAACCCCAACTCTACCAAAAATACAAAAATTAGCTGGACACGGTGGCACGCACCTGTAATCCCAGCTACTCAGGAGTCTGAGACAGGAGAATCGCTTGAACCCGGGAGGCAGAGGTTGCAGTGAGCTGAGCTCGTGCCACTGCACTCCAGCCTGGGCAACAAAGTGAGACTTCCTCTCAAAAAAAAAAAAAGAAAAAAAAGAAATGAGGGGGATCCTGAGTGAAAGACACCCTGCAAAGGCAGGAAGGGTGCAAGGTGACGACTGTGGCTGGGAACCACCAGCATGGCCTTCTCTGGCCCACAGAGGGGCTCCCCTTCAGGGCCTTCCCTCTATAAGGGGCCATTGGTGCATTTCATGTAGTAACAACTGGCTTAGAATGCAAGTGAGGTCAGGCTCTTTCCTTTCTCAGAGTGCTTCAAAGGAAAGCCTTCACACAGATGAGAGAGACCTCAAGTTACCGTGGCGGGAGAGACATCCTGAGACCGTCACAGCCCCCAGTTTGTGAACAGCAGTGAGCACTTCATTTCCCTCATGACACACTGTAGTTAGCTTCAGCCCCAGCACGAGTTCTTCCTGGGGTGGTTTCCTGAGTGGATCATAAATCTGAGCTGTAGCTACTTTCAACATTTCACTCCTTAATATATCCCAAACTTGTTTTCCGGCCAAATACCATCCTTCACTTTCCTTTCTTTTCTGTCGCCTGGATTGGCAGTTGAATTTCTTTAGGGAACTGTTTTTCACGAAGAAAAAAAGTGTTTTTTAAAAATTTTATCAGAATTCTGGTACAGTGACTGGAGAACACCAAACTATATTAAGATGCAAATATGTGGTGGTAGCCAGGCTCTTTTTTCTAGCCTCAAAGCTGAAGCCAGCCAAGTCTATCCTGGGGAAAAAGGTGGCTTGAGGTGTCAGGGAACCAATTCACAAATATTCGAAGTCCTCCAAAGGCAAAGGTTTGCTTGATTGGCTGACCTCAAGGGACGGCATTACCTTGGCAACACAGAGGTCTGTCGCCAGCCAGTGCTGCCCCTCCCACCGAAGGTCCCAGCCAGAAAATGGAAATGACATTTCCTTTCCTCTCCAGTGTCCTTTAGGACCCAAGAGTATGAGAAAGCCTTTCTATTAGTATCTGTTAGGTGAGAGTTATTGGGCTATTATATGACAAGTCACCTTAAATATGTTGCATCGCATTCAGTAAGCAATATACAGTCTCTAGCTGAGTATATTTTCAGACTGCTTTAAAAAATAAAATCAAATTTCTATTTTAAAATAAACATTTACAGCTGGGGCACAGTGGCTCACATGTGTAATCCCATAACTTGGGGAGGCCGAGGCAGGAAGATGACTTGAGGCCAGGAGTTCAAGACCAGCTGGACTGAACGTAGCAAGACCTCGTCTCCATAAAAAATGTTTTAAAAAAATTAACTGATGGCCAGGTGCAGTGGCTCACACCTGTAGTCCCAGCACTTTGGGAGGCCGAGTTAGGCAGATCACCTGAGGTCAGAAGTTCAAGATCAGCCTGACCAACATGGCAAAACCCCATCTCTACTAAAAATATAAAAATTAGCCTGGTGTGGTGTCAGGCATCTGTAATCCCAGCTACTCAGGAGGCTGAGGCACAAGAATAGCTTGAACCCTGGAGGCGGAGGTTGCAGTGAGCCGAGATCACGCCCCTGCAACCGAGCCTGGGTGACAGAGCGAGACTCCGTCTCAAAAAGAAAATTAAAAAAAAAAAAGAAAAAATTAGCTGGGCAGAGTGGTGTGTGTCTGTAGTCCTAGATACTTGGGAGGTTGAGGCTGGAAGATCGCTTGAGCCCAGGAGTTGGAGGCTGCAGTGAACTATGATTGTGCCACTGCGCTCCAGCGTGGGTGACCAAGCAAGACCCAAACTTTAATAAAGAAAAAAAAATGTTTTTTAATGTGAAAATAAATTAATAAATAAACATTTAGTATCTGCATGTTAATCTTCATTGTAAATACCACATTGCCCTCTATTGGTAGGAACTCTGACATCTCAATTGTGTAATCATAATAATAAAAATTAAAGTGAATCTAGATATTCAAGGTGCATTGTAGCAAGATGCCTTTTTTTGCTGGTATGTTTTCCTTTTGTCCTCATTTTATATGCAAATTGCTTTTGTTGAAATATGTCAGTAATATCTTCTGTAACCATTTTTATAATTTCATAAATTAACACTTACCTGACTTTTTTCTTTTTTATTATATAAGCTTTTCTCATATATATATTTTTGTTTGTTTGTTTGTTTGTTTGTTTGTCTGTTTTGTTTTTGAGACAGAGTCTCACCCTGTTGCCCAGGCTGGAGTGCAATGGCACGATCTTGGCTCACTGCAACCTCTGCCTCCCGGGTTCAAGTGGTTCTCCTGCCTCAGCCTCCTGAGTAGTTGGGATTACAGGTGCCCACCACTACAACTGGCTAATTTTTGTATTTTTAGTAGAGATGGGGTTTCGCCATGTTGGGCAGGCTGGTCTCGAACTCCTGACCTCAGGTGAGCCACCTGCCTCGGCCTCCCAAACTGCTGGGATGACAGGCATGAGCCACCGCGCCCGGCCTTCTCTTATATTTTAAAAAAATCATTGTTATTCCCTGATACGGTTCATTTCAGGGCATATGCATATTACAATAGGCCTGTTTAATTTACACAATTGTGGCAAAGCAGGTTTTTAAAAATGCCTCCATCTCTTTTTTACAGCCCTTTTAACACAGCAGTGGCCGATTACTGGATGCCTGTGGATTTGTACATTGGAGGGAAAGAACATGCCGTCATGCACTTGTTCTATGCAAGATTCTTTAGTCATTTTTGCCATGATCAAAAAATGGTTAAACATAGGTAAGCACTTATACTGCTTTGCAAAATAATTGAGTTCCATGAATAGCAACTTTAAGCAGGTGTCAGTTCTTCTGAAGCAAGGTAAATGCATGTAGTAGAATACTAGTTTTCTAGTATGCTTTAGAGGTTGTCAACCTTAATCATTTGAGGTCCATTTATATTGCGTAGTCAGTTCTGGCATGTGATGTTGCATGCTTGCATAGAACCTAGCCTTCAGTGCTTCTCTGTTTAACTGAGTTAAGTAATTAAGAATTGTACCTGTGAGGCAGAGAGGAGTGGCCCATAGTGTTTTATAGCATCTCATGTGAGGTCATGCTTATCACCCAGTCCTTCCATGTCAGCTCTTGTTCCTAAGCTTGGCTGAATCCCACCTTGATGCATCCCTCTAAAAAATGTATAGAGTGGATTTGAAATAGAGAATCACATTGTAAAAACATCAGTAAATTCTTTTCCTGTTGGCCTATTGTAACCCTTTCCTCATAATGTTCAGAAAAATGTGTGTGTACTTTTCCCCATGAAACGTATCATATATAAAAATTACATATTTAATGTATTTAAAGAATGGTACAACACATTAAATATGGAATTTTTATATATGAACATACATGCCCCACTCCTCAGTTTAAGAAACAGAGTATTTCAGGTACCTTAGAATCCCCAAGGTGCCCCCTCCAATTGTGTATCGCTCTTCTACGCCCACCACCTCGCCCCTAGCTAATACCGATCCCAGATTTTTAATTCCTCACTTTCTTGCTTTTCTTTATAAATGTATCGTTTCTGCATGTATTTTTAAACTATATATTGTCTGGTTTTCCTGTGTTTGAACTTTACATAGGTAGAATTATATTTCAGGTATTCTGTCTTGCTTTCCTCACTCAACAGTTTTTTGAGATTCAGCAGTGCTGACGGATGAAGTTATATTTCATTCCTGTTTCACTGCTGCGTGATATTCCATTATATGGAATGAAACTTCCAAAATAGAACTCAGTTTATGTATCATACCACCATTAATGGTGGTTGGACTGTTTTGTGCAATTATGAACAAAACTGCTATGAACCTTCTTGCACGTGGTTCCTGACATATGCGTCACCATTTCTTTAAAATGTGTACCTAAGAGTAGAATTGCTCGATTGTAGGATACGCACGTGTTCAACTGTCTTGAGAAACACCAAACTGTTTTCCATAGTGATTACCTAAGCCTATACTCCCACTAGTAGAAATGAGGGATCCGATCACTCTACGTCGTCATCAACATTTTGTACTATCCAACTTTTAAATTTCACCAAACCAGTGGGTATATAATGGGTCACGTTGTGAGTTAAATTTGAATTTCAAGACACCGATTTTTTTTTAATTTTTTAATTTTTAATTTTTGCAGGTACATAGTAGGTGTATATTTATGGGGTACATGAGATATTTTGGTATGGGCATGCAATGCATAGTAATCACATCATGGAAAGTTGGGTATCCATTCCTTCAAGCATTTATCCTTTGTGTTACAAACAATCCAATTATACTCTTTTAGTTATTTTTAAATGTTTAATTAAGTTATTGTTGACTATAGTTGATTTCTTAATGAAGTTTATCATGTTTCATAGGTTTATGAATCTCTGTGATCAAATCCCTGTTTGTATCCTATGCTTTTATTTTTTCTAGATCGTTTCTCTTTTATTGATTTGTAAGGGGTTCTTTAAATATTCTTGATACTAATCCTTTTTCAGCTATATGTATTGCAAGTAGTTTTTTCTAGTTCTTGGCTTGTCTTGTTTTTATGGCATCTTTTGATGAACAGAAACTCTTAATGTAGTAAAAATTAATAATCTTTCCTTTATGGCTACTGCTTTCGGTGTGTCAGTACTGTTAATGGAATAGTCCATCCTTTTCCCCACTGATCTGTAGTGCCCTCTCCATCATAAATCAAGTTGTCATATATCCCAGGGCTTATTGATAGGATCTTTATTCTGGGACTACAGGCGCCCACCAGCACGCCCAGCTAATTTTTGTATTTTTAGTAGAGATGGAGTTTCACCATGATGGGCAGGCTGGTCTCAAACTTCTGACCTCAAGTAATCCGCCTGCCTCGGCCTCCCGAAGTGCTGGGATTACAGGCATGAGCCACTGTGCCCAGCCAATTTCTTTATAGCTATCTTCCAGTTTCTAATTGTCTCTCTGTCTCTATCTGCTGATTAACCCATTCTTTGAGTTTTTTTATTTTAATTATTCTTCATTTCTAGAAGTTCTAGGTTTTTAAATTTTCCTTTATGATTTTTGTAGTATTTTCATGGTATCTTTTAAGACTTTATTTTCTAAAATAGATTAAACATACTATTTTATATTATCTGATAATTCTTTATCTAATGTCATTATGGGTCTGTTTAGTCATTTGTTGTTTCTGCTGTTCTCACTCATGATGCCTAGTTCTTTGGGGGATGGGGTGCAAGGGGTGTTTTAACTGACCTTATATTTCTTGAACCCTTTTTTTTTTGTAGGAACTCTTTGGAACCTCTCTGCTAGAGGTGATTTTGTGTTAGCTTCTCCCTGTTGCCTGGAGATGCTACCAATCCAAGATCACTTTAAACTGAATTTTCTGCTTGAGGTTTTTAGGACCATATAGGTAATACGAATACAGTCCCAAACCCACATGAGGGTCAACTTCTGTCTACAGATTCTCAGGAGAAATACTTTTCTTTCCTCCTATACATCACCATGGTCAAGATAGGCAAGTTTCCTTGTTTGTCTCTTCTAACCACAGGTTTATTTCTAGTTCATTGATGATTTCTGGTTCAGTGACGATTCCTGCCTTGTTTGAGATCTTCTTCTAGACTCCCAAGGTTGCTTAGGCTTTAGGTTTGGTGTCCCATCTTTTGTGTACCATGCCATGCACAAACATTTATGATCACAGGGGTTCTATAGCTATGCCCAGGGTGGAAGCTGGCTTCAGTAACTGTGTTTTCCTAAGTTGGGTTTGGTTTGGTTTTGCCAGCTCAAATGTATTTTATACTCCAACTGACTTTTTCACTTGTTTTTCATCAGGACAATAATTCAGGCTCTCTTGTCTGCTGTATTACCAGAAGCATAATTGCTGGATTTTTTTTTTCAGTTGTTGTTATGTTGTTTTTCTGTTTGTTTGTTTACTACAACATCCTTTAGAATATTTTTTAATTACAGAGAAGGAAAGGGGGGAAATATCTGATTATTTCCCTATCCAGATAACCCATGTTGACAATTTAAAAAAAAGTAATACATGTCTAAACCATTTTGTAACTACACAGAAAGTGAACATTGTTGTCTCCCTCCCTGCACGCCACTCTTTAGCCCTTTCCTCGACTTTTAGGTTTCTTTTTATTTCTGCCAGGAAAATATTTTGCCTATCCCCACGTGTGTTTTTATTGATATAGTCATTTTAAATGTTGCTTATATTGCATACATGTCCTTTGCTTCTTTGACCTAATAATGTAGCTTGGTGGTCTTTCCATATCAGCACAAACAGATATCACATTCTTTTTAATGTAGGCATAGTATTCCCTCATATGGATATACCATAATTTATGTAAGCGGTCACCTATTCTTCCAATTACTATTTTTTTTTAAGTCCAGTGATCCTCTTTATTATACGCTTAGCAAATAATTGGGAGCATATATGTAGGCTCAAGTCCTAACACTGGGGAATTCTGGGTCAAAAAATATGTGTCTTTAAAATTTTGATAGATAGAAAAATATTACTTTTAAAACTTTTGAAATGCAGACAGAAACCCATTTTCATTACAATGAAGCACATTGAAAGCTCCTTCCCTTCACTTAACCCTCGGACCAGATGGCCGACTCTGCACATGCATGCATGGATTAAAAGAAGTCTACTGTACAGAAAATTAATTTAGGGTCTAAATTAAATGCTTAAAATAAATTTATTCTCATCAGCCCCAGAGACCTTCATGTATGAAAATAAACTGGTCTGCATCAGAAGGACACTAAAAACATTAACAGCATTACTCCTCACATAAACAAATTTGTTAAAGTGTTTGTACTTTAGGTTCTAGAATTTGCCAGTTCTGCTTTGCATTTCTTATGTCTGGAAACTAATTTACCTAACTAGATAAAGATTGTCATTGATAATGGGAATTGTGTCCTGTTACTGTCATGGTCTCACAGATACTACACATTTTTAGTGTTTTTTTTGTTTTGTTTTGTTTGTTTTTTTTTTTAAGAAATTGAGTTTAGGTTGGATGTGATGGCTCACACCTGTAATCCCAGCACTTTGGGAGGCCAAGGCGGGTGGATTGCTTGAGGTCAGGAGTTCGAGACCAGCCTGGCCAACATGGTGAAACCCCATCTCTACTAAAAATACAAGAATTAGCCGAGCATGGTGGCATGCGCCTGTAGCCCCCAGCTACTAGGGAGGCTGAGGCACGAGAATTGCTTGAACCTGGGAGGCGGAGGCTGCAGTGAGCCAAGATCGTGCCACTGCACTCCAGCTTGGGTGACAGAACAAGACTCTGTCTAAAAATTAAAAAAAAAAGCAAAGAAAAGAAAAAGAAATTGAGTTTAATCCCTTGAAACAAACAGATAAAAGTTTATATTCTTCAGAGGAAATGTTCTCCAGTTCATGCAGTTGTGCACACCTATGTTCTTAGCTACTCCAGAAGCTGAGATTGAGGCTGAGGCGGGAAGATTACTTGAGCCCAGGAGCTTGATTCCAGCCTGGGCAACATAGGAATACCCTGTTTCTAAAACAAAACAAGAAACAAAGGAAATATCCTCCATGGGCTAGAGAGAATTGATTCAAACTTAAGTTAAAAACCAAATACAACTTGAGAAACATCTCAGGCCAGGCGTGGTGGTTCATGCTTATAATCCCAGCACTTTGGGAGACCAAGGTGGAAGGATCACTTTAGGCCATGAGTTTGAGACCAGCCTAGGCAACGTAGTGAGACTCCATCTGTTAAAAAAAAAAAAAAAATTAATGAGCCAGGTGTGGTGGTGCACACTTGTAGTCCCAGCTACTTGGGAGTCTGAGGCAGCAGAATTACTTGAGTCCAGGAGTTCAAGGCTGCAGTGAGCCATGATTGCCACTGCACGCTAGCCTATGCAACAAAGTAAGACACTGCCTACAAAAAAAAGTTGGGGGAATAGCTCCTTCTTATGTAGGTCTGGAAACAAAGACCATATGTAAGTGATTTCTAGCTCCTTAACAGTAGAGCATATTTCTGCCAGTTTCTGAATGATTTTTTATGGAAGTATTCAATCAGTAAATTATTCAATGGCCAAGTATCCTAAGGTATAGGACAGGGTCTGACTATTTTTATGACTTATTTACAATAGTTTAAGACTATATTCAAGCAGGAAAAAGGGTTTGCTGCATGCTGATGTAATTTTAAAATGCAGTTTCAAATATGACTTTGTTTTCACTCAAATGCATTGCCAATTTGCAGATCCTCCAGGTAACACTTGGATTTTGCTTTACCATCAACATTAAGGAACAACTATATGGTGTAAATTGAAATAGACCTATGGAGTTTTGTTTTTTTGAATCTGTTTTTAAATTCTGTTCAAGATTCCGTTCCATGCTTTCCTCCTCCAAAAGAGACTTATTTTAATTACTGAAAAGGCTGACCTTTGAGGAAGGTACAGAAAGTCATCTTAACTGTTACTCAGTGCTGCTGTCAGCATTACTCTTGTTGGATCACATCAGGGCAGCAACAGCCTCTGAAAACTCTCCCGGTGCATTACCTCTTTCTTAGAGGTGTATTGGTAAACCAGTCAGCCACACATGAAATGAAAATCACCCACTTTCTGAGATGAGTAATTTGGAATTCTACAGTCAGAATTTTTGAGAGCCTCCAAACAACTTTATCAAGCTGGGCTGGGAGGAAAAATTGAGACCTGTCAACCACATGTGTATTTCTGAAATCTGTATAAATCAGGATTTCCTAGTCTAGTTCTGTATTCCTTTTGATTAGCATTGTAATTTCAGGAGGCTATTTGAGATGATAGTACAGCTATTCCATTTTAGTTTAACATTTCTGAGCCCCTCAGCCCTTGTCTCAAGTAGCAGCTGTGAAACAGGAATCCAAAGACCTCTGTCCATGTTCAGTGGTGCCCCTGATTAGCTGTGTGGACAAGAAGCTGAACTCCTTTGGGTCTCAGTGGCCTCATATGTTAGGAACTCAGTTATCTCTGAGCACTCTTTTCACTCTGATTCTAATTTCTTCAAATACAGACAGCAAAGGTTTATGTATATCTAATCATCTTTCCTGTTTTGTAAGAGTTGTGGACATTTTTTTTCATCACCTGCACAGTTAGGCTTGCAGTTTGTACTTTAAGGTCTCCTTACCTTACGTAAGAGGCTGGCCTCCAAGTTAAGTGTGCCACCACACAGGACAGCAGGTGCCTTAGTTGTGTGATCTGAAATACCAAGTTAATGATTAACCGGGAATTAATGTAAGCAGGAAACCCACAAAAGAAGATATCCAAATGATTAATAAACATTTTATCACACTATAAAATAATAAACATCTTACACTGTAAAATGTTTCCGTCCCAGCACGATGGCTCACACCTGTAATCCCAACACTTTGGGATTGCAAGACAGGAAGATCATTTGAGTGCAGGGGTTCGAGACCAGCCTGGGCAACACAGCAAGACCCCATTTCTATGATTTTAAAAAAAAAAATTTCCCTCACTGGCAAATATAAATTATTCAGCAGTGAGATGCCATCTTCCATGTAGTAAGGAAGCTAGCATAAGAGCAGCTCTCATATATTGCAGGAAGTAGCTTGGAACAATCTTTCTGAAAAGCAGTTTGGCAATACATAGTGAGAGCCTTAAAACTATTCATTTTTGGGTGCACTAATTGCACTGCTAAAAATCTATCCTAAGGAAATAATCAGAAATGCAAACTTATGCACCAAGATGTTCATGTAAGTGTTATTTCAAGTAGCTAAAAATTTGGATACAATCTAAATGCCCCAAAATGCTGAGACAGGGTAAATAAAGTATAATCCATCTACGTGGAGCACACTTATACAACACTTTCAATTAAATTACAAAGAATGTTTAATAACATGGAGAAATTCATCTGAAGTAATGAGAAATAGAAAAAGCAAGATACAGCTTGGTTATCTTTGTCTTTATATATACAAGCACATATATACACATACTCAAAGCAAGAGAAAAGACTTGAAAAACTCATGCCAACATGTTAACACTAGCTATCTCTGGGTGGTGAGCCCAATATACTTCTGATTTTTTCCAGATTTTTTACAATGATTGTGTAACTTTATCATTTACAGTATGGTATATATTCCAAAGAAGGAAAATATGCTGAGCCTCCTGCTGTGGTTGTGGGTGTGGGGTAGGATCAGCTTTCAGCTTCCCTCCTTCCGGTGGTTAGCACCAGGTTGAAAGAGAGGGGGCACATTAGAGCGTGGGAACATGTCATGGCC
Organism: Homo sapiens; assembly: GCF_000001405.40. Lineage (NCBI taxonomy): Eukaryota > Metazoa > Chordata > Mammalia > Primates > Hominidae > Homo > Homo sapiens. The sequence continues at coordinate 45,508,023 of NC_000003.12, forward strand.
CATCTTCACTGAATGAGATCAGGAAGCCTTTTCTCTCCCTTTGTGGGAGACCGCTGTAAACATGGAATCTTGTCACTTTTTGTTGTAGCTCTGTAATGCAACTTAGACACTAAATTCCCCAAACTGAATTTCTCCCTTCAGTTTGGAATCAACAGAAAGTGGTGGCTGTCAGAAGCAAGCAGCTGCTCAGGGAGCTCCCATGAGAAGGGCAGGCCGCCTGCTGACCGTGGAGAGCACAGCAAGCCCCTATCCACAGAGCTTTCTTCTCTGTTACTCTGATCATGCCAGAAACGGGGCTACTGGGAAAAGGAACAGGAAGGGAAGAGAAGCTTTACTTGGGTCCTGCTGTATTAGTAAACCCTCCTTCTGCGCCACTAACTGGCTGCTAGGAAATGGGAATGGTGATATTTCAAGAATGAGCCATGGCTAATACTTAGAAACTAGGCTAATTATGTGACATGATGGCCCTGGGCACAGAACAAGGAAGAAGAGGAAGGTAAACTTAGTCTGATTTAATGAAAAGTCCAATTTGGAGACCATTTTCAGAGATCTATGGCCTTCAAAGATCTGCAGCCTGGCAGGCCACTCTCGCACCAGGTCAGGGGAGTGGGCAGCAGGCTCTCTGGGGCTTCATGAATAGGTAAATGTCATCTGCAGCAAGAAGGTGGGGCTCTGATACATCCTGATATTCTTTGCTCATACTGTAATTAGCACATTCCTTGTATATAGTGATTTTTTTAAGAGCACTTAACATGGCCAATCAATCAATGTTCTGAATTTCCTTGTTTATCCTAATAATTAGCAACTCCCTTCCTTCCCTCCCTTCCTCCCTCTCCTCCCTCCCTACCTTTCCTCCCCTCTTTCCCTGCCTCCCTCCCTTCCTTCTTTCCTTCTTCCAAGTGGGACAAATGTGGCCTTCAATGCCCAGCAGCTATCAGTTGTTGCAATTTCTGAGTTAGTGCAGTCTAAACTAATGAAGAAATTGTGAAGATCTCCCCCCAGTTTTCATCACTGTGCTTACATATAGCTGTGCTTCAGTGCAAGCAAGCATGATCTACCTCCAGGGATGTACCGAAGGAGTAGGAAGAAAGCTGACTCAGAAATCCAGGGCCTTCTTCAAGGCAGAGGCCCTGCCTAATACTCCCGCGTTTGATGGTCCCTGAGTCAGAACGGTTTGTTAGTGGTTTAGAGTTGCAGATTTTCCACTCACTTATAAAGGCCCCTGCTGTGCACAGTCACTATGATGAATGAATAACTCAGTTGCATACGCAAGTCTGTTCCCAAGTACCATCTGTTGAGTGAATGAATGAGTGAACAAAAGGGAAACACATTACCCCAATTGTGAATCTGAATAATGAACTTGGCAATGTGATGTGATCTCTGCTCCAGCAGGCCTGGGTTCCAAGTCCAGCAGGGCCCTTGATGTCCTTTGTCCTTCATTCCTGTGCACCTTGCGCCTCCAAATCACATTTGGTACGTCTTTCTTGTAGTGCTGATGGTTATTTATGAGCATGTCCTGGGCTGCCTGTTCTTATTGTAAGCTCTCCAATTAATTGCCTAGTGCTGTGTACCCAATTATCATGTAAATACATGTTGAATGAATAAACAAGTGTGACTCATTCAGAGCTAAACTACGCATGAGAGTAGACATGGCCAGCTTCAGCCAAGAGTGAAAACCAGATTCCCAACTCCCTATAGCCCATTCCCTGGCTCCCTGGAAAAGTGGAGGGAAAACACTTGGGAATGAGCAGGATTCTAGGAGCTGGGAAGCGCCCCTTTCCCCACTGGGAAATTCCATGTGAGCACTCATCGGGGCATTCCCCTGCTCTCATTCTCTTGCTTCAGCTGCTTGGGATCTTTCAATGCACCCCTCCCTGCAAAAAGATGGTGGCACTAGCTGGAAAGTATAGCATCCAGTGCCCCACTTCACTCATTTCTTTCTTCCCTCCTCTCTTGCCTCCACTTTGTCCTACTCACATTATCCCCCACCCCTGCTGCTGGTAGGTTTATTCATCCACTGAAACAAGCTTGATTGAGTTCAAGGCAATTAACATTACTGAGCATCTGTTAGGAACTGGAGACTGAGAGTGGCCTTTAAGGATTTTCAAGGCCAGGAGCAGTGGCTCATGCCTGTAATCCCAGCATTTTGGGAGGCCGAGGCAGGAGGATTGCTTGAGCTCAGGAGTTCAAGACCAGCCTGGGCAACATAGTGAGACTTCATCTCTACCAAAAATACAAAAAATTAGCTGGGTGTGGTAGTGCGCGCCTGTGGTCCCAGCTGCTTGCAGGGGTAAGGTGGGAATATCACTTGAGCCCAGGAGACTGAGGCTGCAGTGAGCTGTGATTGTGCCACTGCACCCCAGCCTGGGTGACAGAACAAGACCCTGTCTCAAAAAAAAATCATCCTCCTACTCCTCACAGGAGAAAGACAGGCAAGCAGCTTACCTAAATACACAATAAAATGTAATAGCTGCTAGATACAATTACAGGCACTACACAGGATGCATCAGGAAGGAAAAAACAACTAATTCTAATTCTGACCAGGAGATACCTTCTCAGTGGAGATGGCATTTGAGTTGAGCCAGGAAGGAGGACTAGAGTTTTGATAACAGTTTGGGAAATGGCGTGAGTAAAGACGTGGAAGCACATGCAGGCAACATTTGAAAGAGCAGAGGGAGTGGCAGGGGACAGGGAGAAGTCCTGGATGGCTATGCGGAGGAATTTGGACTTGATTGGGAGGAGGAGCTCTTCAAATATGACTGCACTCTTTCTTTTCCTCCCTCACAGCTCTGAGAGTTGTCAGGCATTGGTTTGGTTCAGTGATCGTAAACAGGCTGGCTCCCCAAGGGCAGAGATTGCTTTGCCCAACATTATATCCCCAGTGCCTAGCTCAGTGCCAGGCACATAGCAAGCACTCAAGAAATACCAAAGAAATAAGTGATACATTTCACATAATAACTCTGTGCTTTCTGATTATATGGTACGAAGAAGAATTCAGAGACTCGTTCTGAGCACCAGGAGTGCTGCTGTCGATGAATGGTGTCTGGGTGGTTGTAGGCAAGGGCACTGGGGATAGTTGGCTAGGTTTTGCCATCCCTGCTCTAGATGATCCATCTGAGATGGCCCCTGCTGCACTGCAACCCTCAGAGAAGACAGTCCAGAAGAGCTTCAACTGTCAAGTTTCATTGTTGGAAGCTTTCAGACATTAGGATATATTCATGTAACTAGCAGGTCTTGGTGTGGGTGCACTGCTGAGGACCTGCCTGCCAGTTCTGGGGAAAGCCTCCCATGTGGACATCCCCTGAGAGCTCTCACTAAGAAATGGCTACAAGCGGGTTAGAAACAGGCAGATGAAATAATAGTGTTAGCAGTCAGGCTATAGGGGCCCATAGTGAGGAGACAGTGCCTAGAAGCGGATGGAAGGTTGATTTCACGTTCTGCTAATTGGGCTGAATGCCAGTTACACAAGTGTGTTTTATATTGTGAAGATTCATCATTATACCGCTAGGACTTACACTTTTCAATATGTGTGCTATACCTCAACAGTTTACCTTAAAAAAAAAAAAGTTATAAAAGACGAGGCAAAAGTTGCAGCCTTAGGCTGAACAGCTGGGGTTAGTCAGTTTTTCGCAGGTTGCAATTCTGTCCGTTCTCGGAAGGTGGCAGTGTTGTGCCACTTGATAAAATACAAGACCTAAGAATAGGATTCCTTGGATTCCCAGCCCCTTCTTGAGGCTTAATGCTGCTGATTTTTTTTTTTTTTTTTTTTTTTGGAGACAGAGTCTCGCTCTGTCTCCCAGGCTGGGGTGCAGTGGCGTGATCTCGGCCCACTGCAACCTCCGCTTCCTGGGCTCAAGCAACCCCTGCCTCAGCCTCCCAAGCAGCGGGGACTACAGGTGCGCGCCCCCACACCTGGCCAACTTTTTGTATTTTAGTAGAGACGGGGTTTCACCATGTTGCCCAGGCCAGTCTCAAACTTTGAGCTCAGGCAATCCACCTGCCTCGGCCTCCCAAAGCGCTAGGATTACAAGCGTGAGCCACCGCGCCTGGCCAATGCTGCTGATTTTGATCATCCTACCTATCTTTATCTTTGAATCCAGATCATTCTCTCCTAACTTTTGCCCTAAAAACACCTTTAAAAATTTACCTTGAGCAACCAAAGCCATGTACTGGTGATGTTTGTGGGGAACATCACTGGATCTCCAGGAAATGAGTGCTCCTACCTGATACCCTGAACACGAAATACTTAACGTGTGTTATCAGCAGATATCGCCATGAATCATTCTTTGAGTTTGGAATAGGTCTTGCTGAAATGCCTCAAAATTGAATCAGGCAGATTCTTAAGAATAAACAACTGCAAATTTGCAATAATTTCAGTATGAAGGTCAACCTGTTCTTATCCTCTTATGAGAAAAAGTTTATATGTCACTATTTACCCAGTAAGGGTATAACTAAAACTACTTTTTAAAACAGGTACTATAAATAAGTTATAATCAATTCATATTTCAGAACACTAGGTAACTTTTTAAAAAGTGAGATAGATCTATATGAACTGCCATGGAGAAATCCATTCATATCATTAAGTGAAATACCATAAAGTATACATAAGGTATAATCCCACTTATATAAATCCCCAAAAATCTATAAAAACCATATGTGGATAGGTACACATTTATGTATACAAAGGCATTGAAAAATGTCTCCAGACTTTTCCAGGGATATATACCAAACTATTAATAAGAACTGCCTCCTGAAAGGGACATAGGCCTAGAAAGGAGTGGTAGTGTTTGGATTTGAACAGAAGGTTTATAGTCATATATGACTTGTATGGTTTAAAACTTTTTTTAGGCCAGGTGGGGTGGCTCACACCTGTAATCCCAGTACTTTGGGGGGCCGAGGCAGGTGGATCACGCCCAGCCTGAATTTATTTTCTTATCACTTATTTCTAAGGAGCCATTTGTTTAAGCTGGGTTTATAAGTGGCCTTGGTCAGCCCGCCTGCTTTTATGAGGGGCAGCTACTTCTGCCCATCCGAGGGAAGGTCTGCGTTGCTGTTTTCTCAATGCCTCATGTCCCACTCCTCCTGTTTTCTTTTCCTGTCATCTTTCCTCAGGGAGCCTTTTCATAAGCTGCTGGCCCAAGGCCTTATCAAGGGGCAGACATTCCGCCTACCATCTGGACAGTATCTACAGAGAGAGGAAGTGGATCTCACAGGTAAGAATGGCCCATCTGGTCCCATCCAGGTACTCCCAGAGAGCCAAGGCCAGGCCTGAGAGCTACTGAGCAAGCAGGCATCTGCCTCTAGAGTGGGGAGGATGCAGGAGAGAGACCCGCTGGCTGTGAGGTCTCTAAGCCTCAGCTCCCTCTGGGCCTGCGCCCCCTGAAGCCTGGTCCTGGACTGGCCGTCTGCTCCTCTGCTGCAGCCCCCTTCAGCCAAAGTGCCACCTCAGCTTCTGGCAGGGTTTTCATTTGTATGTAACAGAGTCAACTCAGGCATGACCTCCTATCCCAGACCATCTTTGAAAGCCCACCTCAGGGATAGAGCCCCCAGGCCCAAGACACATTCTTCCAGAACTGGGGTACTCCCAGTGTTTCTCCCAACATGTTCTAGTGGCACATTTCAGAACCTTGGGGGGCAGCACTCGGTTTACTCGTAGCACCCCAGAGCAGCCCCCTCTTAGCATTTCCCAGTAAAACACCTCCCCCTGATTCCCCGAACTTCCCTCCTGTCCCAGCTCTCCCAAGCCTTTTCCTTCCACTCTGCATTTTCACCCTTTACCCTTTACATTTCACCCTTCATTTTCACCCTGAGGATCACAAGATCTTCAGGTGCCATGGTGAGGATGTATCACGTGCACCCAGCACACACGTGGAATATATGACATGTTAGAAAATGGGTAGGGGCAAGGTGTGGTAGCTCACGCCTGTAATCCCAGCACTTTGGGAGGCCAAGGCAGGTGGATCACCTGAGGTCAGGAGTTCAAGACCATCCTGGCCAACATGGTGAAACCCCGTCTCTACTAAAAATACAAAAATGAGCCAGGCGTGGAGGCATGCACCTGTAATCCCAGCTACTCAGGAGGCTGAGGCAGGAGAATCACTTGAACCCAGGAGGTGGAGGTTGCAGTGAGCCAAGATCATGCCACTGCACTCCAGCCTGGGCAACAGAGCAAGACTCTGTCTCAAAAAAAAAAAAGAAAGAAAGAAAACAGTTGGAGACATGCAGTATACATAGGGACAGCTGTGAGAAACCCCCAGCACTGTGACCATTACATTTAGAAAAACTAGTGCATAATGGATGAGATTAGGTCACACGACAACCCTGTAAATGGTAGGCAGCCTCTCCAGCCAAACATTAGAGACAGGGTTTAGGGAAGCAGTCGATGCAATTACCTCATCAAAGCAAAATATATCAAGGTTTATAACGGTCCGTGGGAGAAAAAGAAGCTGGAGAAGCAGAACTGGCAGTGTCTCTCCAGCATGGATGACAGAGGGAAAGAGCTAAATTCAGGTGCACATAGAATTCAGCCTCACAGTTAGTGAAGTGTTCTCTGTAACAGGCAAGGCTGCCCATGTATAGCTGTGCAGTTTGTGCGCTACACAAAAGAACCAAGCCAAGGCTGTGATTTCAGTAGGGCCTGAAATGCAGCCGTTTCTCAAGCCATACATTTCAGGGCAACATCTGCCAAACGAGGGTGACTTTTTCTAACTTCTCAACTTTTCTGCCCAGAAAGATACATTTTTTCCTAATTTGCATAACAGTGTTTTAAGGTCTAGACACAGCCTGGGGCAGGGTAAAGGGGCCAGTGGTTCCCTGAGTCTCACCACAGCGTGGATAAACATCTAGGACTTCAGTCTCCCCTTCTCTGCTGTCATGGGGTCAGGCAGTATTGTGAACATCTTTTCCCTTCCCACGTAGTCTTGCCTACTGGGTGAGAATACTTTGATCAGCAAGGGCAGGTTTCTGTCTCCTTCATGGATGTAACTCTCATGAAGTATGGAGTTGGCTTTTAGGTCTGTACATCGGTCCCCTGTTAGCTTGGTTGCTGTTGGAATCAGAGATTATTTGGCTGGAAGGAAAAGAAATCCACCCAAACCCAGTTGCAGAAAATAGAGCTAGGCCCCACTGCTCATAGGAAGTCACCAGCCACTCCTTTTTTCTTCTCTCTTTCTCAGCTCTCTCGTTCTTAGTTCTTCTTCCTGCTTCTCTCTGTTCTTCTGCCCTGTTCTCCTTCATCTGCCAGACTTGGATTCTCCTCTCCCCAATTTCAATTTACCAAGTGACCTTGGGTAGCTGCAGTGGCAAGTCTTGCCCCATCTCCTTAGGACCTGATGGTCCCAGTGCTCAGCAACATGGAAACTGAGTTTCTGTATCTCTTAGCTCCAATTTGTGAGATAGAGGCTTAGCCTTGCCAGGTGCTCTTACTAGTCCTCTCCAGTAGGGCTTGGCAACAAGGTCACCTCATCCAAATGCGGCCATTTAAGACCCCTTCCATCAGCACCATCTAGACCAGTGGTATGTGAGTAGGGGAGGAGACAGTTCCAAAGAATAGGGTGTGGGTGGCTGGCACCACAAAGGGACCAACACATTTACCATGAGCCCGGTAAGTGAATTCCATGTGCCCTGAGAGTATGAGATCATGTTTTGGTGACTGCAACATGGATGGGACAGGTCAGGCTGCCAACTTCCATAAGAGACCCTTAATTCATCAAGAAAATGGCAACGTGTGCGAGTTTTTCAAAATTCTTTTTTACTTTCCTTTTTTGTGTATAAATAATTCACTTGTAAAGGGGGAAATTGTTTTGTTTTATAGAAAAAGCTGGCACAGGCCATTATAACTGTCCTGTTTATTCGCGAAGGTTTGTGGGAGGAAGGTGGGCCTCATTCATTTAAAAATAAAAATATTTTTATAACAATACAGAGGGAGAGAAAGCGGCTTGTTAAGTGAATTAGTGTGATTCTTCAAATGGACACTTTCCATCGCTCACCCAGTTTTTACTTATTGATGCTATTTCTATAGAAGCAATTCACAATGACACATACCATACCTATGGATTATTTTGGCATCTAGGTTCCGTTCCTGTTCATGCAAAAACGAAAGAGAAGTTAGAGGTGACGTGGGAGAAGATGAGTAAGTCCAAACACAACGGGGTGGACCCAGAGGAAGTTGTGGAGCAGTATGGGATCGACACGATTCGGCTCTACATCCTTTTTGCTGCCCCTCCTGAGAAGGATATCTTGTGGGATGTGAAAAGTAAGTCACCTTCCTCTTCCTGACTTGCTTCCTTTGTGATCTGCCCTGGACTTTGAAGGAGTTTGAGGAAGGAAATGTCTTTGCTGAAGACAGTGGTAGAGAATTCTAGGAATCAGTTCCATAGAGCAAGTAGCAGCTTGACCAGCATCCTGCACCACTCTTAGACGGGTGTTGACAAACATAAGCGAGCCTCAGAATCATTTGGGAAACATGTTGCAGATGCAGATTCCAGTGCTCCGCCCATGCCTGCTGACACAGCCTCCAGAATGGGGCTCAGGAGGTGGCCTTTGAACAAGCTCAGCGGTGATTCCAGTGCACACTCTACGAGGACCATGCTTTGAGAGTGGTTTCCTTGGAGACAGACTGGCTTCTGAGCTACTCCTAGGCCTGCTATAGTCCAAAGAGGCCAGTTCCCTCTTTCTTGATGTACCCTGCAAGGTTTTTTCTAGAACAGTGTCATTCTCCCTCACCAATCCAGAAAGCCCCGGGAGGGGTCTGGGCCTGTTGTTACCTATGGCCTCTTAGTCACCCACAGCACCCTTCATCTCCCCACTTAGGGGAGATTTGTCTCTCCAGAGTTGTTTAGTACTAAAATGACATGAAGTAAAATAATCTTGAGTATCTGGCTATTCTAGAATAAACCCGTCCAACAGTCATTCATTTTTACTTCATGTGATCAGCCCTAAGTGTTGTTGTGGGAAGAGGAAGTCAGATGCCTGGAAACTTGAGCCTTGTGTGAAGTATCCATGTCATTTGAGAAATCACTGTTTATTTTGATTTCCAACTAGCTGTGGCTAGTGGGAAGTGTGGTCTGGAACAGTGGTCACAGATGCCAGTCCTAGAACTAGCTGCCTCAGAATCACTGGGGGGCTTGCAAAGCACAGACAGGTGGAGGTTCTGGCTCCCACCCCTAACCCAGGGGACAGGCTCCAGGAATCTTTCTAAGAAGCCTCCCAGAAGGTTCTGCTGTGCATTCAGGCTTGAGAATGCCTAGCCTAGTGGCCAGACAGTACAAGGACCTGGACTGACCCTAATTTGGCTACTGGTATAACCCAGGGCCACCAGGTAAAGCCATTCAGCTTTACCAGAAGATCAGACCAGCAGCTGGATTGGATGAGCTTGTGTAAAATATGGAAAACACACATACCTGCAAGGACAGGGATTGTGCCAATGCACTTCACACTCTACAGCAGTGTGGCTGCAAGCACAGTCATGCTATCCACAAGGTAAGAGCTTGCACCAGCAGGAGTCAGCACTGTCTCCAAAGCACCATGTTAACTCCATGGCATTTTTGTCCCAGCAAGCTTGCTTAATCAAGGCGGCGGGGCACCAGGGCTCATCTTGACCAAGCTTCTGAGCTCATGACCGTTGGTGGGTGGCACTTTGAGTGGCCCTGCCATCCAGTGCTCTGAATCTGGGCACTAAAATGAGATAGAATTGGTCCTGGTCTGAATTCTCAGACACTGAAGGCCAGGGAGGATCCTTCAGCCTGCCCTCAGAGGAATCCATCAGGGTGCAGTGAAGTGTCACATCAATTCACAGGTGTTTTTCTCTGCTTAGTTATACCAAGTCAATCACCCTTATGTTGCACGCTCTCTCTTTCTCATTTACTGATGCTGAATTCAGCTGATGCTCTCCCTGGGGTGCTGAGATGGCAACAACGACTGTGGACCTTGACAACTCGGTTTATTGAGGCCAGGGCTTCTGGGAAGTCTCCCCAGCCTCAGCTGCTGAGTAACAAGGAGAAAGCTGAGGCCAGGAAGCTCTGGGAGTACAAGAACTCCGTCATCTCTCAGGTCAGAAACTCTCCAATTCCAGGGGTTAACTCTGTAACCAAGCACTCTTTGGGAACCTTTGCCTGTGGTCTTTGCTGCCCTCCCTGCCTTGGGTTGGGCCACTGTGGGTCTTCCTTCCTGGCAATGGCGGTCCTTCTTGCTTTGATTGATTGGCCCTACTGTTTTGGGTACTTTACCAAGGTGGATCAACAGTGCATATGTTCTAATGGAAAGAGATGCCCCCAGGAAATGGCTCTCTGATGATGTCTCACATTTGTCCATCCTGGGTCTCAGGAAGCTGCCACTTTCCATGTTTCCACATTTAACACATCCAAGCAGAGAACCAAATCCAGGATCACCCTGTCATCCAGGATGACACCGCATATGTTACATTAACAGAAATACAATTTTAGAGTTGGAAGGGGCATTAAGAAACTATCCTCTGTAGCCTCCTCATTGTACAGATGGGGACAGAGATGATGTCCAGATATCTTGCCTAACGTCACACGGCTAGTGAGGAACTGAGCAGAGATTAGAATCCCAGTCCTCCACATAGTGAGGACTTTCCCACTCAGTTACTTTGTTACACAATATCCATGTGAACTATTGTGGGTTAATTTCTGCAAATCTGAAGTCATTGTAATGGGTATCTGATATCCCAAATTCTTCTTAAGCTGATTTAAAAAAAAAAAAGTTATGCTGATTCAGACATAAAGTTAATCAGTGTCGCTCATCTGCACTCTGATAATGAACACAATGATGCATGGCAGGTTTTTGCCTCTCTGGTTTGTATAACCTGAAGTGGCCCTGGGTCCAGCATGGTCTTATTTGTTGACACTTCTTCAGCTTTATTTCTGGCCTCTGTACCCTCTCTATGTGGAGGAACAGAGCTCCCTGAATGAATGTAGGGGTCTGAGTGATGCCTGAGCGATTGAGTTCATACCACATATTTTCTCCCTGGATTTGGCAAATTCTTCTATTCTGTCAGATAAAAGAATTAGGTTATTTCAACAAGTTGGAAACTCTTGACATCCTTAAAGATGTGTTACTTTTCTGTATTCTTGCCTATAGTCAAAATGGAAAAGCACAGAAACATGAAAAAGCTGACAAGCTGTGTTAATGTTCTTATGTTGACTGTACATTTCAAAATGTAAAATTGACAAGGCGCAGTGGCTCACACCTATAATCCCAGCACTTTGGGAGGCCAAGGCGGGCAGATCACAAGATCAAGAGATTGAGACCATCCTGGCTAACATGGTGAAACCCCGTTTCTACTAAAAACACAAAAAATTAGCCTGGCGTGGTGGCACGCGCCTGTAATCCCAGCTACTCGGGAGGCTGAAGCAGGAGAATCACTTGAACCTGGGAGGCAGAGGTTGCAGTGAGCTGAGATCGCACCACTGCACTCCAACTTGGGTGACAAAGCGAGTCTCCGTCTCAAAAAAAAAAAAAAAAGTAAAATTAACCTTATCCCATATTCTAAAAACCGTCACTGTGAAGCAAAGTCACATAACCAAGCAGAAGTGGCATCCTTTATTCCTGTTTTCTGTTATGTTGAGTTTACCCATCAGTGGGTCCTGCGTCCTATTCATGTTACTAGCATTGCTTTTTTTTTTGACAAAGTCTCACTCTGTTGCCCAGGCTGGAGTGCAATGGCGCAATCTCAGCTCACTGCAGGCTCCACCTCCCAGGTTCAAGAGATTCTCCTGCCTCAGCCTCCCAAGTAGCTGGGATTACAGGTATGCGCCACCACACCCGGCTAATTTTTTGTATTTTTGTAGAAATGGGGTTTTGCCACATTGGCCAGGCTGGTCTCGAACTCTTGACCTCAAGTAATCCACCCACCTCGGCCTTCCAAAGTGCTAGGATTACAGGTGTGAGCCACTGTGCCCAGCCACTAGCACTGTTTTTCTAAGCACCTACTATGAGAACCAACAGTATCCCAGATATGTGGAAGAATAGTCTTAAACAGTGGAAACAGTGTTGACTTTGAATTTTAAAATATTTGTGTAGATGAAACATAGCGATTATTTGAGATAGTAGATATATTTATAAATATCTTTGCATCCCATTCATTTTCCTTTTTTTTTGTTTTGATAATTCAGTCTTTTTGTGGAAAGCTTAAAAGAATTTTGAAATAAGTAAATAATTGAACCTTTACTAATAGGTGACCACCCATTTCACAGAGGACTTCTCACTGAATTCTGCAATTTCTCAGCTGATGGGACTCAGCAATGCCCTCTCGGTAAGTGGCCTGTCCTCATTTGCTGGTAGCAGAGGAGGGAGGGAGAGGTGTGGCAAGGGGCCCCACAGGGTCCCAAGAGGGACAGAGAGCACCCCCACTGTGTCACCGCCTCAGTGTGGCTTGATTATCTTAAGGAAACATTTTTCCATAGTCACAACCTAGTTTTATGCTGGAATGTTCTTAAAGATTTTCTGGTCCAAACCCCCTTCTCCCCCAATATTTTACAGATGAGGACATTGAGGCCCAGGGAAGTTAGATGACATGTCTGGTTGATTAGTGACAAATCTAGGACCAGACTCAGGCCTCCCTGTCTTCTGGCTCTTTGCACCCCCGCTGTCTGATTTCATGAATGAATTGTGATACCTCCTCGGCATCATTACATTTGATATTCATTTAACCTGGATGGATCAGGATCGTTCTCACCAATGCCAAAAGTCAGCCTTTTCAGTATGGACTTCCTTCTTGCTAAGTGTGACTACCATTTTTCTTGCCAGGGAAAGGATTTGTCAACAAATGTTCTTAGCTACTGGACAACAAAAGCATTCATTAAAGCTATTAACAAATGCTTTTTAAAAATGAAGTCCTCTCCAAGCTTTTAAGATCAGTGGGGGCCAGGCACAGTGGCTCATGCCTGTAATCTCAACGCTTTGGAAGACCAAGCTGAGAGGATCACTTGAGGCCAGGAGTTCAAGACCTGCCTGGGCCGCGTAGAAAATAAAATAATTAGGCCAGGCATGGTGGCTCACACCTGTAATCCCAGCACTTTGGGAGGCTGAGGCAGGCGGATCACGAGGTCAGGAGATCAAGACCATCCTGGCTAACACAGTGAAACCCCATCTCTACTAAAAAATACAAAAAATTAGCCAGGCGTGGTGGCAGGCACCAGTAGTCCCAGCTACTCAGGAGGCTGAGGCAGGAGAATGGTGTGAACCCAGGTGGCGGAGCATGCAGTGAGCCAAGATCACGCCACTGCACTTCAGCCTGGGCGACAAAGCAAGACTCCGCCTCAAAAACAAAGTAAAAAAATAAAATAATTAGCCTGGCATGGTGGCATACAGCTGTAGCTGTAGCTACTCGGGAAGCTGAGGCGAGAGGATCGCTTGAACCCATCCTGGGCAACAGAGCAGGAGACTCTGTCTCTAAAAATAAAATTAAAAGGGTAATTTTTAAAAAGTAAAATAAAGATAAAAAAGAACAATGGAAGAAATTTCAAATTTGACTACATAAAACTTGACATTTTCAGTATGTTAAAAAAATTTATAACATGTCAGACAGAAGGTTAATATCCTTGTAAAGCACTCTTACATATTAATATGAAAATACCTAACCAAAAATGGTCAAAGCATATGAAAAGATAATAACTCATAGAAAATGTTATAGAAATAGCCAATACATTTGTGGAGAAAAAAAAGTCTGCCTCTCTAATTATCATGAAAGGCAAATTTAAAACAAGATGCTTTTGTTTTTGTTTTTGTTTTTTTTTAAATACCTGTCAAATTTGCTGAGAATACTTTAACGTAACTATTCAGGGCCAGGCACAGTGGCTCATGCCTGTAATTCCAGCACTTTGGGAGGCCGAGGCAGCAGGATCGATTGAGCTCAGGAGTTTGAGACCAGCCTGGGCAACATAACAAGACTTCATCTGTAAAAAATTTAAAAATTAGCCAAGTGTGGTGGCATGCACCTGTAGTTCTAGCTACTCAGGAGGCTGAGGCGGGAGGATCCCTTGAGCCCAGGAATTTGAGGTTGCAGTGAGCTGTTTGGTGCCACTGTACTCTAGCCTGGGTGACAAAGCGAGACTCTCTCTCAAAAAAATAAAAATAAAGGCATAATTATTCCCCATGCTATTGCAAAGATGGCAGAATAGACTTTTACACGCCAGTGATAGGTGTGGTTGGTGTAACCTTGCCAGGAAGCACTTCGGCTATCAGGTTGATTGTGTTATATCCTCTGATCCAGGAGTGTTCACTGCAGATAATTTATAATCACAGAGACTCGGAACCCCAGTGTCCTCTGATGGGGGAATTGTGAAATGACTTATGTCATATCAATAAGAAAGGAATGTGCCACCACCATTAACCTCATGTCTTGAAGAATACTTAATATCAGAAACTGTTTATGATATAATGTTAAGTAAAAACACATGACACAAGGCCAGGCACAGTGGCTCACGCCTGTAATCCCAGCACTGCGGGAGGTCAAGGCAGATAGATCGCTTGAGGTCAGGAGTTCAACACCAACCTGCTCAACATGGTGAAACCCTGTCTCTACTAAAAATACAAAAAATCAGCCAGGGTGTGGTGGTGCACACCTGTGCACCTGTAGTCCCAGGCACTCAGGAGGCTGAGGCAGGAGGATTGCTTAAACCTGTAGGCAGAGGTTGCAGTGAGCTGAGATCACACCACTGCACTCCAGCCTGGGCAACAGAGAGAGACTCTGTCTCAAAAAAAAAAGATACAAAAGTGTTCATATGAGCTGGGTGCAGTGGTTCACACATGTAATCCTAGCATTTTGGGAGGCCAGGGCAGGCAGATGGCTTGAGCCCAGGATTTCGAGACCAGCCTGAGCAATATAGTGAGATACCCCATCTCTATTTAAAAAAAAAATTAATTTTTAAAATTAAAAAAAAGGAAGTGTTCATATGGCAAGAATACCAATCCTGAAAATGTTACATGTGTAATAAGCATTTATATACACATTTTTGCATTTTTGGAGACAAGGATAAAATATACCTTTTTTTCTAGGTTGTATAATTATGAGTAGTTTTTCATTTCCTGTATATTCTGTGCTGAGTGTGTGTTAGTTTTTTAATCAGAAAAAATAAAGCAAGACACTGAAATGAAACTGTAATGAATTTCTGTCTTTCCATTCCGGAATTTGGGAAGTCCTTAATAATAACACACAGAGCTAAACACAACTATGTTTGCCGGAATTGACCAAAGGTATTTCAGAGAATAGGGGTCCCTAAGTAGGGTATAGAGGCCCCCCTGCCCTAGGTGTTTCACAGTTTAACACCTTTGAGCAGGTCTCAGTGCATTTCTCTGTGGACCTGCAGCACAGAGGAAACCTAGCAGAGTGGGTAAGAGTTTGGCTACAGTGTGCCTGGGGGCAGATTGCCCTCCCTTGCTGATCCTTAGCTGCTTCATCTGTCCAATGGGGTAAGAATACCACCCTCAAAGAGTGGTGAGGACTAAATAAGTTAACATCATGTATTTGTTGTTGCTGCTGCTGGAGCTTTTTTTTTTTTTTAAAGATAGGGTCTCACTGTTGCCCAAGCTTCAGTGCAGTGGTGCAGTCATAGCTCACTGCAGCCTTGACCTCCTGGTCTTAAGTGATCCTCCCACTTCAGCCTCCTAAGTAACTGGGACTATAGGTGTGTGCAACTGTGCCTGGCTAATTTTTTTTTATTTTTTAATTTTTCATAGAGATGAGGTCTCACTATAGTGCCCAGGCTGGTCTCAAATTCTTGGCCTCCCAAAGTAGTGGGAGTATAAGTGTCAGCTACCACACCTGGCTTGCTGTAGTTTATCTCAGTGCTATCATTAAGTAGGGGAAGTTCATTGTCCCAAGCAGAAATGGATGGCAAAGGGGGTTTCTTCCTACCAGCTTGTGTCTCTGGACTTCAGATACATTAATGGTCTTTCTTACCCGTGCTTATTTTTACACCTCAGTCTTCTTACTTTTTTTTCCTCTTCCTTAGCAAGCCTCTCAGAGCGTCATTCTCCACAGCCCCGAGTTTGAGGATGCTTTGTGTGCCCTGATGGTAATGGCTGCTCCACTGGCCCCTCATGTAACCTCAGAGATCTGGGCAGGTACGTGGCAGAGTCCTTTTTTGACCAGTTACTACTAACTAGAATTTGTCGAAGCCTCTTTTTGAACATCATTCGGGACTCAGATGTCCTCAGATATAGGGTCCAACATTTGGCATCTATACTCAGCAACCTCTCTGTCCTGTACTCTGAATGGTAGTACTTCATCCACATGGTCACCCCTACCAAAAGGAAAGACACTTCCCTGCTTTGAATAATGTGCCCAGACTAATGTGGGTGTTGATGTTACCATCTTAATCCCTTCTCGTGACTCAGCCCCCCAGTATCCACATATTATGACCTGCGTGGTCTTTTTAAGATAAAAACTCATGTTTAATACCACTGTACAGGTGGAAATTAAGTTATAGGTCTAAACTTACACTGTAATTCAGCACTCTTCACCAATTATTCCTAATCTAGGCATCAAAGCAGGCCTGACTGCCTGCTTGAATTTCAGCCCCTAGAACCCTCCACATCATTGGGACTGTTAGCCTGGACAAAACCAGGACTTCACATAATCATCGAACTGGGATTAGGCCAAGCATATAGGGAGGGGCAAAGTGACATGTAATTGAGCTCCTGAAAGATCATGCATGCATGGGAAAGTCTTCAGATGTTTCTAGAAATAGGTCATCTGAAATGCATGTGACTTGGCAGTTTCGTTGACGTAAAAGATTTCTTCTAAAAAAAAGATCTCTCCTAATTAAATTTACTGATGTGGTGTCACAGAGAAGAAATGCATGTTGTTTAGTTGAGCAAACCACGAGTCTCAGTGTAAGCTTGAGTGATAAGAAGAATTTGAGGATTATTTGAAATTCCCACCACCCAAGCAACTTTATGCCTACAGGAAATAGGTGGAAATTACAGTAGGATTTATAGTTGACAGAGTATTGCCTGTGTCTCTCACAAAGCCTTGTTTATTGCCTTCTACTTTAAAACATAGTACTCCTTGTTGATTTGAGGGACTCATTGGGAATTGGGCCCTACCATCTCCCTCAGAGTTGCTTCTTAATTCCTCAGGAGGAGCAGTGGTTCCTTTTTCTTTTTAGCTAAGATGAGACTTATTTTTCCAGGGTCCCCTTTTTTACAGTATAAGTGTCTCTGTCAAAAGGAAGTGTTTTTCATTCCTTGAGGAAAAGCGAATCTGTTTTATTTCGCTTTCATTGTAAACCCATGAGCTTAGTTTGGATTTTTATCCTTTTTGATATCTAAAGCCACTTTAAAATTAAACTTGTTCAGCCAAATATTGAAGTTCACGTAGTGGGAGGATTTGCCAGCCAGTTTTTTGTTTATGTACCATATCTACAGTTTCTGACTTTAAGCATCAACCAAAAAAGTGGAAAGGGCTTTGGAAATCAGGAACTAATCCTAAAACCTGGGTAAGGATTTGGATGGGTCTGACTCTGAAGTTTCCTTTGGTTCATTCTTTGCTGCTTGCAAGACTGAATCAAGGTCCAGTTTACTTTAGCAGGAAAGAGATGTGGTGTAGCTCCCAACAGATTCTGCCCTACTTTATATGCTTTAAGACATCCTGATTGAGTACAAGTGTATTTCATTGTGTCTTAAGTCATCTTCTGGGTCTTTCCAGTTACTCTTTTAGTTACCCTTTTTAAACCAAGCTTTTGCAACTCCTGGCCCCCTCCAACAGGTGGCTTAGTTGGAAGAAGTCAGAGAGGCCTGGGTTGAGTGTACCCAAGATAAGTCTGAATTCTATATTAATTCCTGTCTTTCCATTCTGGAATTCGGGAAGTCCTTAATAATAGCATGCAGAGCTAAACACAACCACATAGCTTAAATACTAGCTACCAGTCAGTGTCAGATGCCTCTTTCATAGGGGTTGCAATTTTAAGTGACAATGAGGTAGTGCAACTGATTTAAAGTAGGAGGGGAAAGAGAGAGGAGGAGGAGAAGGCAATTATAAGGACTTCATGAGTTGAGCAAGATTTTAAACGTAAAGACGAAGGAGGTGAGGAAAGATGGGAAAAACTGAAATGTGTTTTCAGTGGATCTACAGGGGAGACAGTTTTTAAGTTTCTCACATTTTGAATCTTTAAGGGAGACAATTTTTGAGTCCGATTTATGTTAGAAACCTCTTTATACAATTAAAGAAATCATACCATTGGATAATCAGAATTGTTTTATCCTTTTTGTTCTAAGGAACCTCTCAAATGAACAATTTTGTTCCTATCAAAAGTTCCCCAAAGGGATCACTGTCATTCCAAATTGTCTTTGGAAATTTGTGGCACTTAAAAAGATATGCACAGGAGTTAGGGCTGTAATTAGAAAACATAAAGAAAGCCTGTGCTTGTGGTGGAGGAGGCAGTTTTAGATTGAAAAGACCAAGACATGAGCCGCAACATATCCATGGGTTGCTGCTTGTGGAATTTTGCATCTTGGTGCTTGATCAAAGTCAAGTCATCATTGATCAGGAGCCAGACAAAGCCTCCTGCTTATCGGTAGACAAAACTAACATAAAAGCAGTTCTCAGGAACACAAGAACAAGACTGAGGGAGAAGTCATTATGAGATTTTGCAATGGTGACTCGGGCACAGCGTGTCTCCAAGAAGTAACTGACTGACCACTTTACCACTTCACCCTTAGGGCTAGCTCAAGGACAAATTTATGGGACCTATTCCCATCCTCTCCCAGTGGACAAACAACATTCAAGATAGTACACAAGCAGATAGATAGGGCATTAGGCCAGCAGATGTTAGTTACTAGAAAACATTTTCACCAAAGAACAATAGAATTCTGATCAAAAAACCAAATGTCCAAAATGGGACCTATTCTTAAGAAAATAAGATAAATGCAACAGTAAAATCTTCAGTGAAATCCTGGAGTTCAATTCAGCATGAACGTAGTTCCCAGCCAAGGGTGAGTGGCACCTCATCCAGGTAGAGACACAAGTGGGTCTCAGATGCATGCACTGTTTCTGAGTCAAAGGTTCCAGTCAAAGGTAGTGAGAGTCTCAGTTGAAATTCCATGAACCTGCAATTCTATCAGCATCCTCCAGCCAGAGACCACCAGGAACACACCTTCAGATAACAATTTGGGTTTATTACCGGGGGAAACACTGGGCATCTCAGAGGGTGCTAGGAAGGACCTGTTATATAATGAATTTGGGCTTTGGTAGAATAATTTGGGGAAGGGTCTCAGGAAGTGAGGATTTGCTCTGGATTGAGTGCTGTCAGTAAGTGGGGACAGTTTTGTGATTGGGTATCTTAAGAAATCTTATCTTGCCGGGCGCGGTGGCTCACGCCTGTAATCCCAACACTTTGGGAGGCCGAGGCAGGTGGATCATGAGGTCAAGAGATCGAGACCATCCTGGCCAACATGGTGAAACCCCGTCTCTACTAAATATACAAAAAATTAGCCTGGCATGGTGGCGGGCACCTGTAGTCCCAGCTACTCGAGAGGCTGAGGCAGGAGAATGGCATGAACCCAGGAGGTGGAGCTTGCAGTGAGCCGAGATCACACCACTGCACTCCAGCCTGGGCGACAGAGCGAGACTCCGTCTCAAAAAAAAAAAAAAGAAATCTTATCTTTAGGGAGATACACCTGAGCAAGGATAAAGTTGTAATTAGTAAAGAAATAGCAGTCCCTCATATCTGCCTAGAGAAGGGGATGTTTGATATTTTGTGTGTTTCACAGTGACCTTGTCTTTGTGCTTTGACAAAATTATGACATGGTCTTGTTTTGGTCTCCTTTTATGTTTTCAGTGTGACTGTCTGATGTTGGTGTTCAGTGAGATCATTTGTGTTGAACAGGAGAATAATATGGCCTAGCTATGCACAACTGGTGAATTTCTTATAACACTGAGGCCTAGCTATAATTGTCAGACCAGTTCCCAGATGATAAGGACTGAGAATAAAAATCCCCTAACCATCACCCTCTAGAAATAAACAGCCACCATCAGCATCTTAGCGCAGATCATTGCAGTGGATATGGTGGCTGGGTGCAGTGGCTCACGCTTGTAATCCCAGCACTTTGGAAGGCCCAGGCAGGAGGATCACTTGAGCCCAAGAGTTCAAGACCAGCTTGGGCAACATAGGGAGACCCCATCTCTACAAAAAATTTTAAAATTATCTGGATGTGGTGGCATGTGTCTGTAGGCTCAGCTACTCGGGAGGCTGAGGTGGGAGGATCACTTGAGCCCAGGAGTTCACGGCTGCAGTGAGCCATAATCATGCCACTGTACTCCAGCCTGGCTGACAGAGCAAGAGCCTGTCTCACAAAACATAGAAAAAGTAAAATGATTGTGTTCACTTACCTATGTGTATTGTATTTTGTGTCCACTTGTCTGTGTTGTGTTGTGTTTTGTCATGTCTCTTTATAAAATTTAAATACCCTAAAATTTACCCATTTTAAGTATATACTCAGTGTTTTAAGTAAATTTATATACTTGTGCACCCATCACCATGATCAGTTTTAGAACTGGATTTCCATTACTGAAAAAAGGTTCCCCACACCATTAGTCAATCCCACACCCACTCCAACCCCCAGCATGACTAATCTTTCTGTCTCTGTAGTTTTGCCTTTTCCAGAAATGTTATATAAATGAAATCATACAATGTGTAGTCATTTCTGTTTTATTTCATTTAGCATAATGCTTTTGAGATTAATCCATGTTCTGTTTATAGTAGTTCATTCCCTTTTATTGATGACTTGTTTTATTGTTAAGCGAGAGGTCATCTTATAACCTGATTTACTCACTTAAATATTCCATGAACATATATTTATGGGCCATTAAATACTTTTCTACAACATCTTTTTTTTTTTTTGGAGATGGAGTCTCACTCTGTTGCCTAGGCTGGAATGCAGTAGTACAATCTCCACTCACTGCAACTTCCCCTCCCAGGTTCAAGAGATTCTCCTGCCTCAGCCTCCCAAGTAGCTGGGATTACAGGCACCTGCCACCACGCCTGGCTAATTTTTGTATTTTTGGTAGAGACAGGGTTTCACCGTGTTGCCAGTCTGGTCTCAAAACTTCTGACCTCAGGGGATCTGCCTGCCTCGGCCTCCCAAAGTGCTGGGATTGCAGATGTGAGTCACCGCGCCCGGCCTACAACATCATTTTTAATGGTCATACAGTTTTCCATTGTTTGAATTTACGCACTCCCTATCATTGAACATTCAAACTGTTTATAGTTATACATTATTTTTTTAAAAGCTAAGTAGCCGCCGGGCACGGTAGCTCACACCTGTAATTTCAGCACTTTGGGAGGCTGAGGTGGGCTGATCACCTGAGGTCGGGAGTTCGAGACCAGCCGTCAGGCTCTACTAAAAATACAAAATTAGCCGGGCGTGGTGGCGCATGCCTGTAATCCCAGCTACTCAGGAGGCTGAGGCAGGAGAATCGCTTGAACCCAGGAGGCAGAGGTTGCGGTGGGCTGAGATTGCGCCATTGCACTCCATCCTGGGCAATGAGAGCGAAACTCCATCTCCAAAAAAAAAAAAAAAATGCTAAATAGCTAATGTTTACGTGCAAAATTATTTCCTAAGAACACATAACTAACTGTAATTGCTTGGTCAGAAGAGATACAAAAGATTAAGGCTTTTGATGCACACTCTCAAATCAAATTCCAGAAATTCTCTGGGTCTTCTGTGAATATGCCTGAACAGAAACATGAGCAGATATTATGATTCCAGATGTTAAATATGGACTTTTCAATCCCTTTGTGATAAACCCATTCTGCAAACTGGAGTAGCCCAACCTGGGCCCATCCCATGTCTTTGAAATCCTGAGTGATTGCTCACACCTTTGCAGCTGTGAGGATGGGTAACAGGGGCCCATACACCTGGGCCCAGAGCGAGGAGATATGTCTTAGAGGAGCTCAAGCAGCAGGCTGTGGTGGTGGTGTCAGCATCAGAGCCCTAGTGCATCCTGTCTGGACAGACTTCAGAGAGTCAGTCAAAACACGACTTCAGAGAGTCAGTCAGAACACAGAGCAACAGTTTGACCATCTTTGCTTTACACTGGGCTTAGGTCGGTTTCTCAGGTTAGCAAAAAATTAAATTCTCAGTATTTCCAGTTTAACAATATGATATTTAAGAATATGATATTTGGAGTTTTTTGTTTGTTTGCTTGTTTGTTTTTGTTTTTTTAACATATAAACTTTTAAAATAACCACATTAGGCTGGGCGCTGTGGCTCACGCCTGTAATCCCAGCACTATGGGAGGCCGAGGCGGGCGGATCATGAGGTCAAAGATCAAGACCATCTTGGCCAACATGGTGAAACCCCATCTCTATTAAAAATACAAAAATTAGCTGGGCATGGTGGCATGTGCCTGTGAAGTCACATACTCAGGAGGCTGAGGCAGGAGAGTTGCTTGAACCCGGGAGCTAGAGGTAGCAGTGAGCCAAGATCGCACCACTACGCTCCCACCTGGTGACAGAGCAAGACTCCGTCTCAAAAAAAAAACTGCATTAATTGTCCATGTGTGCCATGACTTAGTGTGTCTAACATTTCACTCCCATAAACAATCCACCATGGACAATTCTGTGCATAAATCTTGTTCTCACTTCATATTATTTCCTTGAAGTGGAAAAGATATGAATCTATTTAAGACTCTTGATATATATTAACAAATTATTTTCCTAAGAAGTTATTCCATCTTCCACTCTAGGATCTGTTTTTGAATTGTACATTGTGCTTCAATGATTTAACTATTGCATTTTTACAGACAGTTTTAACACCTGGCAGACTAGCCTTTCTTCATTTCTTTTCTTATAATTATTTTACCTCTTCTCACCTGTTTATTTTTCTCAGCAAAACTCTGCATAATTTGTTAAGTTTCCCCAAAATCACCATGACATTTCAATTGAAATGTGGTTAAACTTAGAATTAATTCAGGAAGGTTTCACATCTTTACCTCATCCAAACTTTCATCCTAGCTCATGGTCTGTCTCAAGTATTTTCTTTTCTTTTGTGTTCTTGTAGAATAGAATCTCTTTCTGCTATATTTTCTGACTGATAATGGCTGGCATATTTTTCTTCTGTAAAACCACATTGACACCAACATTTGTTTTATTTCAGTTAAGATTTATTGTGAGTTGATAGTCTTCTTAATGTTGTCAAATAAAGGTTAATACCATGGAAATCTGATCAGTTAAGAAAAATATATGTAGACTGATAAAAAACTATAAGAAAGAATTAATCTATTAATCTAATAGATTAATCCAAGTAACATGAATCCTCTGGAATATATGAGGAAAATAACTCATTATTTTCTTAGTATAATTGATTTTTTAAATCTTTTAAATTTTTTTAAATTTATTTTTATTTTTTGAGGCAGGGTCTCACTCTGTTGTCCAGGCTGGAGTACAGAGGCACAATCTGGGCTTATTGCAGCCTTGACCTCCTGGGCTCAAGCAGACCTCGTGCCTCAGCCTCCCAAGTAGCTGGGACTGTAAGCACATGCCCCTACGCCCGGCTAATTTTTGTATTTTTTCTTTTTATAGAGATGGTGTCTCACTGTGTTGCCCAGGCTAGTCCTGAGCTCCTGGGCTCAAGCAGTCCTCCCTCCTTGGCCTCCCAAAGTGCTGGGATTATAGGCATGAGCCACTGCACCCAGCCTACTGTCCTTTTAAAAAGATGTAATTGAGAAAAATTGCATATATTTATGGTGTACAATGTGTTGTTTTGATATATGTACACATTGTGGAATGATTAAACCAAGGTAATTAGCATATCCATCACCTCACACATATCATTTGTTGTGATGGGAATGTTAAAAATCTACTCTCTTAGCAATTTTCTACTAAATAATGCATTGCTATTAACTGTAGTCACCAGGATGCACAGTAGATCTCCAGAACTTATTCCAATGGCATATAATTTTTTAAATTTTTATTTGCATATTTGTTTTCTATCCTAATTCCCTACTGATCTTACTTTAACAGGTAAAATCCTCTTAGATTTTCTAGGATTCTATGATCAGCAAATAAGGATGTTTTCTTCTTCTAATAGTTATGCCATGGTGTCTGATTATTTTCTTTATTATACTTTTTAGAAAACCCTATGCAGTGTTAAAGAATGCTGGCTACAGGCAGTCAGGTCTTATTTCCAGATATAAATGCAACAAACGCTTCCCTGGTTAGATGTGATGTTGGCTGTTGGTTTGGGATGGATAGTCTCTGTCATGTTAAGGAAGCAGCCTTCTGGTTTTGTTTATCAGCACTCATATTAGGAATGGGAGTTATATTTTACTTAATGCCTATTGTCCAGTTGTTGAGGTGATGTATTATTTGCTTTTAATTTTCCCTTTTGCCCTTTAGATATGATTTATGTTCAGTTAATTGATTGCCTAATATTGAGATATCCTCAGATAAATTCATATTGACCATGTCATGGTAGACTTAATATACCATTAAATTCTGTTTGGGAAAAAAAATCTATTTGCAAAAAAATCTATTTGCTGGGGTTATATAGAATTTTGCAGTTATTTTACTAAGACTAGCTTTTTCTCAATATGCATTGTTAGGTTAGTGAAAGAGGGTTTCACTGACTTCACAGAGGGAATGAGTTGCCTCTGTCTTTTTTTATTTTTTTTGAGACAGAGTCACACTGTGTCGCCCAGGCTGGAGTGCGGTGGTGCCACCTCAGCTCACTGCAACTTCCGCCTCCCGGGTTCAAGCAGTTCTTGTGCCTTAGCCTCCTGAGCAGCTGGGATTACAGGCACGTGCCACCATGCCCGGCTAATTTTTGTGTTTTTAGTAGAGACGAGGTTTTGCCATGTTGGCCAGGCTGGTCTCAAACTCCTGACTTCAGGTGGTCCGCCCACCTCAGCCTCCCAAAGTGCTGGGATTACAGGTGTGAACCACAGCGCCCGGCCACCTCTTTTTACTGTGTTACAGCAGACTTCAGGACAAGATCTTAACTTGTTCCTTGCTGAATAGACAGACACCCTTAAGGGAGGGAGGTATTAGGCCCTGACAAGCTGCAGCCATATTATATTATATTTTGCAGACTTTTATTATCTTCTTAAGCAGGAAACATGGCTCTTTCATTTAGCTTTGGTGGTCACATTAAGTCTTTTTTTTTTTTTTTTTTTTTTTTTTTGAGATGGAGTCTTGCTCTGTCGCCCAGGCTGGAGTGCAGTGGCGCGATCTCGGCTCACTGCAAGCTCCGCCTCCCGGGTTCACACCATTTGCCTGCATCAGCCTCCTGAGTAGCTGGGACTACAGGCCCCCGCCACCATACCCAGCTAATTTTTTGTATTTTTAGTAGAGACGGGGTTTCACCATGTTGGTCAGGATGGTCTCGATCTGACTTCGTGATCCGCCCGCCTCGGCCTACCAAATTGCTGGGATTACAGGCGTGAGCCACTGCGCCGGCCCCACATTAAGTCTTTTAAGTAGCCTGCTGTTAATTCTGTCGTAGTCTTTTCTATAAAACAATACTGATCCAATTTGTGATAAACTCACCCACTCTCATCGCAGAATATATATTTCGCCCGTTCATCTTCCTTCTTTGGCCCACTTTATCTGTCTACCTCCTTCATTTTGTTTCTCCCAGGAAGGACTGATGTAAATGGGATTTTCAGAAACTCCCTCCAGCATGCCCCTCTCTGCATCTGGAATACAGGGGTCAGAGGATCTACTCTGTCTAGGGTCCTTCCTCTCCCTGGCAGGTCTTATGGTAGTGTACACTGTGGTTTGCCTCTATCAGTCTGTCCTTCATTTCTGTGACCAGATCTCCAACAGGACATGTTCTAAAGAAGTGTGGTAGAAACTAGCCCATTTCAAACTTTGCACCGTGATTTTTCTACACGTCACCCCACTGGGGCTTTTGTGATCAGTTTTATAATAAAGAGTGGATCTAGATTGAACCTTAGTTTTGCTACAGTGTTTCATTCAGTCATTCCATAAACATTTATTGAGCGTGTACTATGTGTCAGGCAGTGTTCTAGGCATTTGTAGGAAAGCGGGAGAGAGCAGTTGGAGCAGTGGACATTGTGTTCATTTCAGTTGCAGTCCTCCCTGAAGTTTTACAGATCTATAGCAACTCATTTTTTTTCAGTTCAAAGAAGCAGTGGGAAACCTATGTCTCCTGCTCTCCCCCATGAGATGTGTATTGTTTTTTCCTGAATGAGCAGCTGGGGACATAGCCCAGGCAAGTGAGGAGTCGTATGTACCAGGAATGTCCCCCTAGGTCATTACTCATGGGTATTAGGTGCCCCCAGGAGAGAATGGGGAAATGATGCCTCCTGCCTCTCCCAGCATCTGAGGAGGGTTAATGTAACAGAGTGTTGAAAGTCCTTTGCAGACAGAAGCACTATATTGTGATAGGGCCTTAATATTGTCTTCTCAGACTGTCAAGTCATTCCTGTCCCAAGGATCTGGGACAGCTTTTATGCATATTTCATTTTTTCTAAAACACTTACCTTTCATATACCTTCAGTTTTATTCCTGCATCTTAGAAAGATAACTCCAGAATGACTAAAGAAAACATGGTCCACCAAGGTGGCATGTCAGAAATGACCATTCCTAGAGTTCCCCTGAGAGGCTGATTTTCAAAGAAGTTCTCCCCAAAGAGCAACAGAATTGAGATCTATATCTTAAGGGAGATGTGAAGTCCTCTTGGCATAATGGCCATTATTGCCCTGGATAAAAAGCAAACATTTTAGAGACGCCGAAAGTACTTAGAACCTAACAGTCCTCTATCAATTGCTTAAAGAGTAAACAGAGACCTTTTATAAGAAACAGACCCAGCGTCTTGGCAGTTTGCAAACAGGATGAGGAAATCTTTTTTTCCTTCCTGAAGCTTCGGATCTGAGAAGCTAAAGACACCACATCTGAATTCACAAAGTTTCTTTTGTTTACCATAATATTGTCCTATCTAGATGAGGGTGGTAGCTGCTTGCCTAGGGAAATTTTGAGTATTTGGAGCCACTGACACTGTTTCTAGACAAAAGACTCAAGGGTTCCTTTGCTGGTCAACAGTAAAAGAGCAGAAAATCATCTAACAGGCACACTGGCTCACTCTTGTAATCCCAGCACTTTGGGAGGCCGAGGCAGACAGATCACCTGAGGTCAGGAGACCAACCTGGCCAACATGGTAAAACTCTGTCTCTACTAAAAAAATACAAAAACTTAGCCAGGCGTGGTGGCACATGCCTATAATCCCAGCTACTCAGGATGGGCTGGGGCAGAAGAATCGCTTGAACCTGGGAGGTGGAGGTTGCAGTGAGCTGAGATTGTGCCACTGCACTCCTGCCTGGGCGACAGAGTGAGAATCTGTCTCAATTAAAAAAAAAAAGAAAAGAAAAGAAAAGAAAGAAAGAAAGAAAATCACCAAACAGCGAGCTCCTTGGTGGTGCTCGTGTTGGAGACGTAATTTCACCATCCTGAAAAATGACCCAACAGGCAACAGCTTGGATGGATCTTAGGGGAATATGCTGATTGAAAGAAGCTAATCACTAAAGCAATCTACCATATTATTCCATTTATATAACAGTCCTGAGATAACACAATTGTAGAGATGGAGAACATATTCATGGTTGCCATGGGTTAGGAGTTGTGGGTGGTGGCCATAAAAGAGTGGCGCTAGGGAGCCTTGTGATGATGGAACTCTTCTGGCTCTTGGCTGTGTTAACTGATGGTGGTTACATGAAACTACACATGGTTATGCTAAGTTACACACACACACACACACACACCCCCACACCCACATACACACACATTAGTTATTAAACTGATGGAATCCAAATAAGCTCTGTGGATTGCATTCATGTCAACTTCCTGGTTTTGATATTGTGATATAATCATGCCAGCTGTGACCATTGGAGGAGGCTGGGTGAAGGGTGCACAGGACCTCACATAGGACCTCCTGAACATTTCTTTGTAACTTCCTGTGAATCTATAATTATTGCAGAATAAAGGATTTTTTAAATTGCCTTTCTAAACTCATAAGTCTTGAGTGTTGAGATTCTAATTCTGGAAAATAATATAGACTATGAGAGGAAGGAAGGGAGGAAGGAATTTATTTCCAATTGAAAGTTTTATTTTTTATTTTTATTTGTTTATTTTTTGAGACAGGGTCTCACTCTGTTGCCCAGGCCTGAGTGCAGTGGCATGATCACAGCTCACTGCAACCTCAACCTCTCAGGCTCAGGTGATCCTCCCGCCTCAGCCTCCTGAGGAGCTGGGACGTAGGCATGCACCACCACATCTGGCTAATTTTTTATTTTTTTGTAGAGACTAGGGCCTAGGCTAGTCTTGAACTCCTGGGCTTAAGTGATACCTCCACCTCAGCCTCTCAAAGTGCTAGGATTATAGGCGTGAGCCACCACACCTGGTCTGAAGAAGGTTTTAACACCTACACATACACACACACCTAACCAGATCCAACCATTCATCTTACTACTGTCTGAGGCAGGCATTCCTCCTGCTGTGTGTGGCAGAGTACGTGGAATGTGCCTGCAGGAGCACTCGGAGCCCTGGCTGGCCTGTCCTCAGGGCACTGCTCCTGGGGAGTGAACTCACTTCTGTATGTGCCCAGCTTCGGGAGAAAAGTGCCTACAACCATCTGCAGAAAATCTGTCCAGTTTCCAGTGTGCCTCTCTGGGCTTCTTGAAGCAAAGCGAAACCTAATTTTTAAATTGAAAAGCATGTCTATACGTGTTTTGTAAAGCATTCAACGTTACAAGAGAGTGTGTCCTAAGCTGTCACTCAGTTGCTTCCCAGAGAACCTTTGTCACCAATGCTATGTTTAATCTGACAGAAGCATGTGGTGGATGGATGTGACATGTCTACCTTTATAGAGATGTTAACATCCTATACAAACATTTTTTGCTCTTACTGTTCTTTAGAGTAGTTCTGTATCAACACTATTCCATTCTTTTTTTAACAGAGATAGGGTGTCCTAACCAGTGAATGTAGTGATGGGCATTTGGGTGATGGTCCTTCTTTTGCTCTGTGTGTGTGTGTGTGTGTGTGTGTGTGTGTCTTTGTCTTTGTGTGCCTCTTTGAGATTAGTCCCTTGTCCAAAATATGTTATTTAAAATAAGTAAGATCTCCTTAACATTTCTGTTTCTCTGGCCATTTTTATAGTTCTGTGTGACTTTTCCTTCTCAATATTTGCCTCTGGTGTGTGACTCGTGATCTCCAAGTAATCCATCAGCACCTTAATTTTGAGAGCACAGTGAGAGAGCCTTTACGTCCCTTAGGGATTCTGAAGGAATTCTCCCTCTTGAGGTCTCAGTCCACAAATCTATTTTTCTTCATAAAATAATTTGGGATGACTTTCTTTGTAGCTTTTTATAAAAAGTGGTTGTGAAATGTAGCTATTGTGTTTTGCTGTCTTTACACTGTACTCATTAACTTCAACAAAATTATAAACGTAAAAATCATGTAAAAGTATGTGTGATAATTACAGGGGAGAATAAGATACCCACTGATGCTCTGATAGTTTTTTATACATGAATGTGTGTGCTGTGTAGATGTTGCTGTTTCAAAATACTGTCAATGAAATTATTTCTCTGTGTAAAGGATAAAGCAAAGTGGCCTCCTTCCTATTCACTTCCTTGGAATTGCCAAGGCTACATGAGGCATAGCAGGGATCGGACGCCGCAGAGTCCCTGACTCTTCCCCCCTGGTGTGTCTATGAGTGCAGGGGTGAGGAGATGAGGTGGAGGCAGGCCTGAAGATGGCCACCAGGAGAGGACTGCCATCCACAGAAGCCATGATCACTCTGGGGTGCCATGGTGACATGGTGACCTCACCACCTCTCAGTGGGAAGAGGAGGCTTGTTTCGGTTATTCTGCAGGAAAGTCTGCAATAGTAGCTCTCTCAGAGGAGGGGAAGGAAGGGGGTGGGCTGTGGGCCATAGCCGACCTTGTCAGGTAGGCTTGTGTGCCAGGGCCTTGCCACTTCCCAGCCTGTGTTTAGACTGTGTGTCCTGAAGGCCAGCTCTCCACCTGACCTCTCCCCTTGGCATTACCACATAAAGGAATCATTGTATTTTCCACGCAAGTGTTAGGTATTCTTACTTCCCTAAAATGAGCAAGGAGGCGAAAACGCTACATAAAAACCAGGGTCCTGAGTTTCTGTTCCTCACTGCTGAACAGGATGGCCCCACTCCCATCTATATGGAAATGTTGGCAGGGGCCCAGGCTACTATAAATAAGCATCCTGACTGCTCCAGGAAGGCTGGGCTTCCTCATTTTTTTTAAAGTGGAATTTGTAACAGCTTCTGCCCAGAACATTTGTGTCCAAGGTCCTTTCATCTCCCAGGCATCCTGTACAACTGCCATACGGAGGTTTTGGAAATCTTCCCGCTGCAGCTGGGTCACAGGACAAGCCACACAGGACCAGCTCACTAAAAGAAGTGATGATCTCTCTTCTGTGACCTCCGTCTCATATTCAGATGTGAGTTTTAATAGGATTCCATCTGAGGAACAAGCAGGAATCTTCTTTCTCCTTCTGCCAAAAGGCACATCTGTTAGACACAGAATAGGTTCATTAGCAAGCGCAAAAGCCCCGGGCCACAGGAACCATCTGGGCAGCAGGAATCTGTCTTTCATACCACATGATCCTCAGCTCCTAAGGAGTCTTCACTTCCCTCAGGCTGACTGGCAACACAGGGTTACAGCAAGAGTGCCAGGTAGTAAAACATGGAAAGCTACAACAAATAAGGCTATGGCACTGGCACAAGAACCAAGACAGGTCAACAGAACAGAATGGACTGATGGACAGTGCAAGTCAGAGCGGTCGGTGGAACTCTCAGTTCCAGTCCACAACAAGATAAGGAGCTTGTGCTAGCTCCTAAGTCAGCTGTGTCACCGAGGACACCGCTGAGTTAGGCTACCATTTTTTTTCCCTCTCAATGAAGGAGGTGATGTGTTGATTTACATTCTGGCCCAAGTTATTTACCTTATGGCAAACAGGCACTTTGAGTAGCTCAGAAGTGAACAGTTTTTGAAACAGTCCCTGGTATAATACTTGAAAGAAAAATCACAAACCAATAGGGAAGGGAAGATATATTCAACAAATTGGGTTTGGAAAGTTGACCATGTTATTTTTTTTTAAATAATGTTTTTTCACAGTAAACACAAAAGAAATTACTAATAGATTTGAAAGTTAAATGGAGAAGAAAATGAAATCATGAAAAGAACCTAAAAGAAAAATCTTAAACTGATCTCACAGGACGAAAAAATGTTAAATATTTTTTCAAATTAAAAAAGTAATAAAATATCCCTTGTAGAAAATCTGTAACATAGTCTTTAAAAAAGAAAGAGAAGGCTGGGCACAGTGGCTTATGCCTGTAATCCCAGCACTTTGGGAGGCTGAGGCAGGCGGATCGCTTGAGGCCAGGAGTTTGAGACCAGCCTGGCCAACATGGTAAAACCCTGTCTCTACTAAAAATACAAAAATTAGCCAGGCGTGGTGGTGCACACCTATAGTCTCAGCTACTCAGGAGGCTGAGGCACAAGAATCGCTTGAACCTGGGAGGCAGAGGTTGCAGTGAGCCAAGATCTTACCACTGCACTCCAGCCTGGATGACAGAGTGAGACTCTGTCTCAAAAAAAGAAACAAAGAGAAATTACCCATACTTCTACTCCCCAGAGATACTACTTTGATTTATTTACTACCAATGTTATTACTATTTTATTGCAACTGATATTATTACTATTTCCTTCCAATCTGTTCATATAAAATTTTTATTAAACTAGGGTCCTATTATATATATAATTGTGTGTCATTCTTTGCCATGAAATTAAATATCATTTTAAAACATGGGAAAAAAGAACATACAAAACTGTATTTACAGCATGATCTTGTGGTGGTGGTGGTGTTTTGTAGAGTTGCTTTATATATACAAATAGTTATTAAATACATTAAATTACTATATTTTAAAATAAGTTTAAAATGCTATCTGGGGTTGGGTGCGGTGGCTCACGCCTGTAATCCCAGTGCTTCGGGTGCATCACCTGAGATCAGGAGTTCGAGACCAACCTGGCCAACATGATGAAACCCCATCTCTACTAAAAATACAAAAAATTAGCCAGGCATGGTGGCAGGCGCCTGTAACCCCAGCTACTCAGGAGGCTGAGGCAGGAGAATCGCTTGAACCTGGGAGGCAGAGGTTGCAGTGAGCCAAGATCGCGCCACTGCACTCCAGCCTGGATGACAGAGTGAGACTCTGTCTCAAAAAAAAAAGTTAAAAATGCTATCTGGCTGAACGTGACTTTTATTTTTATATTTTGGGCCTTTCCAAATTTTCTGCAAGGAGTGTGTACACTACATTTGTCATCAAGGAAGATAAAACAAAAAGTTGTCATTCACAACCCAGTGTTATTGGGGCTGGTTTTGGTGGAATTGACTCCCTCTGTCACAAACTCAGCTTCAGCCCATACCCTGAGCCATAGACCTATCCCTCTAATGCATTGTACTAGTCTCAGGGCTAATAACAAGGGAGAGGTGTCAAAGGGCCAGTTCCACCTCCACCACCAGTGGAAAAGCTATTCCCAGGTGAGGACTGCAGCTGCCAGGGCACTGCTCCAGAATGGGCATGCTGGCCATATTCACTTGCCCACTTCTGCCCAGGGATCTATTTTTCTGTGGTGTGTATTCCCTGTGCCTTTGGGGGCATCTCTTATACTCATGAAATCAACAGAGGCTTGCATGTATCTATCTGTCTATCTATCTATCTATCTATCTATCTATCTATCTATCTATCTATCTATCTATCTATGAGACAGGGTCTTGCTCTGTCACCCAGATTGGACTGCAGTGGGGGAATCATAGCTCACTACAGCCTCAAACTCCTGGGCTCAAGCAGTCCTCCTGCCTCAGCCTCCCAAGTACCTGGGATTATAGGCATGAGCCACCATGTCCGGCTAATTTTTTTTTTTAAGAGATGGGGTCTCGCTGTGTTCCCCAGCCTTGTCTTAAACTCCTGGCCTCAAGTGATCCTCCCATCTCAGCCTTCCAAAGTGCTGAGATTACAGCAGAGGCTTTTAAGTCAAAGCTTTCCCTGCTAGGACAAGCCCTAGTTAAAGTCCTGGAGCACTGGCCACTGCAGCTGCACTTGGACAGCTGGCCCTCTGCTACCCTTAGTGCCACCTCTTCTTGGGGGCTGCGGCACGAAGCACTCTGGGAAACGGGGCTTGAGAGGGTTTCATTCCTCAGTGTTTCCTCGTGTTTGGCCCACCCTGAGCCAAGGAAAGCTCCTTCCATTCCACTAAACGGAGGGCTCCTCTCCCGAGAGGAAGTTTGCAGGAAGGTTAGGATCCCCCTGCACGTGGTGAGGAGTGTCCTGCCGTTCACTGCATCCTGGCTCCAGTAATTGTGAGTAAAAGAACAGGTTGGGAGGCATTCTCAGACCATAGAATGCATAGGCAAGATAGGTAGCGAATGCTGCTCAGTACTTTGGAATCAGCTCTCAGGGTAGCACAAAGGCATTCCTTCACCAGCAGAACTTCAGAGAGATGACCCATTCAAATCAGCAGCCTTGTTTTTCCAAATGCACACTTTAGAATGGCTTATCCATCCATCTTTACAGCTCTGCGTGCCATTTGTGAAAAACAAAAGCTACCCAACAACCTGGGATTATAAACCAGGCCAAAGTGGTGAGCACCCAGCAGCCATGGTCTGGCTTCCCACCGGCTCCTCACACAGCTCCAAGCCAGGCTGTGTTGGGATGGAAGCTTTGGTCCTGCTCTCATAAGCCTCCCTGTTCTTAGAGTGACCCCACGCTTCTGTGCCTCGGCATTGCAGGCCTGGCGCTGGTGCCGAGGAAGCTCTGTGCCCACTACACTTGGGATGCCAGTGTGCTGCTCCAGGCATGGCCTGCTGTGGACCCGGAGTTCCTGCAGCAGCCTGAGGTTGTCCAGATGGCAGTTCTGGTAAGTATCTCCCCTCAACCCCAGAACCCAGCAGTCCCTGCCCTGCTGGTGGCCCCTAAATACTGTGGTGGTTTTGAGAGGTCTATTAGCAGGCCTTTCTAGCTCACTCAGCTCAGCCCTCAGCCACACCTTGTGACCGGAAGGCACAAAGGCCTGTCTTTCCTTTGCCAGTACCCTCAGTTTTGTAGGTCACCACACACCAGAAGCATGTGAGCATAAAACTCTCATGGCCCTCAAGTGCTTGGAAAGGGGAGTAATAAACCTGGCCCGCCTTACAGGTTCTCGTTATCTTCCTTTCCAACTGTGGACCGTGTTTCAGTCACTCTCAATTTCACTCGTATGCTCCTGGGGACTTTTGGGGGCTGGGGAAGGGTGACAGTGAGGTGGGTGGCTATGGAGTAATACCTGTAAAACATATTTCAGAAAGGCTCCATAATTTTTACTTGAAAATTAGGTGATTTTAAATACATAAGAGGAGTTTATCGTTTAAACCCTTTCTAAGAGCAAGTAACCCCCTTATAGTTTATCCTATATGTGATTTTTCTACATTTGTTTAATTTGTTAAATGAGACACATTTATGGTGAATATCTCTTAAATATGCTGATGTGTCTGAAGAAAAAAAGAGGACAGGGAGTAGACTTGGAACCACATGTCTCCCCGGAACCACACATGGGGCCAGGTAATTCACATTCAAAATTGTCATTTCACTCTTATCACCCTATAACGTGGGCGTTGCCATTCTCATTTTTTCAGTTGAGGAGACTCAGCCTCAGTGAAGTTGGTCCACCTTGCCCAGGTTTATTCACAAATGCTTAGCAAGTCTGACTCTACATCAGGCATAGTGCTCTGGGGATACAAAATCAAGATAGGACAGACAGGTTCCCTGCCCTCATGGAGCTTAAAGCATAGTGGAAGAGATAGGGAAGAATAAAAAGGAAAGAGTAAGATAAATAAAATGGCTGCAAATTGTGAAAAGTGCCCTGAACAAACCCACCTAGGGGCTGAGGGAGGGCATAACCCCACAGAGGTTGGCCAGCCAGGCCCTGGCCCCTCTGCACCTGTGCAGACCCAAGGCCCAGCAGGAAGCTGGAGGTTTGGAAAGACAATATTTTGCCCAGGAGACCGGGCTCCTTCACAGCCCCTTTGTCTCTGCACCAACTCCCCTGGCACTGTGTTCTCTGCCACCCCACCCCAAGGGAAGAGGATGTGAGGGTGCCCTGGCAGGCTTCTTCCAAAAATCTTCAAAACCAAAACCAACCATCCTTGTGGCATGGAGGAAATTTCTTTTCTTTCTTTATTGTTATTATTATTAAAACCATCCTTGTGGCATGGAGGAAATTTCTTTTTTTATGATTATTATTATTATTTAATAGAGACAAGGCCTCACTCTGTTGCCTGGGCTGGTCTCAAGCTCCTGGGCTCAAGCAGTCCTCTTGCCTCAGCCTCCCAAATTGCTGGGATTACAGACATGAGCCACCACACCCAACCCAGAATTTTTTTTTTTTATTTTTTTATTTTTTTTTTTGGTGAGACAGAGTCTCTCTCACTCTGTTGTCCAGGCTGGAGTGCAGTGGCACAATCTTGGCTCACTACAACCTCCACTTACAGCAATTCTCCTGCCTCAGCCTCCCAAGTAGCTGAGATTACAGGCATGTGCTACCATGCCCAGCTAATTTTTGTATTTTTAGTAGAGATGGAGTTTCACCATGTTGGCCAGGCTGGTTTCAAACTCCTGACCTCAAGTGATCTGCCCACCTCAGCCTCCCAAAGTGCTGGGATTACAGGCAGGAGCCACCGCACCCAGCCCCAGCCCAGAAATTTATTTAATTTGAGTAATGTTTATGAGAAATAAATAGCTCATGCATCCCTGAGAACTTGTCCTCAGCCCGGTTGAGAAATGCTAACTTAAGAAAAAGAGAGGGCTTTAGTCTATGAAAATATCTATCTTAAATTACCACTGCAGAAAAGAAATTGAGTTTTGATCGTTGGTAAAAATAATTTTAGATAATCATTGAAATGCAAACCTAAAATGAAAAGCATGTGTAAGACTCCCTGCAGGTACACCCAGCTTGAGAACCCAGGCTGGGTCAGCACCGTGCCAGCAGCAAGGACTTCTGTGAAGGCCTGGGTTCTCGCTCCATGTGATCTCACTTTGTGTCCTGGCCAGAAACAGGCTGCAAGCGCAGTTCGATGTCATTCAGTTCAATTGTGCCCATGTTCTTTGTGCCTGTGACATGCTGGGCTCTGCCCACACCAGGGATACAGAGACAAGAGCTACCGCCTTGTCACCTTGGAACAAAGGTCTGGGGGCACATGAGCTGTCACACACAGTTTATGTAAGGGCTCGGAAGTCAGGCCATCCTGGGTATAAGTCTCAGTTTTACAACATATTTAACACCTCTAAGCCTCAGTTTCCTGAGTTATAAAATGGAGGCACACACAGTGCCTGCCTTATCCGGCTATTGAGAGAATTAGGTAGGATAATGCCAGGAAGTGCTTAGCCTGCTTCTGGATGCACTAATGACAAAATCCTCTTAATACAGAGTGAGCGCCGACCCAGGGCCACGCTCTGCCCTAGAACTTCCCAGGTGTGAGCTTATTTACTAAGCACAGTGGCCCTGTGAGGCAGGCTTGTTGTTATCCCCATTCACAGACAGGCAGATGTGTGACTAACCCTATCTTACAGGCAAGGAAATGGTGGCAGGATGGAGCTAAATAACTCACTGAAGGTCACACAGCTAGTCCAGAATCTACTCTGAATGGTGACTGCTGCTAGCATCAGCGTTGCCACTTCTGGCAGTTGGAGAATCAGAAAATACGTTATGAGGAAAAGGACAGGCAGCTTTGGCTTTGAAAGAGGAGCAGCCTCTCCCCAGTGGAGAGAAGGGTGTCGCAATACCAGGAACAAACATAGGGGGGCAGGCCCACAGAGACCCGGGCTGAGCCAGGGAGGTACTGGAGCAGAGGGCATAGGGCAGTGCTGGAGACAAAGCTAAAGGTAGGGAGTGTCCCCTCCTCAGAGGCCAGACACCCCTCAGAGGACAGGGGGCTACCAGGGTGTGTGAGCAGGAGAGAGAGGGGCTGTGTCAGGTCATCCCGTCTCTTCCACTGCCTGGGGTGGAGCCTAGGTGGACAAGTGACTTCACTTCATGTGCCTCAGCTTCCCTATCTGTAAAATGGGATGGGATATTCATGCATCGACTCACAGGTTCATACAAGTGAATTGCATAGTTCAATGCTTGGCACAGAGTGAGAGCTCAGCAAATGGAAGCTTGTACTGTTATTAGCCATCGCAAGGCTACCCTCATGATGGGGACAGGTGATGGATTCGAGTGGGAGGAACACCTGTGGCCTGGGCCCTGTCCGGCAGGTGTCAGAAAAGTCCAGGAGAGTCATGCTTAGGCCTTCTCCAAAGATGGAGGTGCAAGAGCCCCACAGCATAGCAGCCTCTTTTTGAAGTGATGTCAATGTGCTTCTTCCTCTTTGGGCCCTTGAAGCTCAGGCTCAGTGTTGAG
Organism: Homo sapiens; assembly: GCF_000001405.40. Classification (NCBI taxonomy): domain Eukaryota; kingdom Metazoa; phylum Chordata; class Mammalia; order Primates; family Hominidae; genus Homo; species Homo sapiens. Next base: position 45,545,473 of record NC_000003.12, read on the forward strand.
TCCCAACCTGACTTCTCTGCCCATCTCATTGGCGCTTTATGCCAGAGACAGGGGGAGCATGATTGGCACCTACTCACCCTGAAGGGACTGCCTTGGTAAGGCAACTCAGGGGAGGCCTGGGGAGCCAGAACCGTGTGAGGGTGCCCGAGGCAGCAAGGGAAAGACTCAGAGCACGATGGCCACATTCAGAGATCACATGCCCTGCCCCCAAAGCCCCAGCTGTGGACAAGAATGACTCAGGTCCCTTGGACAGGCTGTCACCAGTGATGACTTAGGACCAGCCTGCCCGGCTCCAGCAAAGCACAGGAAGCTCGAAGGTTTAGAAATGGGTCATTGTTGTGCTGAGGCCATGCGTCAAAGAGGACATCCCACAGCCAGCTCCTATCCTGGCCAGCACTCTTGACAAAGGCAGAGGGAGTGCAGCTTAGTGAGCTGGTCCCTTTACACAGGTTATTCACTCCAGAATCTGGAGAATTCTGTCCTTAAGGAAAAAAAAAAAAAAAACTAAGCTCAAGATCCCACAGCTTGTAAGACCAGGCCTAAGAGTCAAACCTGAATCTCCCCACATGAGAGCACCATGCTCCCCCTCACCCAGCACCCCCTCTGTAGGTGGTGGCCCAGAGGAGATGTTGCCCTGGGCTGCTCTTCCATAGGAGGAAAGACATGATTCACTAATAACTGCATGTCCTGAGAATTCCCTGTTGGGGACCCCAGGACTTCACTAGGGGCATGGCTCTTGGGTGACAGTTGGGAGGTCTCTTCCAGGGTCTCAGTCCAGCCAAGCATGTGGCCTTGCAAGAAGGCAGCTTCTAATGGCTCAGAAACACCAGGGCAGGGGGGCCACAGTCCTTCACACCACACACTTAGTTCCCCAGCTTCAGAACGCTTTAAAACGCTGCAGCATGGAGCCTCACGCTTTCAAAACAGTATTTCATAATATGCCAGGACTTTGTGTTTTATTCGTCCTCTCCCTGTGACCTAGGCTAATGCAGACAATAAAAATGCCACCAAGTTCTGCAAAACTGAAAAAATGAAGTGGGTGATTAGGGGACATTTGATAATGTGCTTTGGTTGAAACTTGAGAAATTATTCCTAGTAACTTTTCCTAAGACTGTGACTATATTTTCCAAGTGAAAAATAAGAGCTAGTGAAAGTAATGTGTGTGTAGATTTCGGAGCAATGGGATTGAGGATTTGGAAGCATGACTTCAGAAACTGAGCCACGTGGTCACCTTCCCTCATTGAATCAATATTCGGTGAATACCCACCTGTGTCTGGAACTGTACTGACCCATGTTAAGCGAGAAAGAGTGATTAATGTGACAAGATGTGGCTCCAATTTCTAAGTCCTCACACTAGAGCGCCCCCTTCTGGAGCCAGTCAGCAGAGAGAGAAGTTTGACTGTGTCCCCCTTGAAACCGTCAACTGTTTGGTCCACTTGAGACCTAGGTAAAATCTGAGGGGACAGCTCACTCTAACCTGGATCTGAACTTAAACTTGAGCCCCGATGACAGAATAATCCCTTTCTGCCTGGAAATGGCCCAAGCCATCTCATGCTGAGGCTTTTTGACATAATCTCTACCACAGCTGTGTATGGGAGCAGTGCTCAGAAAATGCAAGGCGGTCCTCACTCCACGTACGGGCACTCACATGCAGTCTCAGTGTCGGTCTCTTTCTGCAGGTCTAGGCATTAATCCTATTCAGCTGGTTGCATTTTACCCTTATGGGAAGCAGAGTGCTGACTTCCTCCTTTCTCCACCTCTATTCCTTTCCCCTAAACAAATGCAGCCATGCCCTTTACAGGCAGGAGGTTTGGTATTGGGCCGCCTGCCACTCTGAGGATGTTCCTCATTGTTTATCTTGGCTTTTCTCCTTCTCAGATCAACAATAAAGCTTGTGGCAAAATTCCTGTGCCCCAACAAGTTGCCCGGGACCAGGACAAAGTCCACGAATTTGTTCTTCAAAGCGAGCTGGGTGTCAGGCTTTTGCAAGGACGAAGCATCAAGAAGTCCTTCCTTTCCCCGAGAACTGCCCTCATCAACTTCCTGGTGCAAGATTGACAGCCAGGAGGCTGCAGCTACCACGAGGGCCTCTGAGGAACCTCCTTCCAGGCCTGGGATGAGGGGGCGATGTCTGCTGGCCCAGGGGAAGGGAAAAGACAAATGTCTTGACTGTTGACCTCGGTCCTGTGGCAGACTGCAGTCAACAGTGTGCCTCTGTAGTGTGGCCTGGTGCTGGGGTGAAGGTGAGCTGGGCAAAGGAGAAATATGAGCTACTGAGGAGGGGGTTGGACATCCTGCCCCTCACCCCCCACCCACACTGCAGGTAGAGGAGGCCATCTGATCCCATGGGAAGCCATCAGAGACACTGCTGGTGGGAGCAGGAAGGAGCAGTGCCCCTCGAGCAGCCAGGAAGCCTGCGGATCTGGGAAATGGCTCTGCCTTAGGCACTTCTCGGGAATTTGAGGCCAGCCTGAGGAACTGCAGGACTCAGGTGCAATGTGCCAGCCACTTGGAACTGCTAACTGAGCCTCCAGATGGTAGTGAATGGTCTCTTTGCCTTCAGGCTGGATGAGGAAGTCATTTAGGAAATGTTCAAATAACCAATATGTGGAAATGGACACAGGGATCTTCTGAAGTTGCTTTGAATCAAAAGGCAGGCAGTGCTGGTTCCTCTGCCTGTGTCCCCACCACTCCCCAGCTCTGTCATGCAGGCCTGTCCTCCCCAACCCCAGCTGGATGTGCCTCCCAGGCCTGCTGTGGTTCTGACACACAGGATCCCAGGCAAGGCACCACTTCCTCACATGAATGAGGAGCAGCAAGTCATAACCACTCCCTTGGGTATACAATTTGCTGTGTAGTGAAGTGGAACCAGGCTCAGGCTGCTGGTCCCAACCTCAGAGCCCCACCGCAGCCCAGTAGGGATGCAGCACGCCCCAGAGGGCTCATGTGGGCCCCAGATGGCAATGCCACCATTGTTGATGTGACTCCAGAGCCAGTTATTAGGAAGAGCAAGCTCACCACAGAGGAGTGGAACTGAGGCCCCCCAGATGTTGCCTCCGGTGTCCAAGCCACAGCGGTCTGGCTGTTGGGAAGATGGCCAGGAATGGACTCATACCATTGGCACATTAGGCTAATCCTGGTTTTATGTGAAGTCAGCAATTAAGTGTTCCCACTAGAACTGACCTAAGCCACTGATTAATATTTAATGAGGGAAGGTAGGGGAGAATCTAGCCATTTTATAATGCCAGAAATCTATATATGTTATCTGATGCCATTTTTCTGAAGTAGCCTCACATGTGGTCCCCCTGCAGTTCAGCAGTTAACAGATGACTTTTTTAGTGTAATAAAATGTTTATCATCTATGACTTCAGGACATATGTGTGATCCTGGAATACACCATATTCCAATTTCAGAGTTAATTACAAACAGATTGAGGTATTCCATCATCATCGGAAGCATTGGCTGTGTGTCTGACTCCACATGGAATGCTATAAAGTGGGATACATGTGGTTCTTCTTGTTCCAGAACTTACAGTCCATGGTAGACAACACTGATACAGGCAAACTAGCAACAGCAATTAAGTCACTGGTTCTCAGACTTAATACTCTGCCTGGTCCTCATGCCCAGATATTCCAATTTAATTGGTCCATGGTGTGGCTTGAACACCAGGAATCTTTAAAACTCCACAAGTGATTCTAATGGGCAGCAAAGTTTGAGAATCACTGGACACATTGATGCACTTGAGCCATCATTTCTATCTAGTTCTTCCTCTTCCTAATCTTCAGGTTAGCGGGGATAAGTTTGGTCCAGGACCAAGAGTTGGACCAAAAGGGAAGACAGGGGCCAGAAGTCTAGAGTGCTAGAGCCGACTTGAATGTACTCAGTCTCATTGCACATGGCAGTGAATATGGATTAAATATAAGCCCATGAAAATATTTGGTACAAGGAAGGAGTGAGTGATTTTGATTATCTTGTTATTTCCTAGTAAGCTAAGTGGTCTTGAACAAGATGAGGGAAGGGAGCCCTTTATTTGCATGTGATCTGACCAGAGCAATGGGCCAGTAAAGCCTCAAGGCTGCTAGACTGACCAGCTGGCTGACACCAGCATGGCTCTGAAGAAATTGCTCCAAGAGGATAAAGCTTTTGCAAACAAGAGCTCATCAGTACATACTAAGAGACAGTATGGGTAATGGAACAACTGGACAGAAAACTCTGACCCCTGGGAGTGAGGTGGTGGGGAATAATCTCAGCCATTTATTGACTGTCTTGTTGAGGTCAGAAACTGGACTCAGCAGGTTCACAATAATTATCTTATTTAATTCCCACAAAAACTCTAGAGGGAAGGAATTATTCTCTCATAAAAGAAGAAACCCAGGCTCTGAGGTTCAATAATTGTCTCAGTTTTCACAGCTAATAAGTAGGAGAACTGGGATCCAAGCCCACATCTTCTGTCCTCCACGTTTGCCTCCCCGCCATGTCTACCAGTCCCCTCACCTAATTGTCCATGTTACTTGGTGTACACAGTCAGGTGAGATGGCTCCCAAAACCACTGGCATTTTGAGCAGAGTGTGGCTGGGGTTTCCCTCCTGGAAAGCCTGTAAACCTGGGAAATCACAGAGGTGGTGTCCTCTCTGCAGGGGCAGTGGTGGGTGAGAGGCCAAGAGCATGTGGTTAGTTCCAGAGAGCTGGGAAAGGTCATCCAGCAAGTGGAAGACGTAGACTCGTGGGCGGGTATCAGGGTTATTTCTATTGGGGCAATAAGAGAACAGAGTTTGTGCCCAGGGAAAGTGGTGCTCCATGGCAAATGCTACCACAATAGGAGCCAGCTGTCTGCCTAAGAAAATTGATCTCTAAGACCCTAAAACAATTAGTAAGCTGGGAAACAGCACAGGCATATTTCATCCCAGCCTAAATGCACACCTTCAGGGGATTGGCTAAGAAAAGCAGGGTACATCCAGTCAATGGAAGGCGAGGCAGCCAGCAACAGATGGTTTTTCAAAAACATGTAGCTTGGAAATTTTCTCATGAATGAAGGAAGATACATGCACAATGCAATCCTGACCATTTTTTTTCAACGCTTACAAAGAAAATTGAGAGCAGGAAATTTGCTTGCATATCATAGGCTGAGACTCCTACAAGTCATTTTTTTCCTTCTGTCTACTTTTTTGCATTTTCTCATTTTTATTGGCCATGAAGTATTTCAGTAATACTTCATGAGGCAAAACATCAAAATGTACAATTTTGTGAAGCTCTAAATGAGCTAAAAACCTGTTTCCCTTGATTTTTCTTTTCTTCTCCCAGGCAGGATATCTAGCTGCCTGTGAGGATGTATCCTAGCTAGGAAAACATGCTCCTTTCCTTGTATGAAGTGGAATCCAAAGAAACAAAAAGCAGCCCCCATGAAGTTCCTGCTCACGGAGTTGCTCAGTCTGGGCAGGTGTGGGGAGCTCCCTTTCTTGTATCTCAGTCTTAGGCTCTTGCAACCTTGCAACAGAAGAACGGAAGGCAACGTTCCCCTAATGGAACTCTCCTGCTCACTTGCTGTCAGATTCAAGGTTGTGGATAAGACCGAAAAAGGAGGCATTATCACCTCCTTTTGCAGATAACGAAACTTGAGACCATGACAGTAAGTGATGATGTATCTTGACCCCCAATCTGTGCTCATTCCACTTAGAGCACCCCCTCCCCGTACTACCATCAGGCAAAGTGTAGTGCAGGAGGTAAACTTTCTTTCTTTCTTTTTTTTTTTTTTTTTCTTTGAGACAGCGTCTCACTTCATCACCCAGGCTGGAGTGCAGCGGTGCAGTCTAAGCTCACTGCAACCTCTGCCTCTGGGGTTCAAGTGATTCTCGTGCCTTAGCCACCTGAGTAGTTGGGATTACAGGCATGGACCACCACACCCAGCTAATTTAGGAGGTAAACTTTCTTAACTGGCGGGCCCAGCTGGACTGTATAAGTCAAGGAAAGGCAGAGGGGTAGATAAAAAGGAGAGTTTTCCCTCGTCTTTCTTCCTGTGAGAAGAGCAAGCAGAAAACAGCTGTTTCGTGGGCTGGGTCCCTGCCTGACACTCAGAGCGTGGGTGGCTAAAGGCTCTCATCCAAGCTGATGAGCTTGGAGAAAGGAATCTAGGGTGACCAACAACGAGCAAGTAGGGAAATCCCCCGAGGGCGGGTGGGTGGTTGGTGATGGTGCTGGTAGGGAGGGGAGAGCCTGGAGCAGCCAGGGAAAGGCCAGTCCTGTAGGCAGAGGCCTCAGATCCAAGGGTGGGCCCAATGACCTCACTCCAGGCCTCCAGTGCCCTCCCTCAGCCTGTCCACATGAGGGGCTGGAGGCAGCTGTGCAGAGATAATGAGGCCCTGGAGGGGAGGTGGTGACCAGGACTGCTGGAACCCAATGCCCCATGACTCATCTCCCTGTGCCTTAAGCCCTGAACTTGAATTTCAGTTCTTATTCAGCCTCTGGAAGAGCACACCTAAGACAGACACCCTGTATACAGGGGCCATGGGCTGCAATCTCCCGACATTACAACAATAATATCTATCATTTCTGAGGACTAATTATGGGCCAGGCCCTGTTCTAAGTGCTTTGCCACATAAGGAGCCTTGCCCAAGACCACACACAAGAAGGTGGCAGAGCCGTGATCCCACTCTGCTCCACCTCGCTGGTTCCCAAAGACCTTTATGCAAACCAGCCCTTGAACCTCCTGAATTTTCCCAGATGGTCCTTATTTATAGCTTTCTCTCCAGTTGTTCCCCAAATGCCCTAGAGCCTGCCAAAACCACACTTCCTCATGTGTATCTGTGAACGTTGGCTCGCTGTGGGCACACACCTGGTTGAATGCATCCCTGAAGTTCTGAGGCACCCAATTCAGCATGTGGGGTCGGCTCTCTCTCAGCCTGGGACTGACGGCTCCCAGGGAGCCATCACCCCTGGCAGACAGAGCCTCCTTTGGACACCATCCCTGGGACCTAGAAGCCAGGAAGCCATCCTTGCTCAACTCCACCTACTGTGAGGAAAATCCCATGGCAGAGGGGAGAGGGGAGACCTGTTCTAGACCTCCCCGATGATAAGCACTCCTTGGCATCTCAGCAGCCCCATCTGTGTCTTCCGCAGATCATCTTTTCCACAAACAATAGAAGAGCCCCATCTGGGATTAATTGAGGAGGGTTCAGCCCTGGTCCCATCCAAGGGAGGCCTCACCTACCACATCTGCTGCTGCATACTCATGGCTGCCTTCAGAACTCAGAGGAGAACTAGATCTTAGGGGAGGGGTTCCCCTTCCTCAGGCACTGTCGCGGGGGTGTAGAAAGGAATAATGTGTCCTTTACACTGTGAGATCCATAGAGGAAGCAGGCACCCAAAGATTGATGCCATTCATTGGGTCTGGTTTGTCAATCATCAAGGCCAGACTGGGCCAGAGGGGCTTTGTCAGGTGGACTCAGAGAGAGACTCACTTGTCAGTGCACAAGAGGGCAGCCACTGCACAGACATAGGCTGAGAGCTGCGAAGAGGGAACCTAAAGCAAGTGTCGCCAGATATCCCCATTATTAGTTATCAGCTAACTCTTAGTTTTCAGTTAACATCATAGTTTCCAGGAAATATTTTAGTTTTCTATTAATATTTTAATTAACTACTAGCATCAGAGTCATCAGCAAATATCTAAGTCATCAGTAAACATCTTAGGTGTCAGTTTCCTCTGAGTGAATGTAGTAGACCTCTTAGTCATCATTTACTTCATTATTACCAGTTATGCACTAATAATTAGTGGTCTGCTAATATCTCGTCTACCAATCATCTTCAGCAATAAACATGCTTTAATTATCAGCTGATAATTAATGTAGCCATAACAAATAAACCCCCAAATGTCAGTGGTCTGACCCAGCAAACTTTATTTCTCTTTCCCATGAGTCTAATCCTCTAGAGAAGGGAACAGGGGAGGAGGTTCTGTTCCGTTCAGTTCCAGCTTGACGGAGGGTTCGTGCAGACTACACAGTCTTCAGCTCTTGGCTTTCATGGTTGCCCCTGACATCAAATCCAGCCCGCAGATAAGGGGGAGAGAGGTGGAGTGTCACAGTGGCTTTGGCCAGGTCTGGAAACAGTGTACATCACTTCTGCCCACTTCCTCTTGGCCAGAATTCAGTCACGTGCCTCAGCCAATTGCTAGGGGCTGGGTAGCCACTTCCCAGCAGCAACTCTGCAGGAGGGAAGGGGGGCCTGATCTTGGAGGGCAGCTGGCTGCCTCTGCCACATGGACAATCTTTGTTTTCGAATTGTTGCTTGTCAGTGTACACCTAAGTTACCTTCTAAGTATCTCAGGTGTCTGCTAACCACCTTGTTTTGCAGCTACTCCTGAGTCACAGCTGTTTGGCTTCTAAATCTGTGACAGCTGCTGTGAGTCTAAAATAGCAGAGCAATCACAGACTCTTGTTGCCTGCCAAACTGGGATGGTGCCTGCCCCTTGCTCGAGACTTTGCATGGAGATGTGTGAAGTCACGGACGTGCTTTGTGCCATTTTATAAAATACCGGGTTTACTCCGAGGGTTTGTTTATTGGTCCCCAATTCTCCCCACCTTCCTTCTTCTGTGAGGCTAACACATTGGTTTGTGAGACAGTTTGGAGTATTTTGTTTTAGGGGGTGTCAGGACATTTTGAAAGGTAGAGAAAGTCAGGCTTCCCAGATGCCCTGCAGGAAACCTGGGAAATTCTCCAGATTCCTGCTCCTAAAAGGTCATGGCTGCTCATTCAGGGTGGAAATGTGACACTTCCCCAGAAGCCTCACTGTGCTCTGGTCTAGGAGACTCACACCTCACCCCAACACACACACACACCCCACCCCACCCCCCCCACACACTACATACACCATACACCACCTACACCACACCACACACATGCACACGTATACACCACATACCACACATTCATACACACCACACAGCTGAGGGCCTGCTTTGGGGGAAGGTAATTTATTTTTGCCTGACAGAAGAACGTGCCTCACACCATGTGGCTGTGGAGGTGGAGAGGGCAACGTAGTCTTGAGAGTTCATCAGAGTCACAGCTGTTAGGGAAGTGCCTGGGCCTGGGGCCAAGGTGGACAGTGAAACAGGAAGGCTGCCCCCATTTCCACATGTGCTCACATGGGGCTCCCCCACCTGAGGCCTCCAACTACAGGTGCACCCCTCCCCTGACAGCACCCACCTCTGGTGGGAGTCTTCTGTATGATTAATAAAAAGCGTAGTAATAATAATCATATGTAATGGCCATGGTATATTGAGTGTTACTTTTTTTTTTTTTTTAGACAAGGTCTCACTCTGTCACCCAGGCTGGAGTACAGTGTCATGACACTGCAGCCTCAACTTGCCAGGCTCAAGTCATCCTCCTGCCTCAGCCTCCCTAATAGCTGGGACCGTAGGCATGCACAAGCACACCCAGCTAATTTTTTTTGATTGTTTGTACAGACAGGGACCTACTCCCTTTGTGCCACAGATTGAGCTTGACAGATGGCCCAGAGGGTGAGGGGGCTTTCAGGAACTTGTCTGGGCTCTATTGTTTATGAACCATGAGATCTTTGCAGGCTCCTTAACCTTTCTGTGCCTCTGTTTCCTCCTCTGTGAAATGGAGAGAATGGCTCCAACCTCTGCCTTGTGAGGGTGCACTGAAGCAATGTGTGTGTAACAGGCTCCGGACAGCGCAGGGCGCACAGTGAGTGCACTACTCTTCGGTCATCCAGCACTCTTAGGAGGACGTGTTTCATCCCATGGAATCCTCACCAGCCATGTGTGAGGAGTGCTCACTTTACAGATGAGGAAACAGGCTTGGCAATATCAGGTAACCTGCCTGAGGCCACCTGGCCTCCCTTCTGCTCCGGCAGAAGCCCCACCCTGGCCTGGGTAAGCCTGGGAGCCAGTGCCACATCCTGATGGGGATGTGGACAGGGAACAGGCAGCCTCTCCGCCCTCCAGTGCCCTGAGGAGCAGCCTCCAGAGGAAGAGGAGTTGCCAGTCTCCCTGGCCTGCCAGGAAAAGGTGAGTCCTGAGGCAGTCCTGTGGGGTGCATTGGCTATCCAGGGAGGGAGAGAGGAGGAGGTCAGAGGCCTGGTCTTGATTCTCATGGGCTTCCCTTCCTGCAGCCCTTCCTTTTCCTTTGGCCACTCATGACTGCGGGTTCCAGCCTGGGCAACATAGTCAGACCCCATCTCTACAAAAATTTAAAAATTAGCCAGGTGTGGTGTGCACACCCGTGTCCCCAGCTACTCAGGAAGTTGAGGTGAGAGGATCACTTGATCCCAGGAGGTGAAGGCTGTAGTGAGCTAAGATCACGCCACTGCATTCCAGCCTGGGTGACAGAGCGAGACCCTATCTCAATAAAAATTTTAAAGACTACTGAGTGACCACAGGTGGGGTGGGTGTTCCCTGGGGGCTGCAGCGGAGATCAGGCTCAATCGAGGTCCATGCTGGGACCCGTGAGAGGTAGTGACAAACAAGGGCCTCCCAGAGGGTAGTTGAGGCTCAAGGTTGGCTTTGGGAGTCAGGGAGAGACAATGGTAGTGGGATGGAGGGGTCTTCCATCTTGTTTTTTTTTTCTAGGTGCTGATCTCTCCCTGAAACCCAAGGGTCAGTTCAAGAGATAGGAATTGTGACTGTCTGTTGCTCCCCCAGGGTGTGTGTGTGCCTGTGCCCAGGCACTGAGCAGTGGCTCAAGGGCAGAGTCCAGGGGAGGACAAAGACCACCAGGTCACCTAGAGGGTTGTGCTCACCTGCACCTGCTGCCACAACCCCACAAGCTACTACAAACCTTGGATCAGCCTCACTGCTCTGTAGTATGCTAAGCAAATTATATCTGGAGTTGAATAAGACAGTCTGTCCATTCCCCCACCTCACTCCTCACTGCTTCTTGGATAGGCAGGGTGCGCTCCTGCCTCAAGACCTCACACCTGCTGTCGCTCTACCCAGAGAGCTCCTCCCCACATGGCTCACTCTCTCCTCCTTCTGTTGTCTGCTCCCAGTGAGGTCTTCCCTGGCCATCCTACATAAAATACCACCCCACCCCAGCACTCCCTACCCCCTAGCAAATAGCAGTATATTTTGCTTAATTTCCTGTGTCTTGTTCTATCATTTGTCTTCCCTTCCAGAATATCGGCATCATGAGGGCAGGGACTTTTGCAGCTTTATTTATTTATAGCAGTTTTATCATCTATTATATCTCCAGACCTAGACTGCCATTCAGGCACACCATAGGTGCTCAATAAGTATTTGAACGAATGAATGAACCCCTGTGCACCTGGCTAGTGTATTATGGGAGTCAGACAACTCACTGCAGCCCCTAGATACTCAGGGGGATCCCAGGCCGGCACCATGGGCATCACCTTGGGTGCTTGTTAGAAATGCTTATTCTTGGACCCCACCCCAGACCTGTTGAATCAGAAACTGCATTTTACTGAGATCATTGGATGATTCCCAAATGCACATTACAGTCTGAGAAGAGCTACACTCATTCTGGAAAATGGTCCCTCTAGGGCCTTCCCTAGAATGCCCATCTCCAGTATGGCTCACAAAACCCTCATGAACAATGTGGCCCCTGCCCATCTCATGAACCTGTTCTCCAGGCCCTGGACCACCACACATTCTCCACTCCAGACACAGGAGGCCCAAGCAGGTGTCAGGGACCAGCACTCCATCTCCCCTCCGGGCCTTCGCAGGGGCTGGTCTCTCCCAGAACACCCTTCCCCGCTCTCCCTGGCTAGCTCCTTGTGTGCCTTGAACAATCACTGAAAGGGTTTAGGTTACAGAGAGGCAAGGTCAGAACCTTTTTTAAAAAAAAAACAAAAACAAAAACAGAGTCTCCCTCTTGTCACCCAGGCTGGAGTGCAATGGTATGATCTTGGCTCACTGCAACCTCCACCTCCCGGGTTCAAGCGATTCTCCTGCCTCAGCCTCCCAAGTAGCTGGGATTATAGGTGCCTGCTACCACCCCCGGCTAAGTTTTTGTATTTTCAGTAGAGATGGGGTTTCGCCATGTTGGCCAGGCTCCAGGCTGGTTTCGAACTCCTGACCTCAGGTCGTCCGCCCACCTCAGCCTCCCAAAGTGTTGGGATTACAGGCGTGAGCCACTGCGCCCAGCCAGTGCCCAGAGCAAGGTGGTGAGGAGCTCATCTGGGGCCAGCCCCCGAGCAGACAGGGAATGGCTGGGGCTCTGGGTGAGGGCAGAGCTGTGGAATGAGAGAGAAGGGGCAGATGGAGCAGTGTTGCCAGTGGACAGGCCCTGGCAGCATGCTGGAGAGGGAAAGACCAGGACTGGAACATCAGCACATTACTAGGGTAGAGGGTGCTGCCTTGTGGGGACAGCCAGGAGGGCAGGCTCATTCAGGGGTCCAGAGCCTACAGCTGAGGGGGCCTGGCTGGGAAGGGGTCACTGTGTGCCCTTGAGCCACCACGCGTGAACCTGCTTTGTATCCTCCCGAGGAAATTGAGTTAAACTCCTAAGATACTTAATACCTTGAGTTAATCTCCTAAGACAGGATCTCAAGGTAGGGCAGACTGAGAATGTGTCCATTCCAAGGAGGCATGTCCCTGGGGCCAGCCTTTGGGTTATGATGGCTGAAGTGAGTCAGCAGCGTGTGTTTCGCCCTGCATGGCCCATGGAGAGGCCTCTGGGAGGCAAGTGCCCATTTGCTTCCCTGATGGCTACCTCTCTGCCCATGTGCAGAAGGTGGTGAGAAGGCAGGAGAAGAAAGGCCACAGCTCTATATCTCTTTGTTGTAACCATCACAAGGACATGGGACTCGGGCTGCAGAGGCCCTCAGAGGTCTTCTAGCCCAGGGATGCTCAGCTGCCTCCCCAGTCCCTCTTTCAGGGAACCTGCTCACCTCATGAGAGACAAACCACCATTTTTGGAGGAGTTTGAATACAGTTTCTCAGCATCTTGTTGCAATCGCTATGCACAGGGAGGTTTAAGACTCTACAGCTGGCTTCTCAATTGTTGCCAGGGAGCCTGCAGAACCAACCTGCCCTCCCCACAGCTGGATAACCTGTCTCACCAGTGCACAGTTCTCCAGTTTAGCATCTCTGAAGTCAAGATGTGTTCTTAAAGGGAACAGTTGTGATGTCATTGCTGCAAATCTTGCACATGACCACTGGTAACTTGGAAGAAAATCCCAGAGACAAGAGTGGAGCAGCTTGTTAGGAAATGCCACATCCTCAGTGCTCGTGACGATGGGAAGGATCAGAGCATAGAAGATGTGGACATCACAACTCTTGTAAAACAGTGATTCAGAAGAGTTCTGAATGAACAAATTTCAGCCATGCCTTAACTAACTTATTTTACTTGTATTTTCCTTTTTATATATGTATCATAGTGATATATGGTAAAATTTATCTAAATAATGCCCGGGCACAGTGGCTCATGCCTGTAATCCCAGCACTTTGGGAGGCAGAGATGGGCAGATCACTTTGAGGTCAGGAGTTTGAGACCAGCCTGGCCAACAGGGCGAAACCCCGTCTCTATTAAAAATACAAACATTAGCCAGGCATGGTGGCACGTACCTATAATCCCAGCTACTTGGGAGGAGGCTCTTCGAAGCATGAGAATCTCTGGAACCTGGGAGGCAGAGGTTGCAGTGAGTGGAGATTGCGCCACTGCACTCCAACCTGGGTGACAGAGTGAGACTTTGTCTAAAAATAATAATAATCTAAATTTAAAAATAATAATCTAAATAAGTCTGAAGTATGTAGTTCAATAAGTATAGAATTAAAAATCTAAGTAATAAGAGAACACCGTGCCATAGTTTAATGTCAGCATTTTTTTGTTGTGTGTGTGTATGTGTGGTACATGCACCTTAAAATCAGTGAGATCTTTGATTTAATGAAATGTGGATAATTGTCCATTGAAGTCTACTTAATACCTTGAGTTAGACTCCTAAGATAGCATTGTACTGAAATCGTCTTGGTGTCTGTTTTCCCTGCTAGGCTGGCTACTTCCTTGAGGGCTGAGCAGCACCTTGATGATGGAGAGTCTCTAGAATCTAACACAATGTACAGTAGGGGAGCACAGTAATGTCCTGTCAACCACTGGGTTTGGGTAGTGGTGTATTCCTATATACCAGCCATAAAGGTACCTGCACTTTTTTTTTTCTGGGAGGGTGGGCAGAGTTTAGAATCCCTAAACCACTTCGTCAGCAAGGCCCCTGGTGTGGTTGTATAGATTGTGCACTGCACAGAGGCACCCAGACAAGAGACCCAGTGGGGCTGAAGTTGGTGGTTGCCCTGCTGCCCAAGCCACGTGCCGCCCAGGCTATGTGCCCGTGGGACTGACTGCCCAGTACAGGCAGCTTTTCTCATTTTTACAAACATGCGATGGAGGTGATCAGTGGATTTGTTCCTCAGGCCCTAAGTGGAATTTTCCCTGCAGTGCCTCTGACCTTAGGAGTCCTAAGCAGCTGGTCAGGATGGGCTAAAAGCCTGACCTTCAGATTGGCCCAGATGAATGTTGTTGGGGCGGGGGAAGTGGTTACAGACTTTTGGGTGAAGCTGGCGGTGCAGGAAAAACTTTAGTTCTGATTCTGACCCTACGCCGGCTCTGTGACCTCAAGTTAGTGCAACAGAAATGGGATTTTGATTTCTTTAATTCCAAAGTTGACCCGGGGGTGCCAGCTGGTGGGTAGGGTGGGAGTTCTGAGAGGAAACAGTGCTGAAAATAGTTTGGGGACATTCTGTAAGTTGAAAACTGCAGAGCAGCCCTAAATGATGCCTGGAGATTTCTCCTCATGGGGAACAAAAGGGTAACAATTGGAGGGTTTCCTGCTTGGCCCTTCAGTTAAGACTTTGGCTCTGGTCTCTCTGGCTGCCACAGAATCACTGATTGTTGAGGATCAGCCGTGGGGCATCGTCTGAACACAGTAGCCCATTGCAAAATAGTTTGCGTGTGTTTTCAAGTCTTGGTGGCCAAGAGCTGGGCTGACCCCAAAAGTGAAGAAGCCGGACGGGGAAGCAAAGACAGCTGCGAGGAGGGAGTGAGGGAGCTGCCAGAGGAAGTACTGTGGGTCTATTTTAAGACTGGAAAATTGGAAAGCTGAGGAAGTACAACGTGTTTCAGTAACGGGGCCCAGCAATCCCTGGCCTTCGCGGGGATATTTCCCCTGAGGTGAGAGTACAGAAGGACTGAACATTTCTATTCACCAAAATGCTGAGGCCAGAGCTCATGGGAACCAGGAAGGGGAGAGGAGTGGGGAGGACAACCAAGTGTTTAAACTAGATAGAAGCCACTGGGTGTGTTGGTGGTTCTGGACCTTGGCTATGGATCAGAATGGCCCTCTCTGGGCCAGAACTGAAAACCACTGGGCAGTGGAATAATGGAGAGATTGGCGGATGATGGCCTGTGGGCCAAAGCTGGCCTAGCATCTGTTTTTGTAAATGAAGTTGTACTGGAACACTGCCATGCTTAATTGTTTACATATCATCTGTGGCTGTTTTTGAACAGAGTTGAGTAGTTGCGACAGAGACTTTATGTCCTACAAAGTCTAAAATATTTATTATCTACCCCTGTACAGGGAAAATCTGTCAATGACACAAGAGTCACTGGGCTTGGGGGTCTAAAAACTTGGGTTGAGTTCTAGTGTACCTATATCCCTATCTGGTGACCTAGGGCAAAGCTTTAGCCAAGCCTCAGTTTCTTTCTCTGTAAATCAAGTAGCAATGCCCATCTTACCCAGGTGTGAATATTGAACAGATAATATATTTATTGTACTCCTCGGAGGTATTTTTAGTTATTATTTTAGATATTACAACATACAACCTTATAATAATCTTCCTTGAGTTAATATTATACCACTTTACAAACAAGGTAAAAATTGAACCATTCTTGTCCGGGCGCGATGGCTCACACCTGTAATCCCAGCACTTTGGGAGGCCGAGGTGGGCAGATCACGAGATCAGGAAATCGAGATCATCCTGGCTGACACAGTGAAACCCCGTCTCTACTAAAAATACAAAAATTAGCCAGGCGTGGTGGCAGGTGCCTGTAGTCCCAGCTACTCGGGAGGCTGAGGCAGGAGAATGGCATGAACCCGGGAGGCGGAACTTGCAGTGAGACGAGATCACACCACTGCACTCTAGCCTGGGCGACAGAGTGAGACTCCATCTCAAAAAAAAAAAAAAAAAAAAAAATTGACCCATTCTTGCAACAGTTTCCCTTCCCTGTCCTTTGAAGGTATGGGCATATACTTTTTCTACATATTTTATAAATCCCACATAAATGCATATTATTTTTGCTTCAGACAGTCAAGTCTTTAAAGAAATTTTAAAAAGAAAAAATACTTTTATATTTACCTCAATAGTTACCATTTCTGGAGTTCTTTCTTCTTCCTGTAGTTCTGGGCTTCAATCTGAGATAAATTCCCTTTAGCTTAAAGCATTTTCTTTAGTGTTTCTTATAGTGGTTCTGCTGGCAGTAAGTTCTCATAGCGTTGGCTTGAGAAACCTTTCTTTCCCTATACCATACTGGATATAGCCTTCTAGCATGGTACTTTTTTTTTTCAACATTTTAGATGTCATTCCATTGACTCCTGGATTTCATTGTTTCAGATGAAAATTAACCATCATTCTTTTTGTTGTTGTATTAAAGATAATGTTTTCTTTCCTTTGGCTACTTATAAGATTTTCTCTTTTAACTCTAAAGATTTTATCTATAGTTTGACTAGGATATGCCTAGTTGTAGTTTTTTTCTTTGTATTTATCCCTCTTGGGGTTTTTAAGATTAGGAATCTGTGGGTTGATATCTTTCATCAATTTTGGAAAATTGTCAGCCATTACATCTTCAAATATTTCTTCCCCAATTTCACCTCTCTTCTTTTTCTGGTGTATCACTTAAATTTACATTTGATCATTTGATATTGTCTCACAGTCCTCTGACAGCCTGTTCTGTACTTTTTTTTAATTTTAAAAAGAAATCATACAGTTGTGAGAAATTATTAATAGATATCCTTTGGACCCTTTACCTAGTTTCCCCCAGTGATAACATCTTGCAGAATTACAGTATATCACAACCAGGATACTGTCCTTGATAAAATCCATCAATCTTGTTCAGATGTTCCTAGTTCTACTTGTATTGATTGTATGTGTTTGTGTGTGTGTGCACGTGCACACATGTATTTAGTCTTTGCAGTTCAATCACAGATGTATGTTCATGTATGCACCATCACAGTTCAGATTCAGAGCAATTTCATCGCTACAATGTTTCCTCAAGTTACCCTTTTATAACCACCCCCATCTTCCTACTACACCCCTACCTCATCACAAACCTCTGGCAACCACTAATCTGTTCTTCATCTCTATAATTTGGATATTCAAGAATGTTAACATAAATGGTATTATATAGCATGTGGCCTCTCAGATTGCCTTTTTATACTCAGCAGAATTCCCTTGAGATTCATCCAAGTTGTTGCATTTATAAATAGTTCTTTTTTTTATCATTGAGTTGAATTCTATGGTATGAATATATCATTGTTTGTTTAACTATTCACCCATCAAAGGACATCTTGGTTATTTCAAGTTTTGGCTATTATCAATACAGCTGCTATGAACATTCATGTACAGGTTTTTGTGTAAATATAACTTCTCATTTCTCTGGGTAAATGCTGTGGTTTGAATGTCTCCTCTAAAACTCTTATTGAAACTTAATCCCCAATGGCAGTATTGAGAAGTGGGGCCTTTAAGAGGTGATTGGAAGGCCGGGCGCTGTGGCTCACGCCTGTAATCCCAACACTTTGGGAGGCTGAGGCGGGTGGATCACCTGAGGTCAGGAGTTCAAGAACAGCCTGGCCAAAATGGCGAAACCCCATCTCTACTAAAAATACAAAAATTAGCCAGGTGTGTTGGCATGTGCCTGTAATCTCAGCTACTTGGGAGGCTGAGGCAGGAGAATCGCATGAACCCAGGAAGCAGAGGTTGCAGTGAGCTTAGATCGCACCACTGCACTCAAGCCTGGGTGACAGAGCAAGACTCTGTCTCAAAAAAAAAAAAAAAAAAAAAAGGTGATTGGATTACACCATTAATGGATTAATGGATTAATAAATTAGTGGATTGATGAGTTATCATGGGAGGGGAATTGGTGACCTTATAAAAAGAAGAAAAGAGACTTAAGATGGCAAGTTAGCATGCTCAGCCCCTCACCACATGATGCCCTGCACCCCCTCAGGACACCAGAGTTCCCACCAGCAAGAAGGCTGTCACCAGATGCAGCCTCTTGACCTTGGACTTCTCAGGCTACATAACTGTAAAAAATAAATTCCCTTTCTTAATAAATTACCCAGTTTCAGGTATTCTGTTACAAGCAATAGAAAATGGACTAAAACACTGCCCAAGAATGCAATTCCTAGGTCACAGGATAATTGTATATTTACTGGCATGTGTTTTGAATTCTCTAATTCTTTCTTCTTCTGTGTGGACTCTATTATTAAATTTATAAATGAATTCTTCATTTATACTGTATATTTTAAT
Source organism: Homo sapiens (assembly GCF_000001405.40). NCBI lineage: Eukaryota > Metazoa > Chordata > Mammalia > Primates > Hominidae > Homo > Homo sapiens. The sequence continues at coordinate 45,563,961 of NC_000003.12, forward strand.
TCAAACATTTCCTTTTTTTAAAGTTTTATTTCTCTGTCAAATACTTCATATTTTCCTATGTTTGCCTATCTTTTTACATAAATTCTTTAACATATTTAAATAGTTATCTTAAATCCTTGTTAGCTAATCCCAGCATCTGGGTTATCTGTGGGTCTGCTTTTGTTGATAATTTCTTTTTGTCTGATGAAGGATTACATTGTCTTTCACATGTCTTATCATTTTTTCAGTGTATGCCAGAGATAGATATAAAAGCACAGGAGAGAATGAGGTGCATAATATTCCCCCCAGAAAGAACTATCATCTTTCAGGAAGCTAGAGAGAGGGGCCCATCTGTTCAAGAGCTGCATTCTGTGAACACTGAGATGCAGCCTTGGTAATTTCAGTTCACTTAGTTTCAACTCTTGAGTGTGGTTTCAGGCCACCCCCTCCAGCAGAGATGGTCTCTGAACAGGTGCTAAGGAGATTTGGCAACACTGAATGGCATCCCCAAGAAGTCTGCTGGGTTTCTGCAGGACACTCTTCTTTACCAAGCCAACCACCATCATCTTATGAGGCTTCCTGGAGGGAACCTCCAGATTATGTGAGGGGTCTTTCCTTCTTCATGCTTTGGCCACATTGCTTTGGGATGGTTTGGATTCTCTCCTGCTCCCTGCCTCCCCCCACACCATGTATGCTTCTTGATAACAGGGACTGTGCCTCATCCATCTGTGTTTCCCATTGATGCATAGTGGTTATGAGTTGGGTCAAAAGCAAACACAATAAATGTTTGTTGAATGAACAAATTCCTGGAGAAGGAATATGTTAACAGAGGGGTGGCGGGTCACCAAAGCACTTAGAACAGGGTTTTGCACTGGGCCTGTAGTTGATCCCAGAGTAGAGAAGGCCCTACCAGTATGTCCAGCCCATCTGATGGTTGTGGCTCTGTTAAGCAGTTATGAAAAGGAGACAGCAAAGTGATTGAAGGCATGGGAACCAACATTAACCTTGCTCTGCAAGTTTTGAGGATGGTTGTTACGCGGGGGAGAAGCATATTTGGAGTAATCTATGCATATCTAGGTGGAACTATGGAACTCCCTTAAGGAAGAAAAGAAGCTGTAGGCATTGGCTTCCCATCATAGAGGCCTGGATAAAGGTAGAGGTGAGCAGGAGGTGACCCAGAGACAGCCTTCCTCACTGGCCAGTGGCACACTGGCACCTATCCAGTGTCACTTTGTAAGCTTGTTTCTAACATAAAATCTGTATGCATGCCAGAGTCATAAGCTGTATGTGATGAAAATGAGGGTGGATGGGCAACCCATTCTGTAGGAAAAAAAGATAGTCCTCATGTCTGAATAATGGATCCTGGGGAGTGGTTTCTCCTGGCATGGAAGACAGAAGCAGATACAGCAAGATGATGCCCATGTGAAATGGTGAGATACTGGCTTCTATGTGGGGGCAAATGATGAGGACTAAGGGGACAGATGGAAATCTTTGGCTTCAGAGGATGATGAGAGTCAGTCAACTGAAAATTAGGAGGTAGGGCAGTCCCAGCAGAAGGGGTGGCATATATGTAAATGCTAAGTGGCAGGAAAGTTCTAAGTGTCTTTGAGGAAGTGAAAGGCAAATGTGACCAGGGCACAGCAAATGAAGGTGGGGGACCATGAAGAGAAGGACCAGAGCCAGCTTAGCCACATTAAGGATTCTGGATTTATTCAAAGGTGATGCTCCATTTGCAGGTTCAAAATATTGACTGCAATGAACATGGGTTGAATAAACAGTGAGAGAGTGAATGAATGACTATTATCAAGTAAAGAGATGAGAGGCACACAAGCGTAAAAATGGAGACCCAAGTAATTCCATTTACTGAAGAAGGAATAGTGAGGCCTTATTCAAGGCCAGAGGTGCTGAGAATTTCTTTCCTGGACTGCACCATGGGAATTCAGATGTTTCTAGCTGTAGGGGAAGCCTTCACTCTCCCAGGTGTGGGTCTGTTCCTTAATATAGTGTAAGGGTAGAGGAAAAACTTCCTCTCCTCACCTAAGGTAATGAACTGACAAAAGGCAGATTAACAGGAGAGAATGGTGTGCAAAATCTGTTAACACTCATACGAACATGGGAGCTGTGCCCAAAGTTTAAGACTTGAAGAGGGGCCAGGTGGTTGAGGGTTTAATACTCTCTTCATAGGGAGAGACGTGTGGACACAGGAGGCAGACACTATTTTGTAAATGATTCTCTAGATGACCATTACACCACCTTCTTCTGCCCCACAGCCCTCCTTCCTCTCTCCTTCTCTATTCTGTAATCTCAAAACACCCAGAATCCCTGGTGAGGGCCAACAAGTGTCACATCCCCTGACAAACAGGAGGAGGAACTGTTGACCACACCCCAGTGCCCTTTACATTTTTCAGTGTGAAGTAAGATGTAGTCTGCACTTGACCGTGGGAATCACTGGCTTATGGAGACACCAGTAATGGGGACACTCAGTTACTTGAGTGGACATGGATTAAGTAAGACAGCCCCAAACATAAGCTGGGCCTCTGTGTCCGTATCCTCCAGCAGGCCACACAAGGGTACGGGGCGCAGTGCACACCTCTCAGGAGAACACAAGCTGTCCCGAATCATTTACAACCATCTCCATGAAACTATGCATAAGGCCGCCTTTGCCCTCCAGGCAGCAGACACAGGGGCTTTTTGCTGCTGTCTTCCATAAATTACTGGAAGCTCCAGGTGTGTTCATTCAGGTTCTCTGAGAAGCAGATACCAAGATGGGATATGACACGCAAGAGATGTATTGGAGAAAATGCCTGTGCAGGAGAACAGAGAGCAAGATGGGGGCATTGGGAGAACCATCAGATTTTGACGCAGTCTGACCCCTGTGAAGGAGAGAAGTAAGGGAGGTCTTAGACAGCTGTTTAAGGGAGTCCTTGGGTCAGAGTCATCTGTCAGTGGAGCCCCACATCTCTCAGGAATAGGCCTGCCCGAGTATCCCTGCCTTGCTCAGCCATAGGCTGGGAGCAGCCTGTGGGAGGCATAGCCTTGGCACAGATGGGGTGGCGGGTCCCGAGCACAGTGTCTGGGGTCTCTGGCAATCACGCTCCCACAGTGGAAGGTTGGAGGGCCTGGCAGTGGGCTAAGAGGGCTGTGGCCCAGTCCTCTCCACAGCCTGCCACCAGCTCGGCGCCTAGCCAGTCCCAGCAAAGTCAGTTCCCAAGGTGGTGAGACTGTGGGAGGGAAACAGCCATCCCCACACAGGCCTCCCTGCAGGCCTCAAGGGAAGGTCACCCAGGACAACCAGCTCCACAGCAGAGGGAGGATCTGTGAGGCACTTTCATGTCAATAGGGGTTGCATGTCCTCAGAGGAAATCAAACCGTGAAATCATTTCCAACACAAAAGCCCATTTATTTTAACAAGGGAAAAAAACAGTGGCTCCAAACAGCCCTCAGACATGATGGGTACCCTGTGGACGTCTGTGATGCCTTGTGGTCCATTCACAGTTCCTGGTAGGCACAGAGCGAATCTTTTCCATGTTTTGGGTTTTTTGTTTGTTTGTTTGTTTTTGTTTTTTAAATGGACTTAGAGGGTTGTGAGCATTTTGCAAAAGAATCAAACACCATGCCAGTTGCCAGTCTGTGCCAGCACCTTCGATTCCCAGTCTGGCCCTGCTCAGTGGCAAGATTTAGATTTAAAATCCATTTTTCCAAGAAGACAGGATGGTGAACATGTAAGTCTGATATTCAGTCTCCAGGCCTGGTGACTTGCTCCTCCGAGGCCCCAAAGCCCAGGAGAGATGCTCACTCGGTTCTCTCCATGTTCCGTCTGAACATCACCTGCTTCAGTTCCCCAGTAGATTGGTTGTGCCAATTGACCTGGTATATCACACAGCTGTGGCCTCGGGGCTGTGTTTTTATCTCCTAAGTGGTTAAGATTTAAAGATGGGGAGCAGAGTGGGCGGGAAAGGGCGGGAAGACGTCAGCAGATGTGAAATCAGGCAGACAAAAATAAACAGGGCACTCTTCCTTCCTGTCTGTAGGGCTCACCATCTCCAAGAGGTGGGTCAATTCTCCTCCCCAGGAGCAGATGGGGAACTTCACAGCCACATCCTCAGTTCAGTTTCTCTAGCCGCTTCTAGGGTTTTCCCGAGCCTGCCCTCAAGCTGTGAGGAGCCTCTTTTGTAGCTCACATCCCAACCATGTGGATTAATGAAAATGTCACAGGGGCTTTTTCTTTTTGATGTTGCCTTACACATGCACCTCAAATGTCCCCAAGTCCTCTGGCCTTCTGGAGTCACCCATTTTTTTATTTTAGATTTAGGGGTACATGTGAAGGTTTGTTACATAGGTAAGCATGTGTCACAAGGGTCTGTTGTACAGATTGTTTCATCACCCAGCTATTAAGCCCAGTACCCAATATTTTTTCTGCTCCTCTCCCTCCTCCCACCCTCCACCCTCAAGCACGCCCCAGTGTCTGTTGTTCCCTTCTTTGTGTCCATAGTCCTTTTTTTTTTTTGAGACGGAGTCTTGCTCTGTCGCCCAGGCTGGAGTGCAGTGGCGCGATCTCCGCTCACTGCAAGCTCCGCCTCCCGGGTTCACGCCATTCTCCTGCCTCAGCCTCCGGAGTAGCTGGGACTGCAGGCGCCTGACACCACGCCCGGCTAATTTTTTGTATTTTTAGTAGAGACGGGGTTTCACCGTGTTAGCCAGGATGGTCTCGATCTCCTGACCTCGTGATCTGCCCGCCTTGGCCTCCCAAAGTGCTGGGATTACAGGCATAAGCCACCGCGCCCGGCCTTCATCACGCAGCTATTAAGCCCAGTACCCAATAGTTATCTTTTCTGCTCCTCTCCCTCCTCCCTCCCTCCACCCTCAAGCAGGCCCCAGTGTCTGTTGTTGCCTTCTTTGTGTCCATAAGTTCCTACCATTTAGCTCCTATGTGTAGGTGAGAACATGCAGTATTTGGTTTTGTGTTCCTACATTAGTTTGCTAAGAATAATAGCCACCAGCTCCAATCCACTTATTTATTACTCAAAAAAAATAGATCCAACCACTAATATCATGAAACTAGGGGAAGTTGTGCCCTCTCACCACTGAAACTAGCCCATTCAAGGTCACCAACGACCTTCGTATTGCAAAGCCAATGACACTTTCAACCCTCGTCTTAATTCTACAGACACACTCTTCTTTCTCTTCTCCTGCCTCCTGGCCGCGCTGTCTCAGCCTCATTTTCTGGCTCTTTCCTCTCTTTGAATTCTTGGGGGCTTGGTCCTGGACCCTCTATTCTTCTCATTCTTCTCTATACCCTCTGCCCAGATGAGCTTACTCAGGCCCATGATATCAAACACCAATGGCACCAAATTTCACATCCACTGATGAAAATGCCTTTGTAAAAATTACAACATTGAGAAAAATCTGGCATAAGGAAATTTTGAAAGTGAAAGAAATCTGACCTGACTCTATCTTGCTTCGAACCTTCATGCTACCCTTGTTCATTCCTGGGCATAGGCCAAACTAACTTTGGGAGGAATTTAGTTTATAGTTTAACTATTTTTTTTTTTTTTAAGAGAAAAGGTCTTGCTCTGTTACCCAGGCTGGGGTGCAGTGGCACAATCATATAGCTCACTGCAGCCCTGAACTCCTGAGCTCAAGTGATCCTCCCACCTCAGCCTGCCAAGTAGCTGGAACTACAGGCATACACCACCACTCCTGGCTAATTTTTTTTTTCTTTCTTTTTTTTCAGAGGGAGTCTCGCTCTGTCACCTAGGCTGGAGTGCAGTGGTGCATTCTTGCCTCACTGCAACCTCCGCCTCCTGGGTTCAAGCAATTCTCCTGCCTCAGCCTCCCAAGTAGCTGGAATTACAGGCATGCACAACCACGCCTGGCTAATTTTTGTATTTTTAGTAGAGATGGGGTTTTGCCATGTTGGCCAGGCTGATCTCAAACTCTTGACCTCAGGTGATCCGCCCGCCTCAGCCTCCCAAACTCCTGGGGTTACAGGTGTGAGCCACTGTGCCCTGCCTTTTTTTTTTTTTTTTTTTTTTTTGAGACAGGGTCTTGCTCTGTCACCCAGGCTGGAGTGCAGTGGCATGATCTCAGCTCACTGCAACCTCTGTGTCCCGGGTTCAAGCAATTCTCATGTCTCAGCCTCCCAAGTAGCTAGGATTACAGGCGCATGCCACCACGCCTGGCTAATTTTGTATTTTTAGTAGAGACGGGGTTTCACCATGTTGGCCAGACTGGTCTTGAACTCCTGACCTCAAGTGATCTGCCCACCTCAGCCTGCCAAAGTGCTGGGATTACAGGTGTGAGCCACCATGCCTGGCCCACTCCTGGGTAATTTTTTTTTTTTTTAAATTTTGTAGAGACAAGATCTCATTACGCTGCTCAGGCTGGTCTCAAACTCCTGGCTTCAAGTGATCCTTCTGCCTCAACCTATCAAAATGTCAAGATATACAGGTGTGAGCCACCATACCGGGTCTATAGTTTAACTTTGAAACAAAAATGATAACAGCTCTCCCCGAAACAAACTCCCTCCTTGCTTGGGGACCAGACTACCTTTGTAAAAGTAACAAATTGGAGGCCGGGCATGGTGGCTCACACCTGTAATCCCAGCACTTTGGGAGGCCAAGGTGGGCAGATCACGAGGTCAGGAGATCAAGACCATCCTGGCTAACACAGTGAAACCCAGTCTCTACTAAAAATACAAAAAAATTAGCTGGGCGTGGTGGCGGGTGCCTGTAATCCCAGCTACTCAGGAGGCTGAGGCAGGAGAATTGCTTGAACCTAGGAGGCGGAGGTTGCAGTGAGCCAAGATCACACCATTGCATTCCAGCCTGGGTGATGGAGTGAGACTCCATTTCAAAAAAAAACAAACAAAACCAAATTGGCCACATTAAGGGAGGAGACCACCCCTCATATTGTCTTACGCCCAATTTCTGCCTCCAAAGAAAGAAGAAGTAAAAACTAAAAGGCAGAAATGAAATCCACAAGCAGACAGCCCAGCACCACACCCTGGGCCTAGTAGTTAAAGATTGACCCCTGACCTAGTCGGTTATGTTATCTATAGATTCCAGACATTGTATGGAAAAGCACTGTGAAAATCCCTGTCCTGTTCTGTTCCATTCTAATTAGTGGTGCATGCAGCCCCCAGTCACGTACCCCCTGCTTGCTTAATCGATCATGACCCTCTCATGTGGACCCCCTTAGAGTTGTAAGCCCTTAAGAGGAACAGGAATTGCTCACTCGGGGAGCTCGGTTGTTGGAGATTTGAGTCTTGCCAAAGCTCCTGGCCGAATAAAGCCCTTCCTTCTTTAACTTGGTGTCAGAGGGGTTTTGTCTGCAGCTTGTCCTGCTACAACATGATTAGAAAGTATGACCCAGGAGTCATGCAGCCAGAGGCCACAAGATCACTAACCTCCCCAATTGCTCCTGTAGATAATATTACTATTATCAAACCTAAGATTGATATTTGAGGTATTTTTCAGATCCTATGTTCTGATGGACCAGCTGACACCACCCAGACAGGTAATCTGGCTCAACTAGTTCTGCAATCCCACTCAGGAATAGAAGACAGCAAGAAGAGCCCATTTCAGCCCTCTATGATTTCATCCTGACCCAACCAGTCAGCATTTCTCATTCCCTAGCCCCCCACCCACCAAACTTTCTTTAAAAAGCCCTAGCCTCTGAATTTTCAGGGAGGCTGATTTGAGTAATAATAAAACTCTGGCTTCCCATTTAGCTGGCTCTATGTGTATTAAACTCTTTATCTATTACAATCTCTGTCTTGATTAATCAGTTCTACCTGGGCAGCAGGCAAGAAGAACATGTGGGGAGGTTACGCTGACTTTCAGAACACTCAGTGGATTTCTTCACCTCTCCTCTTTTTTTTTTCTCTCCAACATGTTTCTCCCCAAATCTGTCCCATTTCAATAAATGGCCAACTCTCACTCAACTCTCCCAGATGCTCAAACCAGAAACTTAGCAATTCTCCCCTTTTCTATATCATTTCCTGTATCTCTACCCACAATCTCAGTCTGTTCCACTACCCAGAGCTCTCTTGAGTTCGTCAGTCCCTCCAGTGCTTTCTGGCTCCAGTGTCACCTCCCTGACATCAGCCCCCATCACCTCACCTGTGCTATAACTGCCTTCTGAACACTTCAGGTGTGGTATAATAGCAAATATGTATTTCACCTTTGCCCCAGATTTCTGGCACACAGCTCCCAGAGCTCCAAAACCCTCTGGAATTTCCTGTGATCGTGTTAGAGTAGATAGTTAGCCAGATACGAGCAGGACAGGAGAGGGCTCCCGGGCAACAGGAATGTCAGGCAATCATCAGGTGATGGTCAGGAAGTTGTTAAACTATCTCTCTGAAATAATAATTGGTCACAGCCAGCACCAGGGAAAGGCCGTCTCCCGGTAGATAGAAAACATCTAAAGCTGGTGATCAGCAGCTTCCCAGTAAGATCTCAGGAGTTGGGTGAGTGGGCTCAAGCATGTGCACTAATAGGCAAAATGGCAGAGTTTAACTGGTATGTGACCTTCCTCTATGAACACTCGACTGGTAAGGGAAAAATGAGCATCTACACAACTTCAGTAAACACATTGCGCATGTGGCCCCTCCCAAGTGCCGCAGGCAGCTGCACACTTGGGTAGCCCACCCCAAGGGAAGAGTTGGGGGAGAAGCAATGCAACCCTGGAAGCACGCCAACCTATAAGACCCCAAGTCAAAGTTCAAACCACACACTTGACTCTCTCAAGTTGCCTGCTTGACCCTCTTACAACTGTACTTTACTTCCTTTCATTCCTATTTAAACTTTCACTCTTACTCTAAAACTTGCCTCAGTCTCTCACTCTGCCTTATGCCCCTCCATCGGATTCTTCCTTCTGAGGAGGCAAGAATTGAGGTAGCTGCTGATCTCTATGGATTCCCAGCTGCTAATAATAGGACTGTGTTTTGTTATTTATAGCAAGCCCCTTTCAACCGTACTTGAGTTTATGCTAATGAGATGACTCCTGCAGGGAAGCGGGTGCCTAGATAGCTTCAGGTTGGGGGCTGGTGCCAGAAAGACAGGAGTGATTAAAGTGTTGGAACTGTCAGCCCAGCCCCTGACCTACATGGAAGAGGTTCTGAATATTGAGTTCAATGGCCAATGGTCAGGAATTTGATCAATCATGCCTGCAATAATGAAACCTCCATAAAAAGCCCTAAAGACTGGGATTCACAGAGTTTCTAGGTTGGTGACCATGTCCATATGCTGGGAGGGCAGTGCACCTGGAGAGGGCAAGGAAGCTCCATGCTGCCCACCCCCACACCTTGTGATATGGTTTGGCTGTGTCCGCACCCAAATCTCATCTTGAATTGTAGTTCCTGTAATACCCACATGTTGTGGGAGGGACAGAATGGGAGATAATTGAATCATGGGGCAGCTTCCCCCATACTGTTCTCATGGTAGTGAATAAGTCTCAGAAGATCTGATGGTTTTATAAAGGGAAACGCCTCTTGCTTGGCTCTCATTCTCCCTTGTCTGCCGCCATGTAAGACGTGCCTTTCACCTTCCACCATGATTGAGAGGCCTCTGCAGCCATGTGGAACTGTGAGTTCATTAAACCTCTTTTTCTTTATAAATTCCCTAGTCTTGGGTATGTCTTTATCAGCAGTGTGAAAACAGACTAATACATCTTGCCCTGTGCATCTCTTCCATCTGGCTATTCCTGGTTGGATCCTTTATAATAAACCAGTCAATGTAAGTAAAGCATTTGCCTGAGTTCTGTGAGTCATTCTAGCCAAGTACTGAACCTGAGGAGGGGGTCATGGGAACCCTCAAATTGGTAGCCAAGTTGGACAGAGGTACAGGTAGACTGGGACCTGGGACTTTTTGGCTGAGTCAGAAGTGGGGCAATCTTGTGGGACTGAGCCCTTAGCCTGGCATCTGTGCTAACTCCGGTTAGTGTCAGAAGTGTTGAATTGTTTGGAGAGTGAGAACTAAAAAGAAAACCTTAAACCCCCCACCTAACTGAATGGACCTCCTCTTGGCCAAGGGGACCCCAGGGAAACCTTAAAAACTGAATTCTCAGGCATGACGGGACAGGAGGTCAAACTCGCCTCAGTATACTCCCTCCCTTTCACAGTTTAGACACAACTCACCAGCGTTAATGTGAAAACAGAGATCCTAAGACTAACAGAACGGACTCTTTGTGGCAATAAGATACCAAATTACAAACAAGACCTAACGGTGCGCCAGGCAAGGGTGAGGTCACACACCCTACACTTAAAGAATAAACTATGTTCCAACTGCCACAAGGTTTTTCTTTTTCTCTAGCCCCTAAACAAGCACTGGCCTTGAGATAAGCAATACTGAAACAATTGCGGTTCATCCCACAGACGCTGGCTGTCTGATTCCCCATTCTACAAGCCACACTACAGCCTTGATAGGACAGAAGACTGATTTCTATACAATTCTCCTGATAAGAGACCACTGACCATGGGCTAGTTCTGGCTGGGTTTGACAGAGGCTGCGCACTGGGGTGCCTTCATGTCTCTTCCTCACCTTCTGACATATAGGGCTTAATTGTAATGCATTTGAATGTTAAGTCTCCACCCCAAAGTGAACCTGGGTTATATGATACAGGCATGTTTGTTAAATAGGCATGCATCAGGACCCCCTTCATGCATATTCATAGCCCCTCCTATAACCTGTTGAATGTGTGTACTTGGCCAACCATCTGGCATAAACCCCTGTTCCAACCCGTTCTCCTTCAAAGTGCCTGCCTTTTGGGCTCTGCCGGCGGCTATGCTTCCCAGCCTGGGAATGGCCAGCCTGCAGGCTGTAACCCTCTATCAGAAATAAAGTCTCCTCTCCAAATGTATAGATTTCATGATTTTTCAGTTGACAACACCCAGATGATGTCAGAGAATTCGAGAACGGCTTGGTGTGGAAAAACCACAAATTTGATGTCAGAAAAAAGACATCATGGCTGGGCGTGGTGACTCACACCTGTAATCCCAACACTTTGGGAGGCTGAGGCTGGCACATTGCTTGAGGCCAGGAGTTCGAGACCAGCCTGGCCAACATAGAAAAACACCGTCTCTACTAAAAGTACAAAAAATTAGCCAGGTGTGGCAGCACATGCCTGTAATCTCAGCTACTTGGGAGGCTGAGGCATGAGAATCCCTTGAGCCTGGGAGGTGGAGGTTGCAGTGAGCCGAGATCGCAGCACTGCACTCCAGCCTGGGTGACAGAGTGAGACTCTGTCTCCAAAAAACAAACAAAAAGATGTAGCACCCATCTTCTCCCATTGGCAGCTAACCCTGTCCCTAAGTCCATTCTTAACATGGCGGCTGTGGTCATCTTTTCAGAGCTTAGTGCAGGTTATGTCACACTTTCTTACCAATCCCCATGAGCAAACCCAGTAATGGGCCGTGAGACCCCAACTCCCCCAGCCCCTACCCAGCTCAGCATCCCTTCACCCAGTGCCCTTCCCACTCCAGCTACTCAGGCCCTGCTTGCCCACATTCCTCTGCAGGAATGCCCCTCCCCACCTGAGACGATGGTATTTCTCAACCTTCAGATCTCCTTCAAATGATACCCCTTAACAGGCTCCCTGAAAATTCTCGCGACTATATTTGCAGACCTGTTAGCTCCCCCTTTTCTCAGTCTCCTCCTTCTAGACCACAAGAATGTGTCTGTGGTGGGGGAAGGCTGCTTATAACCAAGAATGTGATTGTTTTCCTAGGCTGAAGTGCATCTGCTCATGGGCCGCCCTATTAGCAACATAAAGAATTGGCTGAGCAATTAAAGGACACTTGTTCTCTGGCATTGACACAATTCTCTGACCAAATTCTAGGGTGGAGCTCTCCCTCAAGAACATGTGCTTCTCTCCCTCAAAGCGATTTCTGTGAGCTGAGAGGGCCAATGGAAGATCCTGTTCTCTCCCTTCCAGAGAAAACTTTGGGAGTCATGGCATTCCCCCTCCCTGGCTGTGGTGACTACTTAGGTGTTTGAAATACCTGCTTTAATACAGGGCAACCCACACCCTGGCAATGGTGCTAAGCTGGGAGTAATCGCGTGGCTCAAGCTGGGCCAGAGTTTCTCCCCAGAAATTTGGATTTGGGACAGAAAAAGGAGAGTCAATCATCTTTTGAGAGCCCAGACTCTAACAGGGGATAGGAGTTCAAGATGGTCACCACGGCCAGGGAAGCCAACAGCACATCTGTGATGAGCAGAGGAGAAAGTGGCGGGGATTGGGGGACACTCCAACTGAGCACCTTCCTTCACACACCTGTGCCAGCTGCTCTTCTGGCCTGTGCACCATGACATGTGCCCGTAACTTGTCAACAGCTTCCGTTTTCCTTAAGCTAGGTTGAGAGGGGCTCCTGTCATTTGCAAGCAAAAGAATAATAAATAACATAGAAGGGAAGTGTTTGAAGACTCAGCCTATTGATAATTAAATAGTGGGAGCTACCTCTCTCTTTTTTTTTTTTTTTTTTTTTTTGAGACAGAGTCTTGCTCTGTTCCCCAGGCTGGAGTGCAGTGACACGATCTCAGCTCACTGCAACCTCCACCTCCCGGGTTCAAGCGAGTCTCATGGCTCAGCCTCCCAAGCAGCTGGGACTACGGGTGCGTGCCACTAGGCCTGGCTAAATTTTTTTGTATTTCTAGTAGAGATGGGTTTTTACCATGTTGGCCACGCTGGTCTCGAACTGCTGGCCTCAAGTCTCCGCCTGCGTCAGCCTCCCAAAGTGCTGGGATTACAGGTGTGAGCCACTGCTCCTGGCCAGGAGCTACCTCTTTATGAAAAAACAACAACAACAACAAAAATCCGCTCTAGTCTGACCTGTTTGGAACCAGACAGATTTGAGTGTGAATTCAAGCTTGGATCCAGCGTGACCCTGGGCATGTTGCTCACTCCCGGGTGTAGGCCAAGCTGAATATAGGAGGAATTTTGTTTGTAGTTTAACTCTGAAGCAAGGATGATAATTGTCCCTCCCTAAAACTGATGCCTCTTCTTGTTTGGGGGCTGCAATCACCTTTGTAAGATGAATGAAAGGCCACAAAAATAGGATCCTGGGAAGGGCCTGAATTCTGCTAAAATGTAGGCATGGTTTTTATAATCCTTTACTGCTCAGAAGCCATGTGGCCAGAGGTTACAAGATTTTTATTTTATTTATTTATTTTATTTAATTAATTAATTTATTTTTTGAGGCAGAGTCTCACTCTGTCACCCATGCTGGGGTGCAGTGGTGTAATTACAGCTCACCGCAGCCTTGACCTCCCAAGCTCAAGCAATTCTCCCACCTTAGTCTCCTGAGTAGCTGGGACCATAGCTGCGCATCACCACATCCACCTAATTTAAAAAAAATTTTTGTAGGCCAGGCGCAGTGGCTCACGCCTATAATCCCAGCACTTTGATAGATCGAGGCAGGTGGATCACTTGAGCTCAGGAGTTCGAGACCAGCCTGGCCAACATAGTGAAACCCCATCTCCACTAAAAATACAAAAATTAGCTGGGCATAGTGGCACACACCTGTAATCCCAGTCACTTGGGAGGCTGAGGCAGAAGAATCGCTTGAGCCTGGGAGGCGGAGGTTGCAGTGAGCCAAGATCACACTATTGCACTCCAGCCTGGGTGACAACAGTGAAATTGTCTCAAAAAAAAAAAAAAAAAAAAAGAGAGAGAGAGAGAGATGGGGTCTTCCTATGTTGCCCTTCCACTTGGAATTATAAGCATGAGCCACCACTCCTAGCAAGATTTGTCACTTCTCCAATTGCTCCTATAGATAACACCACTATTGTAGAACCTAAGGTTGGTCTTTTGAGATGTTTTTCAGACCTTTGCATTGTGGCAACCAACTGACCCTACACAGACTCATGACGTAGCTAGTTCTGTGGCCTCCCCTGACCCAGAGGTGGACTCAGCCCACAATGGCCATTTTCCACACCCCTATGATTGCATCCCCAACCAATCAGCAGCACCCATTTCCCAGACCACCGCCCACCAAACTATCCTTCAAAAATCCTAACCTCCAAGCCTTCAGGGACACTGATTTGAGTGATAACTCCAGTTCTCTTGTGTGACTGGCCTCACATTAATTAAACTCTTTCTTTATTGCAATACCATGGTCTCGGTGAGCTAGTTTCATTTGTGCAACAGGCAGGAAGAACCCACTGGGTGATTATACCACTTAACCTCTCTGAGACTAACTGAGTTCATATGTGAAATGGGGCTCATAATGCTCACAGTGTTCTGAAGATAAAAGACATAAAAACGTTATAGGGGTTAGGTGTTCCAATGACCAGAATTTTCTTGTCTTCTGACCAAAGCTCACTATTCCCAGGATTCAGGTGTTTTTGGCAGTAGTATCAAAAGTCTTAAAGTTGAGGCACATATCTGCAGACTCCACATTGTTCCTGTAGGATTTTCCCAAGGGATAAAGTAACAGCATATTGTGCTAAGACTTACAAACATCACTGTTCACTGTAACCAAACATTGGAAACCAACCAACAGTAGGGACTAGTTTCACAAATCATAGTGTACCACTCCCATAAACCATGTATAAGGGTCAAGGGAAAAGTTCCCCTTCTCTGAAGGTTCACTGAAAAATCAACTGACAAAAGGCAGATTAATAGGAGAAAATACAAAATGTATTTTGACATGTATAACTAGGGGGCACCACAGGAGAATGATTACCCAGTAACCCAACGGGATACAGAAGCTTATATACCCTTATTCATAGGAAACGGGGGAGATGGGAAATGCAGGCAATTTCCCATATGGGGAAATGCAAATGATTATTAGGGAGAATGAGTGGACAGAAATTAGCTTATAAATGATTCTCTTCGGAATCTGAATGAGCCGACAGGCAGGCATTATCTTGTGAAAAAGCTCATCCATGTGTGGTTGCATTCCTCAGTCTTACTTTCTGAGATAGATAATGAGATTTCAGGGAGGGGAAGAAGGGAATTTGTGATACCAATAACAATGTATAGTCAATCAATAGCTTATGTTATCTTAATATAAATTCTTGGTAAACATCTTAGGAATGGCCTCTTCTTTTTTCCTTAAAAACCTAACTCTAACTGCTGGTAATCAGAGTGTATATTCAGGGCAACTTGAATCTATGCTCCTAGGTGGCCATCCTCAAACTATGAGTCAAATAAACTATATAACTAGTATATATAACTATATATATATAACTATAACTATAATTATTATCACTCCACCATCAGCAAGCTTTGAGGTTATTTCAGGATTCTGCTATCACTCAGTACTACTATGAAAATTCTGTACCTGTCTCTGAAGGCATGAGTTTCTCTGGGGATAGCTGCAGGAGTGGAATAGCTGGGTGAGGTCCACGTGCATGCTCTACAAAATGACTATTTCCAAAGTGTTCTGGCAATGGAGGAGAGCCTTCCTTGCTCCACATCCTCCACAACACTTGCTGTCACCTGGCTTTGTAGTCAGTGCTCCTTTGGTAGGTTTACAGTGGCAACTTCCTGTCTCCACATGCCAGTCCCAAAGGTGGGATCAGGTGTTTAGCTCCCTATGAGTCAGCTCCTGAGGCCGCCTTCTGGGAGTTGTTAGAGGGCCAAGGAGAACAACAGGGTCTTTGGTGCTGGAAGGAGTTGGGTCTGCCTTCCAGATCCCCCACCAATAGGCTGTGCTACCTTAGGTAAGTGCCATGACCTCACTGAGCTTCCATTTCTGCCAAATGAGGATGGCTCCTAACGTGCAGAGCTGTCAATGACGAATGCCCAACTGAAGATCTTGTAAAGCACCAAGCAGAGTGCAGTGGCTGTGGTTGTTCTGTTCTACCCTTTGCCTCTCATTCGTAATTTTGTCTCCAGGTTCTAGAACTGCCATACTTACGCCCTCTTGACACTGATTCCAGTTGTTCATTGCTAGGGTTTGAATGTGTCCTGCAAAGTTCAGGCAGGATCTTTAAGAGGCGATTAGGCCATGAAGGTTCTGTCCTCATGAATGGATTAATGCCGTCATTGTGAGAGTGGGTTAGTTATTGTGGGATTGGGTTCCTGATAAAAAGATGAGTTAGGCCCCCTTCCCTGCTCTCTTTCTTGCATGTGCTCTCTTGGCCTCTCACCTTCCACCAGAGGATGATGCAGCAAGAAGGTTCTGCCAGATGCTGGCTCCTTGACTTTGGACGTTTCAGCCTCCAGAACTGTAAGAAATACATTTCTTAAAAAAATTACCCAGCCTGTGGTATTCTGTTACTGCAACACAAACAGACTAAGACATCCATCTTGGCACATCTAAATGACAGTTGCTTCAAAGGTCTTTGTTTTGTTTCTGATGGATCAAGACAACTGCTCAAAGAACAGATCACTTGGGGAAGAATCTTATATAGCAAATTCCTCTATGGTTTTGCTGTCAGAGAAGAAAGCCTTGTGGCTCCATCTGATTCAGTGATGTGGTTGATCTGGGGCATATTTAAGTCTAAGTGACAAAGCTGGATTAGCAAAGGCTCTGCTAGGCTGGGTCTGTGTGTACATGGCCTTGATAGATATACTGGTTTGATGAAATGCAAATATCTGACAAAGACTATGGGAACACAAGCCTTCTTTGTCATGTTTTATTGCGATCTGGGGGGTCCTAACTCTTTTATAAGAGGGGGATAGGGAAGGAGAATGAAGGGGACTGAGTATTGGCCCTGAGCCAGTCCAGTCTGAGCTCAGGACTTTACTCACTGGATCTCAAGAAAGAGGTAGGTCTCTTACATCATCCTGAAAACAGAATGGGAGGTTTATTTCAGTGACTTCTCAGAAAGAAAAAAAAAATCAGTAGTTCTGCAATGGCTTTGTTTTCTGACTTTCTTATATAAAGGGATTTGGAGTGCTCAATTTTACTTATCATCAGAGAAATCAGATTAAACCACAATGAGATAACTCTTCACACCAACCAGAATGGTAAAATGAAAAGAATGGCAAAATCAAGTGTTGATGAGGATGTGGGAGAGCAAGAACTCTCCTTTGCTGATAGCAACTGTACAACCACTTTAGAGCCCTGGTTAGCCGGATCTATTACTAGGATCTACCAGTATGCTATGACCCAGCAATTCCCTTCTCATTGATATACCCAATAGAAATGTCTACATTAGTTCACCAACAGCCCTGCCCTATAGAATATTCACAGCAGGACTATTCAAAATAGCCCCAAAATGAGAACTATCCAAATGCCTGTTACAGTGGAATAGCTAAAGCATGGTACATCACACAATGGAATATTACACAGCCATAAAAATGCACACACTGCAATGACACACAACAATGTGAATGATTCTCACAAACATAATGTTGAACAAAAGAAACTGGACTCAAAATAATACATACTGTGTGATTCTAGTTACATGAAAAACAGAGATAGTCAAAACTGATATATGCATTTGGAAGTTAGGATAGTAGTTACCCTTGGGAAGGTGGTGGTTAGGTGAGGACACAGCGGGCTTCTAGGGTGCTGGTCAGGTGCTACTTCTTGATCTGGGTTCAGGTTGCACACAGGTATTCAGTTAATGAAAATCCATCATGCTATACTCTTTCCATATAACATACTTCTATCAAAAGTTAAAAAAAGATTGGCAGGTGGCTATTACCTTTAGCCTGCACCCAATGGAGGTCAACTCATAGGTGGGAAATTCATGGATTTGAAAACTTAGGTGCAGATAAGACCTCAGACATCATTCAGTACAGAGAGCAGACATTCAGGGATTAAATCCTTACTCCTCTATTTACCAGCTATGTGCCATTAGGCAATCTACTTAAACTCTCTGAACCTCCATTTCTCTATTTGTAAAATGGGATAATGGAATTTATCTAGGAGAGCTGTTATAAGGATTAAGGGCAAGAATGCAAACTCTTAGCCAGTGCTTAGCAAATGTCAACTATTATTAGCATGATTATTATCCAGTACAATATGCATTCATTCATTCATTCATTCACAATAATTAATTAAATACTGTACAAGATACCAGGGTGGGCAAGACACACCTGATCCTTACCCTCACAGAGCTTACAGTCTAGTCTGGCCTCTTCCTGGACCCACAGTAGTGTTGGAAACAGAAGACACGGTCCCCCCATTCAGGTTTGGCAGGCAAACATTCACTGATAGACACACTCTGGAAGTAGCTCTGGGAGCTTCAATAGCCTGGCAATCACTTGGATTATTTGGTTATGAGAGGTGGTGTGGTTTAGAGCCAGGCTGCCTGGGTTCAGATCCCAGATCCTCCACTTACGAGCTGTGGAATTTTTTTTTTCTAGCTGTGGAATTTTAGGCAAATTCTTTATCTCCCTTATGCCTATTTCCTCATCTGTGTAAAGGAGTAGATAACAGAACCTGTCTCGTGGGTTGTTGGGAAGATTTAACAGTGTAATCTATGTAGAGGATATAAAATGATGCTGGGTACAGAGTAGGTGCTATGATGTGTTAGTGGTCCTTGTTGATCTTGTTATAAATAATCAAGGATTCTCACACTGACCACAGCTAGATGACAACCCGCAGAGAGCCAGACAGACCTCCTTGGTGTCTGTGAAGAAATCCAAGTCACTCCAGCAGCACTGTGGAGTTCTCAAGAATATGCCTAACTCATGGGTGTCTACTCTACAGCCATGCTTGCACGGGTGTGAAATGGTTTGTAAGTCATCCCTTGCTATGGTTAACACAGTAGCAAAAGCACAGAAGCAGCCCAGATGTCTGTGAATAGGAGGTTGGTTAAAAAGTCCATGACTCACTCAAAGAAAGAAATATTAGCCCTAAGAAAGAACAAGGCAGCTGCATGTGAAATGATGTGAAAAGATTTCCAAGAATATTATTAAGTGCAAAAAGCAAGAGGCAGTGCATTTACTTCCTGTGTTTTAAAAAAACAAAACCAAAAAAGAATTGTACATGACCAGGTACTTCGGTAATGTGACTTTTGGTAATGTAGTTGGCTTTGGAGGGGACACTGGGGCATAGGAGTGGGAGGATACCTTCTTTTCACTGTATGTTCAGTTGTTCCTTTTGAATTTTAACCCATATGCATGTTTTATTTTTTAAAAGAGTAATCCAGTGACTAGGGCCAATTCAGAAATCAGCACTACAGTTCATTGTACTGTTAAACATCTTTTGCTGCTCTCTGAGCAGATGGCCCTGGGAGGGGTTGGGCCAGGGCCAGCGGGAAACCTCCCTCCCCTATGGGTGTATGGGGAGCCTGTGGCTAGGCACATGCCTCCAGCTGGGTCTGCTTGCATGGCCAAAGGGCTGGGGTGAAGAACTGAAGCTGGCAAAGACAGTGGGCTCCAGCAGCCTGGCAGAGGCCACACACACAGGACAAGGTCACGGTCCTAATATCTGGGTCTGGCCTTGGCACCTTTCCAGGGGAAAACTCATGGGACAAAGGCTCATTGCAAGCACCAGGAAAGGGCCTCCATTGCAGCTGCTTCTCTTCATTCATGGGGCAATTCCACAGTGGACCTTGGGGCCAGAGAAGACCAATCTGTTCTGGAAACAGATTTGGAGGGGCCAGTGTTTTCCTGGCCTGCTCTGGGCCATCAGTGGAATGGAAAGAGCCCAAAGGAACCTTAATTCTTAATTCTTCGTCCATGTGCTCAGCTGAAATATAAAGATTCTTTTCAGAGCCCTCCCTGAAGTAGCCCTCCAGCTTTGGGACACACACAGCATTGTGTGCAGAGACATTTCCTATAGCCAAGCAAAAGCGACAGAGAGGCCCTTTCAGTTTGCTGCAAAATAAGCAGGGCTCTGTCCCAAGACAGGCGGCCTTTGCCTCATGGGCCCCTTGGTAATTCATAGGCTGCCTGAGCTCCATTTACTGCCTACAGTCTATTAGACTAGGGCTTTTCAAATGCCCTTTAGCCAACAATTCTTTATATATATCGATATGAAAAACATATATATATGCGTGCAAACAGATTTTTGTTTTTTTAGACAGAGTCTTGCTTTATTACCCAGGCTGGAGTGCGGTGGCGTGCTGCAGCCTTGCTCTCCCAGGCTCAAGTGATCCTCCTACCTCAGCTTGCCAAGTAGCTGGGACCACAGGTATGCAACACCATGCCTGGTTATTTATTTATTTATTTATTTATTTATTTTTTGAGACAAGGTCTCACTACGTTTCCCAGGCTGGTCTCAAACTCCTGGGCTCAAGCAATCCTTCCACCTTGACCTCCCAAAGTGTTAGGATTGCAGGTGTGAGCCACTGTGCCCAACTGTAAACAGATATTCTAAACTCAGATATCTTTTATACACACACAGACACACATACACACACACACATATATATATATATGTAGTCATACTTTTTTTTTTTTTTGAGATGTAACCTCACTCTGTCACTCAGGGTAGAGTGCAGTGGCGTGATCTCAGCTCACTGCAACCTCCGCCTCCCCGGTTCAAGCGATTCTCCTGTCTCAGCCTCCCAAGTAGCTGGGATTGCAGGCGCCCACCACCACGCCCACCTAATTTTTGTATTTTTAGTAGAGACAGGGTTTCACCATGTTGGCCAGGCTGGTCTCAAACTCCTGACCTCAAGTTATCCACCTGCCCTGGCCTCTCAAAATGCTGAGATACAGGTGTGAGCCAACGTACCTGGCCTATATGTAGTCATATTCTTAATTAAGCTATATATCACTAATATTCATCAAATATGATATATAAAAGATTAAGTATTTGGTACAAAGTGTTCAAACAAGATCTATAGAAGGTTTGCAGAGACATACAAATTTATAAGAGTAACAATACAGCCTCTCTTCTTTTTTTTTTTTTTTGAGGTGGAGTTTTACTCTTGTTGCCCAGGCTGGAGTGCAATGGCGCAATCTTGGCTTACTGCAACCTCCACCACCCGGGTTCAAGCAATTCTCCTGTCTCAGCATCCCAAGTAGCTGGGATTACAGGTGCATACCACCATTCCCGGCTAATTTTTGTATTTTTAGTAGAGATGGGGTTTCATCATACTCGTCAGGCTGGTCTCGAACTCCTGACCTCAGGTGATCCACCTGCCTCAGCCTCCCAAAGTGCTGGGATTACAGGCATGAGCCACCGTGCCTGGCCCTCTCTTCTCTGTTTTTCCAAATCTGGGTCACCATTTAGCCCAATTAATTTCTTCTACTTATAGACGGCAACACCACACCAGTGCTCCCTTTTCCGATGCGATCAATTTACCACACATTTGGGGGGGCCCCTACCATGTGCCAGGCACTGTTCTAGGTTCCTGGGATACAGCAATGAACCAAATGGTCAAAGATCCATGGCCTTGTGGGGTCTGCATCCTAGTGAGGTGACAGACAGCAAACAAGTAATGAAACAGATGTTCACTGTGTGTCATGTAGGGAGAGGGATAGAGAGAAGGGTGTAAGGAAGGACATCCCAAGGAGATGACTGCTGAGTGGAGACCTGGGGGTTGTGAGGGAGGGATTCGCGTGGATATCTGGGACAGTGGGTTCGAGGCAGAGGAATGGCTACCCTCTTGCCCACTCTAGATACACTGCACTCACTCGACAAAAGCCAGCCCTAGTTAGACCCAATTCTCCACCTACTCCATACCCACATCTGTGCAGCTGAACCCTGGCTAGAGAAAAACATGCCACTGTGTTGGCTGGCCTCACTGAGACCCATGCCCAGAATCTTGGGGTGGGGCGCCTTCATGCTTCCCTGGGCCATTCATCCTCCCACTCCCCGGACAACCAATTCCCATGGCAACTTTGCCAGCCTCCCTCTCAGATGCCTTCCTTACTTGCTTATGTCACCAAGAAAATTAAAGCAATCAGAAGAGTTACCACTCTAAGATTCCAACACCTCATGTACTTACCTACCTGATTCTTGTCCAAAACCTTCCTTCCTGTTACTATGGATGAAACATGCATTGAAGTCCAATCCCTCTCTGCTACTCAAGGAAAACTCTCTCCTCTCCCTTCTACATTAGCAATGCTCCTCTCCCATGTCCCTATCTCACTGGGTCATTCCCACCAGTGTTGAAACATGCCCTACCACCTCCTACTATTTATTTATTTATTTGAGACAGGGTCTTGCTCTGTCTCCCGGGCTGGAGTGCAGTGTCATGATCACAGCTCACTGCAGCCTCCACTCCCAGGCTCAAGCAATCTTCCCACCTTAGCTTCCTAGGTAGCTGGGACTAGAGGCGCACGCCACCATTCCTGGTTAATATTTGTATTTTCTGTAGAGACAGGGTTTCATCATGTTGCCCCGGCTGGGCTCAAACTCTTGGGCTCATGTGATCCTCCTACCTTGGCCTCCCAAAGTGCTGGGATTACAGGTGTAGGCCACCACTCCCAGCCAATCTCCCACATTTTTAATTAATTAATTAATTAAAATGTAATTTTTTTTTTTGAGATGGGGTCTTGCTGTCGCCCAGGCTGGAGTGCAGTGGTGTGATCTTAGCTTACTGCAACCTCTGCCTCCCGGGTTCAAGCAACTCTCCTGTCTCAGCCTCCTGAGTATCTGGGACTATAGGCGCACGCCACTGTGCCTGGCTGAGTTTTGTATTTTTAGTAGAGATGGGATTTTTCACCATATTGGTCTCAAACTCTTGACCTCAGATGATCCACCCGCTTCAGCCTCCCAAAGTGCTGGGATTACAGGCGTGAGCCACCGTGACCTGCCTATTTTTTTTTCTAGAGATGGAGTCTCATTCTGTCACCCAGGCTAGAGTGCAGTGGCATGATCTTGGCTCACTGCAACCTCCACCTCCCAGGCTCAAGCGATTCTCCTGCCTCAGCCTCCCAAGTGGCTGGGATTACAGGTGTGCGCCACTATGCCCAGCTAATTTTTGTATTTTTAGTAGAGATGGGGTTTCACCATGTTGGCCAGGCTGGTCTCAAACTCCTGGCCTCAAGTGATCCACCTGGCTTGGCCTCCCAAAGTGCTGGGATTACAGGCGTGAGCCACCGCACCTGGCCCACATTTTAAACAAATTGAAAAACCCTCTCTTCATGGCACTTTTCCCTCTAATTCACTTTACCCAACAAAACTCCTAGAAAGAGTTGCATAGATGGCTGTCTCCGTCTCTCCTTGCACTTGTTCTTCTTCTGGTCTCTGCTCAGGTGTCACTTGCTCAGTGGGACCTTCCCTGACCCTTGTGTTTAAAATTGCACCCCTCCCTATGTCCTCTTTCCTGCTTCATTTTTCACCATAGCTCCCATCCCTTTCTAATATGTACTGTAAGGCATGCACCTATTCTGTTTATTGTCCATCCTCCCCACTCAAATGTACTAGAATGGAAGTCCAAATAGGACAGGGATGTTCATCTGTTTTGTCCACTGCTGTATCCCCAGCACCTAGGAAAGGGCCCGGGGCATTACAGGTGCTCAGTACCATTTGTTCTGTGAGTGAATGCATGATAAGGGCAAGGGCAAGGAACAGCAAAGAAGTCCATGTGTCTGAATGGAGCAAGAGGAAAGGATAGTGGAAAATTTGGAGGCAGAGGAGGCAAGGCACCAGATCACATAGAGCCAAGGAAAGGATCTAAGTGTGGTTCAGGATGCCATTGGAGGGTTTGCACTAGGGAAAGCCATGATCTGACTGATGTTACTGAGATTCTGGGCAGGTCAAGTAAAAAAAATTCACATTCCATGAGTGTGTCCCTGTGGCAGGCAGTTTTTGTATCTGTGTATCATGAACAATTGTCCTGCCTCAGCCTAAAGCTTTCCTAAAGGAAAGCTGGGTGTCGAAAATGGTACCTGTTGCACAGGCAGGGCCATGGGAAGGAATGATCACTGCTTTGCAGGGGCTCCATGCTTTACAGCTTGCTATGGACTGAATGTTTATGCCCACTGCCCCAACATTCATATGTTAAAATCCTACCGCCCAAAGTAATGGTATTAGAAGGTGGGACTTTGGGGCCGGGCACGGTGGCTCACACCTGTAATCCCAGCACTTTGGGAGGTTGAGGCAGGCAGATCATGAGGTCAGGAGATCGAGACCATCCTGGCCAACATGGTGAAACCCTGTCTCTACTAAAATACAAAAAAATTAGCCGGGTGTGGTGGTGTGCGCCTATAGTCCCAGCTACTCGGGAGGCCGAGGCAGGGGAACTGCTTGAACCCGGGAGGTGGAGGTTGCAGTGAGCCAAGATCACGCCACTGCACTCCAGCCTGGCGACAGAGCGAGACTGTATCTCAAGAAAAAAAAAAAAAAAAAAAGAAGGTCATGAGGGTAGAGCCCTTATGAATGGAATTAGTGCCATTAAAAAAGAGGCCTGAGGGAGCTTGGTCACCCTTCTACCATGTGAGGACACAGGCAGAAGGTACCATCTATGAACCAGAGAGCAGGTCCTCACCAAACACCCATTGACAAAAGGAGTCAAACTCTGTAAAATATTTGAAGAGATTTATTCTGAGCCAAATATGAGCAACCATGGCCTGTGACACAGCCCTCAGGAGATCCTGAGAATATGTGCCCAAGGTGGTTGGGGCGCAGCTTGGTTTTGTACATTTTAGGGAGATGTGAGACATCAATCAAATACATTTAAGATATATATTGGTTGCATCCAGAGAGGTGGGACAACTCAAAGAGGGGGGTGGTGGGGGTGAGGGCTTCCAGGTTATAGGTAGATTAAAAATTTTTCTAACCAACAATTAGTTGAAATAGTTATCAATATAAAAAAAGTCTAGGTTGTGATAAGAGACTGTGGAGACCAAAGTTTCATCATGCAGATGAAGCCTCCAGGTAGCAGGCTTCAGAGAGAATAGATTGTTGGGCTGGGTGCAGTGGCTTATGCCTGTAATCCCAGTACTTTGGGAGGCTGAGGTGGGTGGATCACCTGAGGTCAGGAGTTTGAGACCAGCCTAGCCAACATGGAGAATCCCTAGCTCTACTAAAAATACAAAAAGTTAGCTGGGCGTGGTGGCGTGTGCCCGTAATCCCGGCTACTCGGGAGACTGAGGCAGGAGAATAACTTGAACCCAGGAGGCGGAGGTTGCAGTGAGCTGAGACCATGCCATTGTACTCCAGCCTGAGCAACAAGAGCAAAACTCCATCTCAAAACAAAACAAAACAACAACAACAAAACCAGAGAGAATAGATTGTAAATATTTCTCATCAGACTTAAGGTCTGTGTTGATGTTAATGCCAGAGAGGTGTAATGAGGCATGTCTGACCCCCACTTTCAGGTTAAATTTTAGAGTGCCCTGGCTGAGGAGGAAGTCCATTTAGATGGTTGGGGGGCCTTAGGATTTTATTTTTGGTTAACACCCTGAATTTGCTGTTGCCTTGATCTTGGACTTCCCAGCCTCTCAAACCATGAGAAATACATTTCTGTTGTTTATAAGTCACCTAGTCTGTGGTATTCTGTTATAACAGCCCAAATGGACCAAGACTAGTCAACTAGAATATTGAACATGTTTTCATTCAAGAAAACAAAATAAAACATTACTGGTAAACACTTAAACAAAACCATTTACACTCTGCCTACCTACTGATAAAATTTTTTAACTTTTCAGTATTTTGCTTCTTAAACAACTGTTATGCAAATATAAACACCTTTTTTTGAGATATTAAAGTTGTTTCCAAGCACATGAAACAGACAAAAACAGCCTGTATTAAATAACCACAGCTGGGATTCTAAATGCTATGCAGAGAATTTGAAAGACCTCTGCCTCTTATGTATTAAACAGCAGCAGTAAAACATCAGTAGTCTCCTGGCCATTTCTAAGTACCCTTTCACAGTGGTATATTATTCAGTTTGATGCCCATGGGATACCATCTTTATTTTTTTTTTTAATTTTTTTTTTGAGACAGGGTCTTGTTCTTTCACCCAGGCTGGAGAACAGTGGTGCGATACTACAGTCATGTGCTACCATACCTGGCCAATTTTTTAAAAATTATTTTTTGGTAGAGATGGGATCTCACTATGCTTGTTGCCCAGGCTGGTCGCAAACTCCTGGCCTCAAGCATTCCTCCCTCCTTGGCCTCACAAAGTGCTGGGATTACAAGAGGGAGCCACTGTGCTCGGCTGGGATGCCATCTTTATAATCTATTTTGTAACGGTGTAAGGTGATCCATTGACTAAGAGAGGACAACCCAGTTGGGGCAGGAAATACATGGATTGTGGATTCAGGTTTGTGTTTAGTTGATGGAGATGGTGCAACTGTTCTAGAATGGCAGTGGGGGTGGAGAGTAATGCCTACAAGCTTCTGGAATGCTGAGCACTTCAGCTAAGCCAAGATACGGGGAGGCAGGAGGGCATCAAGGATTGTGGGCTCACATAGGTGCCAATGTCACAGGATACTTGGGGTGTTGCTTTTCCAGACAGAAACCTCTGTGGCTAGTGGTGCCTTTGCCCAAGTTTTGCTCAGGCCTGCTGGTTTTGTTTCGCCCACTTAGCCTGACAGGCTGTGCTCAGCTCGTGCTACTGGTGTGGATCCCATGCTTGCCAAGGGCAAGCCAGCCATGGAGCAGCGAGAGCTGTGTGAGCAAGCAAGCATGGGGTCTGGCCACTGCACACAGCCAGGCATGCCAGCTGTGGCAGTGCAGGCAGCTCCAGGTGCCAGCACGGGCACAGCTGTGGCTGGACCAGGCGTACCACAGGCAACTTCCACCGCTGGCACTGGGGAATGCGGTGGCACCTGGAAGCTTGGAGACACCAGGAACCGCAGAGCCCCAAAGAGGGTATCATAACCCTGGATTGGGGTGCTCCTAGGTCTGGGCTCCCCAAAGGGCTGCAGCTTTTCTCTCCTTCTCTCTTTTCTCCTTCTCTCTTCTCTCCTTCTCGTTGCCCACAACGTGGCAAGCAAGGGGTGTGTTTCAGTCCTGTTTGTGTTACAGATCTTTTAGTGCCACCATTTGCCCAGTGGGTCCCAAGTTCTTGTCCTGTGTCCACAAAGAATGAAGTATGCAGACAACTGGAGGGTGAGCAAGGCAGAAAGGAGCCTCACTGAGTGGCAGAACTGTTCTCAGTGGGTATCTCCTTTCCTCAGGCAGGTTGTCCCGATGAGTGTCCAGCTCTCAGTGGAGAAGAGACCCACAGTGGGTAGCTGCCTTCCACAGGCAGGTTGCCCCGATGTCTCTGCAGCCTTCAGCAGAGAGACCCAGAGTGGGTAGCTCCTATCTGCAGGCAGGTCATCCCATTGTCTGCCTGAGTCTGGCTGAGTCTGGTTTTTTTTATGGACTTCAGAAGGGAGGAAGTGTGTGCTGATTGGTCCACCGGCAGCCATAGGCAGGCCCAGGAAAAGCACCATAAATTCTCACTCCAGTCTGCAGGACTGATAGCTCAGCCCCTAGGTTTCAGGCTGTCCCTGTCTTGAAGGGGGCTTCACTGGGGACCCATCCCATTTCACCCAGGAGCCTGATTGCCCCCTGCTGCCATCAACCTGCTGGCCATGGCACCCATGGCACCCAGGCTGTTCATGCTGAGGGGTGCCTGCAGGTACATGCCGAACTGCCCTCAGCCTCACCCTGGCCTCCCTCCCATGCTCATCGGCACCCAAAGTCTGGAGGGGGCCGAGGCGGCAGGGGACTGGTGTGTCAGTGCTGCCCTGAGTGCGTGCACCCCCAGCTGGGTCGTGACAGTATCTGGGCTCAGCTTCAACTTTGCTCCAAAATCAGAATGGGCACCAGGAGAGGCCAGGCAACAGGAGCAGGCACTTCTGAGCCTGTGGGAGTAGGGGGGCTTTCTAGGTCCCCGGGAGCACAGGGATGCCCAGGTCTGCAGCCACAGCTGGGTGGATGCAGCTGTGCCTGGGAAGGCAGGGCTCCCGCCCCACCAACTCAGAAGGGAGTGGGGCTCCTGCCTGTTCCTAGCTCCTACCAGCTCTATGGAGCATGCAGTCACGGCCTCACCTCGCCATTGCAGCTAGCATCATGGCAGTGGCTGCTCCAGATGGACCACTGCTGCCATCACCAAGATAGGATGAAAAGAGAAGACAAATGTAAGAGCACTGGTTGGTGTCTGTGGCTCCTGCACCAGGGTCCCAGCTGTCCAAACTGAAAACCCAGGAAGCTGGCTCTGAGCTTACTGGACTTTGCAGAGGGATGGCCATATATTCCTAGCACTTTGTCAGCTACAACTGCCATATTTGGAGGTCAGGCAAAGTGAGCCAGTCTTCCACTCCAAAATCCAGTTTTTAATTAATAAGTATTACCCAACACCTAAGGAGTGTTTAATTATGATTACCTCTGAGAAAGGGGATGGTAGGCAACTTTTAAAACTTTATATATGTCTGTATTGTTCAAAGTTGTTATAGAAACATGTATTACTTGTAGATAAAAAACCAAAAAAAATTTTTTAATAAAAATACTTCATTTTAGTATAGTGCTTTATAGCAGTGCTTCTGTAACTTTATTGTGCAAATAAACCGCCCAGAAATCTTGTTAAAATGCAGATTCTGATTCAGTAGGTTGGCAATGGGGCCTAAGATTCTGCATTTTCAACAAGCTCCCTGGTGATATGGAGTCCATTAACCATACTTTGGGTTTACGGCAGCGGTCCTCAATCTTTTTGGCACCAGTTTCACAGAAGCCAATTTTTTCACAGACGGGATGAAACTGTTCCACCTCAGATCATCGGGCATTAGATTCTCATAAGGAGCGTGCAACCTACATTCCTCATGAGGGTAGTTCATAATAAGGTTTGTGCACCCCTCTGAGAATCTAATGCCACTGCTGATCTGACAGGATGTGAAGCTCAGGCGGTAATGCCAGTAATGGGGAGTGGCTGTAAATACAGATGAAGTTTCGCTGGCTTGCCTCCTCTCACCTCCTGCTGTGCCACTCAGTTCCTAACAGGCCACAGACCAGTACTGGTCAGTAGCCCAGGGGTTGGGGACCCCTGGTTTACAGAATATAAAGCACATTCATATATATTATCTTATTTGTTCTCTGTCACAACTCTGGCAGATAGGGGTTCACTAATTCACTTATTCGACCATTAGGTACTACTATTAATATATACCAGGCACTTGGCATACAGATATGGTCAAATGGAGTGGGAAACCTACCACCCAACCAAACAAAAAAAAACGCATGTTAACCAACAAATAAATAATTATAAATAGTTATCAGAACTGAGCAGGAAGTAAAGAGGGTGCTGAAAAAGAACAACAGGAACCACTCTGAGGAGGCCTCTAAGAGGAGGTGACTTCAGCAGGGATGGGAAAGATGAGCCACTCAGTTTAGGGGCAAGCTCTGGGCAGACACCAGGAAGCTCCTGCAGCTAGAGTGCAGGGAGGGAGGGAAGATCCCTAGATCTGGCCCAGAAGGCTGCGGCAAGGGGCCGATTTCAATTTAATTCTGGGGTAAGCACTGAGGATTTAGGTAGAGAAGTGTCTGTTCTAGTATTTGCCTTAGGATCACGATGGCTGTAGTGTGGGAAATGAAACCTCTCCAGGATCGCCTGGGAACTGGTATAGGGAGTCCCGGGCCATGCGGGGGCGCCAAGGAGTCAGGCCTGGTGTCCCTGCAGCCGCGCGGATCCACTTGCAGATGGGTCCCTCTACGAATAACGAGCCTACTAGGGCACGTGCTTTTACTGCTGCACTGAGGACGTGAAATGCGCGCAGGCACAACGAGACTTTCTTCTTTTTCGCTCTTTCAGAGGGCCCGGGCTCCCATCTACGCTTTGCTGGTTACGTTGGCATGTTGGGCATTTCCCCCTCTCTGCCTCAGTCTCCCGACCTGTCAAAGAGGACGGTGGGCCAGCCATGGGTGACACGCCCGTGCGCCTCTCCAATAGTGCACCTCGGGCAAGCCGGGCGGCGGGCACAGCCTGGACGGTGCCGGCCTCGAGAGGCACAAAGGGCTGGCTTTCCACCGGGGAAACTGAGGCAGTGGAGCGAGGAGCGGCGTCCTCGAAAGTCCTCGCAAACTCCCAGCGCCTGTGTTGGGCCCATGCAGGCTACCCAGGCCGCCCGTCTCCGAGCGGAGGACCCCGCCCAGCGCTGCCAGGGGCGGGGCCGGGCTGAGGACCCGAGGCTGGAAGGGAGGTCGGAGCACCCAATTCGGTCCAGGACTCGCAGGGGGCGGCAGTGGCGGCGGCGAAGTCCCGTGCAGTCCCAGTGCTAGAGCGTGGGACGGACTTGTGGGGCACCCCTCGGTGTTCTCCAGCCAGGCCTGGGGGCAGGAGGCCCAGCCACGCTGCCGGGTGCAGGCCTGCCCCTGGGCGCCCGCCCGCGCGCCGTCCCCGCCCCTCGGCCGCCCCCTCCGCCCCGGCGCGGGCTCGGGACGTGCAGAGCCGGCGAGCGAGCAGCAGGGACTGCGCCTGGCGCACTCACTTCCGCGTCCCGCCGCCCTCCGGCCCGCGCGCGCCGATCCGCCGCCGCCATCGGACAATGGGCCGCCAGCCCCAGCTGCCGTGAACTTCCTGCCGCTGCTCGGCCGCCCGTGCGTCCCGGACGGCGTTCCTGCCAGGCGCCGGCCGGGATCGCAGCTCCGGGGAAGCAGCGGAGGACCCAGCGCCTGGAACGTACCTGCGCCTCAGCCGCCGCGCGTTTGCTCCGGCCCGACTCGCGGCCTCGGCGCCCTCCCGGCCGATTCAGCTTCACCCGGCCCAGTCGGCTGCTGCCTTGCTGTGAGTTTCCGTGTTTGGTTGCCTAAGGAGGATGTGATTTTACTTTTTTGCTGTTTTCTTTTTCCTTTTATAATTTGAAGAGGAGAAAAGAACTCCGCTGAGCAGGCCCGGGACGGCGAAGTGCCACCAGCTACCCCAACAAGGACGTCTCCAGGGGAAAGGGAGTTGGAAGCAAACTTGGTCCAGCTGGCGTTGAGGTCTCAACTTCGGCTGGACTCTTAAATCCTGGGGTCATGCCCTTCACGCTAGGCAGGTGGAAGTCTTTACTTGTACTGGGCCGGACTTGAGCCCCGACCCTTCGCCAGCATCTCCCCGCTGCCCTCAACACACACACACACACACACACACACACACACACACACACACACACACACACACACACACACACACGGCACCTGGGCTAGGCCCGGACACCTGTCTGCAGCATGGATAAGTATGACGACCTGGGCCTGGAGGCCAGTAAATTCATCGAGGACCTGAACATGTATGAGGCCTCTAAGGATGGGCTCTTCCGAGTGGACAAGGGTGCAGGCAACAACCCCGAGTTTGAGGAAACTCGCAGGGTGTTCGCCACCAAGATGGCCAAAATCCACCTCCAGCAGCAGCAGCAGCAGCTCCTGCAGGAGGAGACTCTGCCCAGGGGGAGTAGAGGCCCTGTCAATGGAGGGGGCCGCCTGGGCCCACAGGCCCGTTGGGAAGTTGTGGGCAGCAAGCTGACTGTGGATGGTGCTGCCAAGCCTCCTCTTGCTGCCTCGACAGGGGCACCTGGGGCAGTCACCACCCTCGCTGCTGGGCAGCCCCCGTACCCACCGCAGGAGCAGAGATCCAGGCCATACCTGCATGGCACGAGGCATGGCAGCCAGGACTGTGGTTCCAGGGAGAGCCTGGCGACTTCTGAGATGTCTGCTTTCCACCAGCCAGGCCCCTGTGAGGATCCTTCCTGCCTCACTCATGGAGACTATTATGACAACCTCTCCTTGGCAAGCCCAAAGTGGGGTGACAAACCAGGAGTGTCCCCCAGCATCGGCCTGAGTGTAGGGAGTGGGTGGCCTAGCTCCCCGGGGAGTGACCCACCACTGCCCAAACCCTGCGGGGACCATCCCCTAAATCACCGACAGCTCTCCCTGAGCTCCAGCAGGTCTTCTGAGGGTAGCCTCGGTGGTCAGAATAGTGGCATTGGTGGCCGCAGCAGCGAGAAGCCAACAGGCCTTTGGTCCACTGCCTCCTCCCAGCGGGTGAGCCCTGGCCTGCCTTCCCCAAACTTGGAGAACGGAGCACCAGCTGTGGGGCCTGTTCAGCCCAGGACCCCTTCTGTGTCAGCACCCTTGGCCCTGAGCTGCCCCAGGCAAGGAGGTCTTCCAAGATCAAACTCGGGGCTGGGGGGTGAGGTTTCAGGTGTGATGTCCAAACCCAATGTGGACCCCCAACCCTGGTTCCAGGATGGGCCCAAATCTTACCTTTCCAGTTCTGCCCCGTCATCCTCGCCAGCTGGTCTGGACGGTTCACAGCAGGGTGCGGTCCCTGGGCTGGGGCCGAAGCCTGGCTGCACAGACCTTGGCACTGGTCCCAAGCTCAGCCCCACCAGTCTTGTCCATCCAGTGATGTCCACCCTGCCTGAGTTATCTTGTAAAGAGGGTCCCCTGGGCTGGTCTTCTGATGGTAGCCTGGGATCTGTGCTCCTGGACAGCCCCAGCTCCCCTAGGGTAAGGCTGCCCTGCCAGCCCCTCGTCCCAGGTCCTGAGCTGAGACCCTCTGCTGCTGAGTTGAAATTAGAAGCCCTCACCCAACGTCTGGAGCGAGAGATGGATGCTCACCCGAAGGCTGATTACTTTGGTGAGTGAGAGGCTGGTGGAGTTGCCTATGGTGGGGCGATGGGGTTCTTGAGATTGGGGAACATGCCCCCTACCAGGGATGCTGTGGGCTGTAGTTACCTCTCTTTGAGTGGCCTGTTTTTTTATTTTTTTGTTTTGGGCTTCCTCTTTCAGCTGCTTTTTCTGATTCAGAAACTTGAAAGCATCCTGGGGCAGAAAGCGGACCTTGCAGCTGGGGTTACCCATGTGTGAAGGGTGCAGCAGGGTGGGATTGCTCATGACTGCTCTCAGAAAAGAGAAATGCTGTGACTTTGGATTTCAAGGGTTTTGGGTGTGACTTTAGAGCCTCTTGCAGTGACAGGCTCATATAGGACTTCAGTGGGACCAGCTTTCTCAGGGGCAGCTACCCCTGAGCGTTCAGTCTGTAGTTGGTTGGGCAGATCTGGTTGATCTGGCTGTTTGAGGGACCAGTGATTGAGGCAGGGGCTCTTGACTGCCGTGTGTGTGTGTCTGTGTGTGTGTCTGTGTGTAGATGGGTACTTATGTGCAGTTGAGGCAGGTCAAACACTACCATGAAAGACTTGTAGAGCAGTGGATCTTTTTTTTTTTTTTTTGAGATGGAGTCTCGTTCTGTAGCCCAGGCTAGAGTGCAGTGGCACAATCTCGGCTCACTGCAACCTCCGCCTCCCGGGTTCAAGCAATTCTCCTGCCTCAGCCTCTTGAGTAGCTGGGACTACAGGCACGTGCCACCACACCTGGCTAATTTTTTTTTTTTAAGTAGAGACAGGGTTTCACTGCGCTAGCCAGGATGTTCTCAATCTCCTGACCTCGTGATCCGCCCGCCTTGGCCTCCCAAAGTGCTGGGATTACAGGCGTGAGCCACCGCGCCTGGCCAGAGCAGTGGTTCTTAAGTGTAGTCCCTGGATCAGCAGCATCCCTTTGCCTGGAAACTGATTAGAAATGGAAATTCTTGGGCCCCACCCAAGACCTACTGAATCAGAAACTGTGGGATGGGACCCAGCCAGCCGTGATCCTGCTGTGTGGTGAGATTTGAGCCCTGCCGCACCATGTGCCTCCTAACCCAGCCTACACCCAGGTAACAGCCAACAGCCAGGTTGCACCACAGCCGTGGCACAAACTATGATGGAAAATGTGTCTTCCTGGTTTTACTCAAACTTGCATGTTTTGTTTTATTCTCTTTTTTAAAACCACAAACTCTTGGAGACTGCTAGCTTCAACTTTTTTTCTTTGCACGAGGTTTAGTGGTAGTTGTATCTTTCTGTTGAGTAATGATTAGTTGTCTCATAAGAGAGCTAACTAGAAAGACAGCCTATTCGCAGAGAATCGGAGGGGTTTTTCTTTTTCAGTTTTTAACTTTGGATAATTGACCCCCGTGTTCCCCATAGCCTGAGTCCTGCTGGGGTAGCAGCTCTGCCTAGTGGAGGGCAGGGACAGGGAAGGCCCTGGGAGAGGAAGACAGCTGGCTTACTGCTGTCAGTCTACGCTTATTCTCCGTGAACGAGCAAGTGTCCCAAGGTCCTTTGAGGGACCAGGGTCTGAGGCACTGGGCTGCTGGATGTGTGCAGCTTATGGTAGCATTGTGTTTTGCTTCTCATGAGAACCTTGTGGGAGCCAGTTCTCACCCCATACTCAGCAGGCTGAGGTCAGGGTAGCTGTTTATGGCTTACTTTTTTTAAATTTATTTTTATTTATTTATTTGTTTATTTATTTATTTATTTTGAGACAAGGTCTTGCCTTGTTGCCCAGGCTGGAGTGCAGTGCACCCTAGACCTCCCGGACTCAAGGCATCTTCCTACCTCAGCCTCCTGAGTAGCTAGGACTACTTAAGAGGAAGCAGGGGAGGAAGGGGACGTGGAGGTGGGGGGTCCTCTCTAGGTTGCCCAGGCTGTTCTTCTGGGCTCAAGTGATCTTCCTGCCTCAGCCTCCCAAAGTGCTGGGATTACAGGTGTGAGCCACTGTGCCCGGCCTACTGGTTTATTTTTTAAAGCACATGGCACCATCTTACTGTGAACTATCTTTTCTCCTCAGCACATTCCCACATTTGGGAGTAATAGTTAGCTGGAAATACTGTGGGTCTTTTAATTTAAACTTTTGTTTAGTTGTAAATTTCAAGCTCATTGGACAACACAAACAGCAGTTTTATCTTGAGATGCAAGTTTATGCTGTGCATCAGAGCAACGGTATTAGCTGACGCTACTCATCCATTCAGCATATATTAAAATTTATTGAGCACCTATCTTGAGGCCATGCTCTATTCCAGGTCTTGGGGATACATAGTGAACAGGACAGACAGGAACCTCTGCCTCCCTGGAGCAGACAATGTAGTAGAAGGAGGCAGGGAGTGAATGAAGTAAATAAGCAAGTACTAGGGAGAGAATCAAGGTAGAGAAAGGGAATGGAGCCCTGGGGCTGGGGGTGGCAGAGAGATTTCCAGTTTTAAATTGGGTGATCAGGGAATGTCCCACCTAGAAGATGCATTTGAGCAAAGGCAGGCAGGAGACTGGACCATGTGTTTTCCCAGGGAAATGGTGTTCTTGGCAGAGCAGACAGCAAGCACAGAGTCCCTGTAGGCCTGGTCTGTGCTGGGCACTGTACTGAACACTTGATGCTGACTATTGAATTGACTGGTCACAGCATCCTTGGAAGCTGGTTCTGCCATTATGCCCATTTTACTGATGAGAAAACGGAAGCTCAGGGAGATTAAATTACTTACTGGCGGTGTCACAGGTCATATTGGGTACTGCTGGGACTTGAACCTGACAGTTCAGTTCAGCCTCAGGGCCCATGTGTCTAACCAGCATTGCCAAACAGTCTCCCAAGCAGAGATTTGGAAGCCTATTTTATTTATTTATTTTTATGGTTTTTTTTTAATTGAGATGAAATTCACATAATGTAAAATTAACCATTTTGAAGTGAACAATTCAGTGGTGTTTAATATTAATACATTCACAACGTTGTACAATGAACACCTCCGTCCAGTTCCAAAATGTTTTCGTCAACCCAAAAGGAAACCCCATACCCATAAAGCAATTGCTCCCTGTTTCCCCCATCCCCTCCCAGCTCCTGGCAACAACCAATGTGCATTCTGTCCCTATGGCATTTACCTATTCTGGAATTTCATTTAGAAACGGAATCGTGTATTTTATTCATTTTTTGTATAAACTTCACAGATAAGCAAGCACGCACAGTGAAAATCGAGCCTCTTTCCCTGGTCTGTCTAGTCAAGTGTTCTGGGTGTAATAAGCATGTGTGTGTTTCTGCCAGCCCCAGTGGTGGCATGCTGTTCCACTGCACAGCGTCTTGGCAGTGGCTCTACATCAGCATGTGTTCAGCTGGCTATACGTGGCTGCTGTGCAATGTGCCTAGGTCACCTAAGGTCACCTAAGCAGCCCTCACTGATGGGCCTTTGGAATGTACCCACCTACAAGGGGCAGGCGTAGCTGCAAGATGAGCTCCCAGGAGTGGGACTGTGGGGCTGCGTGGTTTGTGTCCTTTAGGTGTGGCTTGGTTGCTTCCTGCAGAGCTCATGCCAGGGCTGAGCTGCCAGCTATGTAGGAGAGGGTTTGCTCCACACCTGCTTTGGTGGCAGAGCTTCCATCTGCTCTTCTGCGACCTACCTTGGGGCAGAGGAGGAAGTCTTTCGGTCTGAAGATTGGCAGTCATTGCCTGGCCCTGTGTGGGGACCATGAAGAGACCACATGCTCCTCCAGACCACTCCTCCCTTGTCGGTAGCCTGAGGAGGCTGGACAGCTGAGGGGCTCCCTCCCACAGATACTTTTTCCTCCCCTACATCTGGTATTACTTGAAAGATTTTGTCTACCCAACACGCTACATTTGTTAAATAATGGTTAGATTCTACTTCCAAACAGAAGAATGTTTAATGGTGCAGGGCGCTTGGCAGTGAGAGTCAGAGTGACACAACTCCCCATGAGAGGTGATGTCACTCAGGCCAAAAGCAAAGCAAAGTAGATGTTTGGGTTAGCTTGGGCCCCTTCCTAGGTTGAACTGAAGGTGTCCCTTTGGGCATTTGACTTTGTGGGAAGAGCTTGTGAATCCCTGTTGCCACCTTTGTAAGCCCTTAGAGTCTCAAGATGCCCAGTTTCCAGTTACTGATTAACTTGGCACGGGAACTCTCCTGGCACTTT
The DNA here is from genome assembly GCF_000001405.40 of Homo sapiens. NCBI lineage: Eukaryota > Metazoa > Chordata > Mammalia > Primates > Hominidae > Homo > Homo sapiens. The sequence continues at coordinate 45,600,432 of NC_000003.12, forward strand.
CCATGGCTGGTCTTTGTGGGTTTAGTAAAATAGGATCCTACAGAGGCGTGTCTCTTTCCCTACTCTGCTGGGCCTACTTCCTCCTCCAGCCATCCTCCCCACCCCCTGTCCCCGTTGCCTCTTTGTGTCTCTCTGTCCATGTTGTTGGGTTTTTGGTCTTCTAGGCGTTGCTCCTGGCCTACACCACCTAGTGCAGTGTGGCTTCTGTTTTAGCACCACTGCTGACACTGCAGAGGTGGGGTGCAGAGGGCACCGTGCCTTTGTTAGTTGTGCCCCACCGTCTCCTCCATGTGATCCACCTATCTTCCTCACACTGGTCCTCTTCTCCCTTTCTAAGGAAAAAGGACACAAGCCGGGTGTGGTGGCTCACACCTGTGATCCCAGCGACTCAAGAGACTGAGGCAGGAGAATTGCTTGAGCCCAGGAGTTTAAGACCAGCCTGGGCAACATAGTGAGACCCCATCTCTACAAAAAACACAAAAATTAGCCAGGCATGGTGGTGCACACCTGTAGTCCCAGCTACTTGGGAGGCTGAGGTGGGAAGATTGCTTGAGCCCAGGAGGCTGAGGCTGCAGTGAGATATGATCATGCCACTGCACTCCAGCCTGGGTGACAGAGGGAGACCCTGTCTCAAAACAAAAACAAAAACAAAAAACCCCACAAATAAACCACTTGTCATAGGCTGGGTTTCCTGGGAAGCTGACTGAGACAGAGTTGACCATACAAGGGCTTATTAAAAGGTGCTTTTGGGGTCCCCACCTGTGGAAGATGGAGAAGGAATCAGGAGTGGGTAGAGGAGAGCTGAGCTGCTGGGACCTGACCCCGCAGGGAGCCTGGGAGCTGGAAAAGTCCTTTAGGGTCATCCTAGTTGGCCTGACATGGCCTGGCCTTCACACTCCCTCATGGATCAGCTGTTGGCTGTGGGCTGCCCAGGAAGATGGTGACTTTGGGCGAGGCAGCTCTGTGCAGCTGGGATAGTCTCTTCAGGGGCTGACAGGAGGGCAACCTGCCTGCCGCACCCCAGCAGCTGTGCCCTCCCCTGTCCTCGCCTTCATCGAAGGGCCTTTGCAGCATCCCCACAGTGCCCCCTTCCTGGGGGCAGGTAGGAGCGGGTGACTTGGGCATTATGGTTCTAGTAGTAGCTACCGTGTGTCAAGTGCCAGTGGTGTGCCGGGCACTGGAGTTCAGTGCTTTGTGGGCCTTGTTGGCATTTAACCTGCACACTTAGTTTTGATGTAGGCACCATTCTCTGTTTACAGTTGAGAAACCGAGGCCAGAGAGGTTAAGTGACTTGCTCAAGACCATATGGGTACAAGTAGTGGTGCTCCCATACCAGTCGGGATTTTGCTTCTGCTCTGACCACTTGCATGGTGGGACTAGGTGGTCTCTCACGTCTGAGTGGATGCCTTCTATTGCCCCTCCAGATTCATTCTCCACCCACGTACTGTAGGGAGCTTTTGTGGGCTCCTTGCGTTTTCCATGCCTTCTTCCCCCATATTTCAGGCTGTGGACTTTTTTTTTTTTTTTTTGAGACAGAGTCTCGCTCTGTCGCCCAGGATGGAGTGCAGTGGCGCGATCTTGGCTCACTGCAAGCTCCGCCTCCCAGGTTCAAGCCATTCTCCTGCCTCAGCCTCCCGGGTAGCTGGGACTGCAGGCGCCCGCCACCACGCCCAGCTAATTTTTTATATATATGTTTTTAGTAGAGATGGGGTTTCACTGTGTTAGCCAGGATGGTCTCGATCTCCTGACCTTGTGATCCACCCTCCTTGGCCTCCCAAAGTGCTGGGATTATAGGCGTGAGCCACTGCGCCCGGCCTGGGCTGTGGACTTTTGTGTCCCCTGGACCTGAAGCCCCTGTGCTCACCCTCCCTGCTGTGGGTGGGCCTGGGGATCTGTCACGGCTAAAGCTAACCAGGAGAGAGCCACATTCTGCTCGCTGTTAGGACCAGAGGGGTGGGAAAGGCAAGAATAAGCAGGTTCCAGGGTCTCCTGTACCCAGGAAGTGGATGGACAGGCCTGCTCCTCACCAGCATGGAGAAAGGAAGGGTTGGCATTGTGTTTGGTTTTTCTGTCTTTGGTGGATGTCCTTTCAGCAGTATCCTAACCCAGAAAACTGCAGTGACAGACCCCCCTTAGCCTGGGATCCTGAAAGCAGGTGTGACTCCTCCTGAGAATGGCCCTGCCCTGACCGGGGCCAGGGAGCCTGTCTTACTTGATTTTACTTTCCTGGCAATGCACAGGGTTAAACGAGCAGTCCAAGCAAGGAACATGTGGATGTCCTATCTATGTACCTACATGTCCTATTTGCATGACTACAGATGCCCTATCTGCATGTCTACATGACTACAGATGCCCTTCCATCTGACAGTCTGTTGCACACTGAGCTGCTCCTCGTTTTCATGACTTTTTTTTTTTTTTTTTAAATTGAGACGGAGGCTCACTCCGTCACCCAGGCTGGAGTGCAGTGGTGCGATCTTGGCTCACTGCGGCCACCGCCTCCCCGGGTTCAAGCGATTCTCCTGCCTCAGCCTCCTGGATAGCTGGGATTACAGGCGCGCACCACCATGCCCGGCTAATTTTTGTATTTTCAGTAGAGACAGGGTTTCGCCATGTTGGCCAGGCTGGTCTTGAGCTCCTGACCTCAGGTGATCTGCCCGCCTTGGCCTCCCAAAGTGCTGGGATTACAGGCGTGAGCCACTGCACCTGGCCCTTCATGACTTTTTAATTACTGTTTATCAGACTTTATTAGCAATAGATGCTTGAAATATGGTGCTTAATTCCAGCCTAGATTAAAAAATCGAGCATTTTTCACATAAAAGGAAACAACATGGGCTAGTCTTGTAATAAAGCAGCCCCTCCAGAATTCCAGAACAGAGGTCTGTCTGTGTTCCCCAGAGGCACTGGCTAACCAGCCTCCTCCCATATCAGGCATTTCATTAAACCCAAACCAACTGCTGAAGTGGAAGAAAGTGACAGAAGCTCAACAGCTGTGTGCCTCTGTCTGAGTGACTGGCATGACTAGATATGATGACGTGGGGACTGCCACCAGAATGCCTTTTGGAGATGTGCCATAATTTGAACCAGCCGAATCCAGGTTTCCATTGACATGGAAGTAAATTTCTGACTCTGCTGGTAACATTTGTCAGTGACATTCAAGACTCCAATCTCTCTGGCCCTGCAGATGCACACCCAGGGATATGGGGATGCCCAATCCTTTAGACATCGGGCAGTCTCTGTGCATTCTTTTAAAAAATTGAGGCAGAGTCTCACCATATTGCTTAGGCTGGTTTTGAACTCCCAGCTTCAAGTGATCTCCCACCTCAGCCTCCCAAAGTGCTGGGATTACAGTCGTGAGCCACTGTGCCCAGCCCATGCATTTTTTTAATGGACCAGGCAATCTTCCTAAGTCAGGAAGACATGTATTCTTAACCTTTTATTGATGTACGATGTACACATATCATAGATGTTCACAAAGTGAACCCATCTGTGTAGCCAACACCCAGATCAAGGCAGAACATGACCATCACCCAGGACGCTCCTTGTGCCCCTGTACAGTCACCACCAAGTGTCCAAGGATCAGCTGTCTGATTTCTGATAGCAAAAATGGGCTTTTAAACAAACATGGGATTTGATGTAACTTTTAAAAACTTGGAAAATGTAAAAACACATTATGGCATGTTTGGGGATGGATGAATGGAGATCGTGTGGCTGACCTGGGTGAAGCTTGGGCTGGAGACAGCAAGGAGTTGGTGCCGTCTGCCCAGGGCCACCTCCACTGTATGTCCTCCTGGGCTGGAAGCTCGCCCTGTAACAGCGGTGACTCCTGTGTGGTCAGTGGTCAAGGACTGGATACCGTCTCGGTCCTCTGTGTTCTCTGAAGGGATGTGACTACATCATGTGCCTCAGCCCCGTCCCTGCATGCCATCTCTCTCCACAGCACTTCTCTTCAGAGTTTTCCAGGGGCAGAGGTGAGGAAGCTCTCAAACTTCATTTAGATAGGTTCATCTTTTTGCTCAATCAGCAGGTCAATGATGCATACGTGTCAGGTCACACTGTGTTCTCAGCACTGGGTTGAGTGCTGTGGGGAAGGACAGCCAGTGCGATGGATTCACACTCCTCTCACTGTGACCTTGGAGACCCTCGCTCTGGCCCACCCCTCCTGTGCCTCACCTTGCTCCTTCTTCCCCGTCATCCCAGCCTTGTTTTCTCTGAGCCTGTTGAGGTCCTTGCCTTGGTGGCTCCCAACGGATGTTCTTCTGGCCAGTGCTGTGCTGCCAATGCCACCAATCCCTTCCAAGCAGGCTGATCTGCTGGGAGCTGTAGCCCTGGCGCGTCCCGACATGGATTCCCACAGCGTCTGCCTGTCCCGTCATGCTTTCTCTCTGGAGTCCTCCCTCCTTGGTATGGTATGTTTCTGCTCTGTTCTTTTGTGACCAGGAAAGAATGTCTTGTTTCTTCCATCCAGCCCTCCTGCTCTTTCCATTAACAGTCCAGAACATGAAACGGTTATTTTGACATGATCATTCTTGCCAGGGGTCTTAAAAAGTTATGTTTCTTTACATCTGTTGATTTGTGACTGTCACATAGGAGACAGAACTGTGCAAGAAAGACACATATTTGGGAGTCAGGAAACCAGGTCTTCTGGGCCTGATACCACCAGCAGCTCAGGGTGTGATGTTGGGCAAGTCCCTCTAGCTCTATTGAGCCAAGATGACCTCTCAGGGTCCTTCCCGGCCCAAAGTCCTGTGACAGTGGCATTAGGTATAACTAGATGCCTGGGTTTCAGCTAACCATGTAACAGGGACTGGGCAGCATTATTGTTGGCAGTGGCAGAGAGCCTGGAAAGGCAGAGGCCAAGCGGCCTGGCATCCCAGCCCCTTTCCAGACCTTTACGGAATTAAAAAACAATTTTTATTTTTAGTTATGGTTACATTTGCAATTGTAAGTGGTAATCATTTTTACTTTAGATATTCTGGAAAATACATACAATTAAAGAAGAAACATGAATCACTCATGTACCTTCCATTCTTAGAATAATCAGTGTTAAGACTGTCTGCAGAAAGTATCCAGTACAAAGTAGTGGCTGAGCCCACTGGTGATACAGAATGTATCAGGCACTGTGATTCTTGGATCTCTGGCCAAATGTAGAATCATTTACTGAGCTAAAGGCCAATTTGCTTGGAAGAGTGCATCTAATTAAAGTGAGATTAGAAAGGACGAAAGGTGTCCTTTAGGAAATAACCACACATGGCAAGCCACTGGTATGATGATGATCACCAACCCTGCAGGCCTTTTGAGGCGCTCATTCCAATTAAACTTGTCATCCTTAGTGCAGGGGGCAGCTGGGAGCTCTGGTTTGTGGCGTTCACTGTCCTTGTTTGTACCGGCATGACCCAGTCCTCTCCGTGGGCTCCTGTGGCGCCCTGGGTGTTGTTGGGTCTCAGGCCTGATCATTTGTCATAGGACAGTGGGCTCAGGCCCAGCAGTGTCTGGGCCAGTCTCCCTTCTTTGTCCCAGTGCCCCACATGCTGTGGGCTCCGTGGATGCCTGTTGAAGGAGCGGAGGGACTTCCATTAGGCCGTGAAGGTGGAATAAGGGATTTTTAGCTGGGGTTATGGCTCTGAGACAGTTTTACTAAAATTGGTCTAGCAGTTTCTCTGCCAGACACTTTTCTAAGCACTTCTTATGCTTTACTCACCTGTATTACGTTGTTCAATCCTCCCAACAACCCTACTTTATTAACCCCATTTCACAGATGGAGAAACTGAGCTACACAGAAGTTAAGTGGCCCGCCTAGTACTTTTATGAAGTATCTTTGCTGAGTCTGGCTGCTGAGTTGGAGATTTTGACCACTGTGTTGTGATGCCTCTTAGCTCTTGGAAGTTTCTCCTTTCTAACAAAGAAGAAACTTCAGGGGCTACTGTGGCTAGGGTAGGTCAAGGCTGAGGTCTTTTTGTACTCTGGTGGAGCCAGGGCCATTCCAGGAGCAGCAAAGAAGGCAGAGTGTGGAGGCATGCCTGAGCTGACTGGAGGAGTTGGGTCCCACTCTTGCAACGAGAGGCTGTCTCCAGCTTTCTCTTCTGTCCAGGAGCCTGTGCCTGCACAAGTGCCTCCCTGCAGGGCAGTGGACAGAGCCCCAGAGGCTCGGAGGCACATGGGCTGCCTTGTGTTCCTCTGAAGAGGTGTGGGTTAGGGCAAGTGGACCATGTCCTCAGGGGTGCTCGTGTGACATCCCCAAGTGCTGCAGGCATAGGTAGGGGTGTGCCAGCCCATACTTCCCTTGGGCGTGAGCAAGATGCCTTGTCTGGGGGTCAGGAGCAACCCCAGGCTGTGTGCAGAGGTGCTTGAACCAAATTTTGTTTTGTTTTGTCTTTTGTTTTTGAGGCAGAGTCTCGCTCTGTTGCCCAGGCTGGAGTGCAGTGGCAATATCTCAGCTCACTGCAACCTTGCTTCCGAGTTTCAAGCAATTCTCGTGCCTCAGCTTCCCAAGTACCTGGGATTACAGGCACACTCCACCTTGGCCGGCTAATTTCTGTATTTTTAGTGGAGACGGGGTTTCACCATGCTGGCCAGGCAGGTCTCGAACTCCTGACCTCAAGTGATCCACCCGCCTTGGCCTCTCAAAGTGCTGGGATTACAGGTGTGAGCCACCATGCCTGGCCTATAACCAAATTTTGGATGACACTGTCCTTAGAGTCCATCCAGCAAACTGAACAGAAACCTTGTCCTAAAACAAAACAGGTCACCGAAATTTCCAAGGCGTGGCAACGCAGGGTAGCACTTGCCAGCGAATATTTATATCCACTCCAGTTTTTGTTTTCCATTTTTCCCCTTACAGGGAAACCAGCTGGACACAGGGTCTCGGGGTCACACGGGAAGGCAGGAGACTTTCTGCTTGAGTGTTTCAAAGGGAGTTCTTGGGATCCACAGCCAGGTTATTTTTAAGTTTTGAGAGCCATGAGTTTAAACTTGGCCAAGTTCCTTCCTCATCTTTCTTGTTGTGTGACTGTCGCTGTGTCCCCGGGGAGTGAGGATGGGTTACTCCCGGTTACTGAAAGCTGGTGGGGAGCATCTCAGGGGTCTCTACCTCCCTCCCCACAAACATGTTTTGTAGCACACAAAAAGTTCTGGAAGCCTGCCATGATGCTGTCATTCCAGGGAGGGAGTTTGCATTTAGCATGGGTCCTCCCTGCAGCTAGTTCTGGAAGGATAGTGACTGAGGTACTTAGAGGACCTAGTGGGTAAGGCACCCCTCTTAGCAGGCAGGCTCCAAGTCAGGGGGTGAGCACATATTCCAGCAGGCCCGAGCTGGCCAGCATGTGACGGCCATTTCAGGTGGTAAAGCAGGAGCAGATTTGCTTTTTGTGCCCGAAACCCCTTCTGACAATAACAGCAGCTTCCCTGTTCCCCTGCACCTCCCTGTCAGCCGAGTTGATGGATTTCCTTTCAGCAGGGTGGAACCAAGTTATGGCCACGTTTGCTCGCGTGATGGTTAGGGCTGGCCCTGAGGTTTTGCATCTGCCAAAATGTCGCCTGTTCCCTCCCCTCCTGCTACCTCAGTTTGCATTCCTTCCTGATGATGCAGTGAGGTAGTAAATTTAGAAAGAAATGGAATTGGGGGCAGCTCAGCTGCTGGCCATGGCTAGGTTCCAGGGCATTTGCTGACAGTTATCTTTACATTAAATGTGGGCAGCAAGGATTGCATTGCAGGCCTGATTGTGCTGCTTTCTGGCTGTAAGCTTGACTTTTCTGCTTCACTTTTCTGTCCTCAGTTTCTTCATATTATGGAGACTGGAGGTCCTGTGCTGCTTATAATCCTGTGTCCTTTCCCTTGCTTTGAGCCTCAGAGCCAGTTTTAGATTCAGGGTTGTTGGCTGGGAGAAGACTCTTGGCTCTGAGGGTGACAGTGGTTTAGGGAGAACTTGCTTCGGACACCTTGTGTGTATGGGCGGGGGCATCGCAGGCATGTACATTGGTTGAACTTGGAAGCTTTCCCTCATTTGCTTGCAGAGAAGCCCACTGACGGAGTGAAGAAGCCTGAGTTGGGGAGGGTGTGAAAAACGTGTACAATGACAAAGTTTGTTTAGAAGCAAGAGAGGCCCTGTCTCTAAGAAGTAAGGAGAATGACGCTGGGCACGTGGCTCACACCTATAATCCCAACACTTTTGGAGGCCGAGGCGGGCGGATCACTTGAGGTCAAGAGTTTGAGACCAGCCTGGCTAACACAGTAAAACCCTGTCTGTACTAAAAATACAAAAATTAGCTGGGTGTGGTGGCGCATGCCTGTAGTCCCAGCTACTCGGGAGGCTGAGGCAGGAGAATTGCTTGAACCTGGGAGGCGGAGGTTGCAGTGAGCCAAGATTGTGTCATTGCACTCCAGCCTGGGCAACAGAGCGAGACTCGGTATCAAAAAAAAAAAAAAAAAAAGAAGGAGAATGAAGAAATAAAACCAAACACTGAATTAGTGATAAGGTTCAAAATAGAAACCGAAAGACCTGGTCTGTAGAAGTTACTCATGAGATATTTGTTGAATGAATGAATCATGGTATGTATTTATAATATTACCCAATCAGAATAAAAAAGGGAAATATTTTGGTGACAGTGCTACTGTTTGCTCAGCAGTAGTGGCTAAGAAACAGTGGATGCTACATAGGTATTTTCTCCATAACTTGTGCCTGGTAGTAGCTGTGCCAATTTTCACCAGACCTTGATTACCTGTTAGAGTTTTGAAGGGAGAGCTTATCTGGTGAGGACTTGGGTGACGTTGCTTGTGGGAGGAGGGCCAAGCACGGAATGGAAGTTGAATGTTAGAAGTGCTAGACCTCCAGATTCAGTAAACTTGGAGAATCCCTGTCCCTTGTGGTAAACTTGAGACTTGACTACATTTTGCGGTTAAGGGAATTTCAGTCGGTCAGCATATAACCTGGGGGAGCTTCATGATGTTCTCTTCTTTTTTCTTTTTAATTCATAGGTGTGATCATAGTACACTACAGCCTCAAGCTCTTGGGCTCAAGCAGTCCTCTTGCCTCAGCCTCCCAGGTAGCTGGGATACAGGCATGTGCCACCGCGCCTGGCTCTGAATGGTTCCTTGGTTTCCTTGGTGGGTGGAGCTCCAGATTCCTGAAGCTGGAGTTGTGGGCATGAACCCCAAGTGGGTCACTGGCTTTCCTGCGGGGTTCCACAGCCCTCACTTACCCCTGCCCCAGACCTATCTTTGCATTACCACATCCAGAAAAAGTAGTTCCAAGCCAGGATAACTCATTCATTCAGCAGCTATTATTGAGTACCTACTATGTGCAAGAGACTGAATTAGGACTACTAGGGCTTCCTTTTGTCACAAACAGGTATTGCTTAGTTCCTCCTGCTGTATCTGAGCTCCTTGGTAGTGGGGTTTTTGTCTGTTTTGTTCACTGTTGTATCCCCAGGGCCCAAGGCACTGCCTGGCACACAGCAGGTACCCAGTGGAAACTTACTGAATGAGGCTGGGTGCGGTGGCCCATGCCTGTAATCCCAGCACTTTGGGAGGCCGAGGTGGGCAGATCACAAGGTCAGGAGATCGAGACCAGCCTGACCAACATGGTGAAACCCCATCTCTACTAAAACTACAAAAATTAGCTAGGCATGATGGCGCGCGCCTGTAATCCCAGCTACTCGGGAGGCTGAGGCAGAAGAATCACTTGAACCCGGGAGGCGAGTGAGCCGAGATTGTGCCACTGCATTCCAGCCTGGGCAACAGAGCAAGGCTCTGTCTCAAGAAAAAAAAGACTTCTCGAATGAATATGTGTACACTCTGGCCAGATGTGGGGAGCAGATACTCCCTGACTTCCTCCTGAGTGTCAGTGCCTTTAGCTGGGACACACATTCTGGCATCAATCCATACCCTACACTGACGTGGTAGGGAGGCAGGGGCACTGGGCTGCTGTCCACATCCCTCACCCTGACCAGAGTTACTCAGATGAGCGCTCTCATGTGGGTAGGAGATGCCTTTGGTAGCTGAGGACTAGAGGGGCCAGAAAGGGTTGGGATACATGCTTTATCTGGATAGAAACTTATAGAGTTCCAGGGACTAGCTCACCAAAGGCCTGCGCAGGTTTGGCAGGGAGCAGGGAGACATGCTGGCAGGCATGCATGGTGGCTTTGATTTGAGGAGCTGTTGGTGGGAATGAAAAGCCTAATAAGCACGTGGGCTTTGGATCTGCCACCCCCCAGCTCTGCCAACAGCTGTGAGACCTTGGGCGGGTTGTTCAGCAGCCCTGTACCTCAGTTTCCCCATCAGTAAAATGTGCATATGGTTGTGAGGACTGAATTAGCTAGTATCTGATCTAAGTTGTCCAGTACGGGAGACTGGCCACGTGCAACTGTGAAGTACTTCAAAAGGTGGCTTTTCTGAACTGAGATGTGCTTTTGAAGCACATCTGGATTTTGAAGACTTGGTATGGAGAAAAGAGTGGCTTATTAATATTTTTCATATTGATTCTATGTTGAAATGAGACTTTTGGATATATTGGCCTAAGTAAAACATTAAAATTAGTTTCACCTATTTTTACTTCCTAAGTATGGATACTTGAAAATGTAAAATCGCACGTGGCTTGCATATTTTTCTGCTGGGCAGGGCTGTGCCTTACAAAGCACTTAGAACAGGCTGTAACACATGGTCGTTTGCTGTATACATTCTCTTGCTTTGTCATTTTCTCAAAAGCATGGAAGCGTCTTTACCTTGTCCCATCTGAAAGCCAAGCCCAATCGATTTGTTCAGAACCACAAATGCTTAAACAAAAAGATCATCATTTGTTCAAGGGAGGCTGATTTCATGATTGCCAACCACCAAGTGAGCCCACTGAGGCCAAATGCCTGATGCAAGGGATGGCAGGCTGCTCCCACGCAGCCTTAGAACGAATCCGTTCCCACTTGAAGCAGGGGGGCTCTGGGGTCCGAAGCTGCTGTGTGCACAGGGCTTGATGGAGCAGGTGGTCATTGCAGCTGAGCCAACTTTCCAGCGCCTTAAAAAATACACTCAGTTTAGCAAGTACAGGCAGAAAGCCCAAAGAGATGGCCCATCCCCTTGAGGGAGGTAGAGAAGTGAACGATGGTGTTTCCTGTCCCAAGAGGTGGGAGGAAGGCTGTTTGGGATTTGGCTCATCAGGGGCCACAGGCTACTGGGATGCCTATGTCCTATCCCTCTGTGTAGGCTATGGAGCCCTTTCCTGGGTATGGGCCTCCCAATAAGCCTGTGGCCAATGCAGGGGCAGGCTGGGAGGTGGCTTTCCAGGCAGCTTGCAAAGGCCTGTTTGTCTGAGGCTTGTCCTGACATCACTGAGGCTTTGCTTGCAGGTGGCAGGGACTTACACAGAGGCTCTTTGTTGGCCAGCCACAGAGGTCAGTTAGAAGCCATGAATGGACTGGAGCTGGCAGCCCCTCCTCTACCCATAGCACACAGCTGCCACCTCTCTGGGTTGCCCATGCCTGACGGTGGGTGTGTGAGGTGTGGGGAGAGGCATCTCTGCCCAAATTTGTAGCCAGAGAGCAGAGGAAGTGAAGTTGGTGGGAGGCGGTGAGGAAGGCAGGGAGAAAGAAAGGAGGTGGTGTTGAGGAAGCTAGCATGGCTTCTGCCCAGCTCTGTCATGGTTTGCAGGTGCGCGCTCTCTCTCTCTCTCTCTCTCTCTCTCTCTTTAAAGACAAATTCTCACTCTGTACCCAGGTTAGAGTTCAGTGGCACCATCTTAGCTCACTGTAGCCTTGGCTTCCTGGGCTCAAGCAATCCTCCCATCCCAGCCCCCCGAATAACTGGAAACACAGGTATGCACAACCATGCCTGGCTAATTTGTTAATTTTTGTAGAGGCAGGGTCTCGCTGTCTTGCCCAGGCTGGTCTTGAACTCCTGGGCTCAAGTGATCCTCCCACCTCGGCCTCCCAAAGTGCTAGGATAACAGGTGTGAGCCACTGTGCCAGGCCTTTTGCAGGCTATTTGATGTCTGCATTGGATACTTGGGGTCAGGCTCAATGCCTGGAAGTCATTTAGTGTCATTCTGCTGTGCTCTATTACTTTAAGCATTCACAAGCCTTTCCACACTCTCACTTCTTGATAGGAGGAGTGTCTAGGAATTGTTTTCAAAATGCTGTATTTGCATACAGAGAAATGTGTAGTTCAGTGAGTTTTGACAGATGCATGCACCTGTGTGACCCACATTCCTATCAAGATATAGAATAGTTCCATCCCCAGAAAGTTCCCTCATGCTTCTTTCCAGTTAGTGCTCACCTCCAGGCAACTACAATTCTGATTTTTTAAAATCATTTATTAGTTTTGCCCATTCTAAGATGTAATATAAATGGATTCATATAGTATTTATATACAGTTGATCTTCATTATCCACAGATTCTGTATTTGTGAATCAGCTTACTTGCTAAAATTTATTTGTAACCCCAAAATTAATACTCACAGTTCTTTTGTGATCATTCACAGATATAACAGAGTGCTGAAAAGTTTGAGTCCCCTGACGCCTATCTTCCCAGCTGAAGTCGAACAAGGCAACGCTCCGCCTTCTTGTTTCAGGTCATGCAGTAAACAGGTGTCCTTTTCATGGTCTATTTAGTGCCATGGTTTTTGCATTTTTGTGGTTTTTGTTGATGATTTTGCTGTTTCAAATGGCCCCCAGGCACAGTGCTGGAGTGCTTTCTAGTGTTCCTAAGAGCAAGAGGGCTGTGATGTGCTTTACAACGAGAATATGTATGAGAGAAGCTTTCTTCAGGCACGAGCTACAGGGCTGTTGGCTGAGGGTTCGATGTTAATGAATCAACAATATATACTAAGGAAGGTGTCTCTAAATAGAAGCACACATAAAACAAGGTCATATATTCATCAGTTGATGAAAGTGTTGTGGTCAGAAGTTTTCAGAAACCTAACCCTGTATTTCTGCCAGAAGCAGTGGTTCAGTATTGACTGATTCAGTATTCTTGCCAAATAATGAGAATCAACTATAGTACTCCTTTGTCCAGCTTATTTCACTCAGATAATATCTGTGAAATTCAGCTATGCTGTTGCATTATCAACTGGGCTTTTTGCATTATCAATTGTGCTTTTGTTTTACTGCTGAGTAATATTACATTGTATGGATACACCACAAGATTTGTTTTTCCATTTCCCTGTTGAGGTTTTTTTTTTTTTTTCATTTTTGGCTATTATGAATAAGTCTGTTAGGATTGTTTTTGTGTAAGACTTTGGGTTTTTTTTTTGTTTGTTTTTTTCTTTTGTAAATATGGGATCTCGCTATGTTGTCCAGGTTGGTTTTGAACTCCTGGCTTCAAGTGATTCTCCTGCCTTGGCCTCCTAAAGTGCTGGAATTATAGGCATGAGCCACTGCACCTTATATGTACAAGTCTTTGTATAGACACAGGCTTTCGTTTCTCTTGGGTAAATACCTAGGAGTAGAATTGCTGGATCATGGAGTAGGTGTATGTATAACTTTTTTAGCAACTGCCAAAAACTTTTCCAAAGTGGCCGTGCCACTTAGCATTCCCACAGCAGTGTGAAAGTTCCTCTGATTCTCCAGCTGTTTTTAGAATTTCTTGGGGGCCCTGCTTTACTTGTTGCTTTCTAAGCCACCTGTTCTCTGAGCTGGCAACGCTTGGCTGATACCCTCCCAATTTCCTCTGTTAAAATATTATCTTCACAAGATATTTTATTCCTTTCTTGATAGTGATGGGCTGTGAGCCCATCACTATTTTACTTTGCTTCTTTGCTCTCTTAAGAGTTTGATTTAAAAAACATTTTTTTGTTTTTGCTTTTACCAGTTTTCTCTAGTACAGAAATCCTCTTAGGCTGGGCACAGTGGCTCATGCTTGTCATCCCAGCACTTTGGGAGGCCGAGGCGGGTGGATCACGAGGTCAGGAGATCGAGACCATCCTGGCTAACATGGTGAAACCCAGCCTCTACAACAAATATAAAAAATTAGCCGGGCGTGGTGGCGGGCACCTGTAGTTAAAAAAAAAAAAAAAAAAGGAAATCCTCTGCCCGGGTGCTGTGGTTCACGCACTTTGTAATCCCAGCACTTTGGGAGCTGAGGCAGGGGGATTGCTTGAGCTTAGAGATTCAAGACCAGCCTGGGCAACATGGTGAAACTTTGTCTCTACGAAAAATAAAAAAATTAGCTGGGCGTGGTGGTGCGTGCCTATAGTTCCAGGTACCGGGGAGGCTGAGGTGGGAGGATCATATGAGCCCAGGAGGTCAAAGCTGCAGTGAGCCATGATCACACCACTGCATTCCAGCCTGGGCAACAGAATGAGGCCCTGTCTCAAAAAAAGTGATAATAATAATAAAATAAAAAATAAATTCCTGGGTGTTTTTTTTTTTTTTTGCCGTTTTTTAAACCTTAAACACAGCTAACTGTAGAAAAGTCAGAAAGTATAGAAAAAAATTGGAAAGGTCACCGATCATCCTACTCTAGGGATAATCACTGTTAGGATAGACTTTTTTTTCTTTTACACATAGATATTTAATTTTAAAGAATTTGAGTGAACTAAAATTAACTTTGTTGTAGATTTGGGGACTTTAGTGAAAGTTGGGCCAATAGAGGATGTCGGGGAGCAGAACTTCCCCTCTTCTCTCTTGGGGTCCTGGTGGGGTCTGAAAACTAAATTGACATAGGTAAATAGAAGAGCATACACATTTAATAAAAGTTCTATGTGACACGGGAGCCCTCATAAACAAATGAAGACCCAAAGCAGTGGCAAAACATACATGTGTTTATATGAGGTTGAACAAAGAGAGGCATTTGTGGGAAAGTAACCAAATTATGTGGGGAGGCTAAAGGAAAGTAAGCCTTATTTTAACAAGGTCTGTTTGTACAGAATTTTCTCTGCTGTTACTCTCCATTGAAGAGTGTTTGTTTTCTCATGGTACAGGGAGGGCACCTTTTATTTTATTTTGTATTTTATTTGTATGGATTTAGGGGGGAGAAGTGCACTTTTGTTACATGGATCTATTGCCTACTGGTGAAATCTGGGTTTTAGTGTAACCATCAACTGAACAGTGTAAATTGTTCCCACTAAGTAATTTCTGGCTGGGCAGTAATCCCAGCACTTTGGGAGGCTGAGGGGAGTGGGGATATCTTGAGCCTGGGAAGTTGAGGCTGCCTGGGCCACATGGCAAAACCCCATCTCTACTAAAAATGCGAAAAATTAGCCGGGCAAGGTGGTGCGTGCCTGTGGTTCCAGCTACTTTGGAGGCTGAGGTGGGAGGACTGCCTGAGACTGGGAAGTTGAGGCTGCAGTGATCCATAGTCACGCCTGTGTACTCCAACCTGGGTGGGTTGACAACTTGTCTCAAAAAAAAAAAAAAGTAATTTCTCATCCCTCACTCCCCACCCACCCTCTTCCCCTTCCCTTCTAAGCCTCCAATGTCTGTCATTCCGCACTGTATGTCCATAGGGAGGGGGTACCTTTTACATGGGAGTTTTCGTCTCCTGAAGATGAAGATGCCCTTCTTGCATCTGCTGTTTTTCAAGTGTCTTTAGTTTGATATAATACTATGTCAAAGTGGCATATTTTGGGGCGGCATCTTCAGCCAGCCTTCAGGGGCCTCTAGGGATTAAAAATAGAGTTCAGAAGCCAGCATATGAAACATTTTCCCTTTCTGCTACTTGTTGGCAATGCTGCTTCCCTCTGGTTTAAGAAACTTTCTGGGAGACTTGTGTCACCCCAGTTTCTGCCTTTATTTTTCGCAGGAATGGCTGGGTTCTATTTTGATATGAGTAATTTTGGAATCAGAATTGAGAACTGGGCCCCCTTCCTCCTGACCCCAACAGGGATCTCTTGCCAGCTGCCCCCAACAGGGATCTCTTGCCAGCATCTTCCTGACAAACCTCTGTTCCTTGCTGTCTCACTCTCTCGAGGGACAGCTGGACAAGTGTCAATGAGTTGAGATTGTTAGAAGGTTTTTCTTCTCCAGCCAGCAGCCTTCCCAAAGACCTGACCTACTTAGCAGGCAGATGGATCCTGTAAAAACAAAACCGGGTCACATCCCTCCTGGGCTTGGAAAGAATCCTTCAGTGCCCCCGACCCCTTCTTCCTCACCCACAGAATTGGAGCCAAAGTCCTGAAAGTAGCCTTGGAGGTCCTGCCTTCCCCACCCTGAGTCCCTGCTGTGTGCTGCACCCGGGTCCCCCTCCTGGCTGTGAGCCCATCACTATTCCAGTTTCTTTCCACTGCACAAGGTAGTTGTTCAGGCCCCTCCCTGAAAGATGTGTTGGTTCTTCAAGATTCACAAGCAAATCATGCCTGTGTGTGCATTGCAGATAGCTCACTTACATTAGATTTGATATGAGAAAGTCTTTTTTTTTTTTTTTGAGACGGAATCTTGCTTTGTCTCCCAGGCTGGAGTGTGGTGGCGCAATCTTGGCTCACTGCAGCCTCTGTCTCCCGGGCTCAAGTGATTCAAGCTGAGGTTACAGGTGTGCGCCACCATGCCCAGCTAATTTTTGTATTTTTAGTAGAGACGGGGTTTCACCATGTTGGCTAGGCTGGTCTCGAACTCCTGACCTCGTGATCCACCCGCCTTGGCCTCCCAAAGTGCTGGGATTACAGGTGTGAGCCACCGTGCCTGGCCTATTTTTTTTTTTTTTTTTGAGACAGAGTCTAGCTCTGTCGCCCAGGCTGGAGTGCAGTGGCACCATCTCAGCTCACTGCAGCCTCTGCCTCTCAGGTTCAAGCAGTTCTCCTGCCTCGGCCTCCCTAGTAGCTGGGACTACAGGTGTGTGCCACCCCACCTGGCTAATTTATTTTATTATTATTTGTATTTTTAGTAGAGATGGGGTTTCACCATGTTGGCCAGGCTGGTCTCAAACTCCTGACCTCAGGTGATCTACTCACCTCGGCCTCCCAAAGTGCTGGGATTACAGGTGTGAGCCACTGCACCAGTCCAAGATAGTCTTAAAAAGCAATGTTTTTGTCTTTTCTAAGAAAGGGCCCTGATGGTTTGCCCTGCGTTACACTCCCAGGCAGGCACAGAACCGATGTTAAACTCTCCATTTTATCACATGAACCCTGCCCAGTGCCCTACCCATTCCTCCCACGCCAGGCTCATGACTGCATGTCAAGCACAGTTGTGCCAGGTGTCTACCTGCTCCATTTCTCCTCCTCCCAGCAGCCCTGCAAAGTGCCCGCCAATTTTCTCTCCTGTTTTGAAGATGCGAAAACTAAAGCAGAGAGCCACAAGGTCACTCACCTGGTAAGCTGCAGAACTGAACAAAGTGTGCTTGTGAAACTTTCTGTTTGTTCTAAGGAGACAACTGTGGGTGGGTGGACTCTGCTGGAGGCTGTCCCTTGCCTGGCTGGCAGCAACCAAGCCTTCTGCTTCTGACTTGCTGGGGAGCGGGAGGACGGGAAGGGCTGTCGGTGGGGAAATTGGAGAGAATACAAAACCTCCCCTCAGCTTTAATAGGCTCTACCAACAGTTTTCACTTTGCCTCTTTTCCTTCTCTGGTATAGCCTTCCTCCTCTTTGGTGAATGCAGATTCAGAGCATCTCTAAAATCTACTCTGTGTTACTTCTGAGGAGAATTCGGGATTTTATTTTTTCTGGAAAAATGAAAGGATTTTCATTCTGGTTCCCTTCTGGTTCCGTGTGGTGGGGCACCTCACTGCCTGAGGTCACTGACCTCTGAGCCCTTCTTGCCACTCCAGTCATCTCTGCCCCACATGGACACACTCAGCCGCCTGCTGGAGTTTGTGTTTTCCGTGGTTGGAGGGAGGCAGGAGGGCAGTTGAAAGCGTGCTGAGTGGGGAGATGGGAGCAGGGAGCTGTGAGAAGGAGAGAAGCTAAGGTCAGATTGCGTGCGTCATTCATTCATTCCTTCACTCACTTGGTAGATGTTTATTGAGCGCCTGCTGTGAGCTTGGCACCTGCTCAGGTCAAAAGGGTGGCTGAGTCCTCAAGGGCCCTGCTGTCCTATGGGGACAGTTCCAATACAGTGTGGTCATTACCCAGTGGAGGAGTAGGGAGGGGCGTGGGGCAGGGAAGGAGAGAGCTCAGTCCGGAGAGTCTGGGAGGCCTGGGGAAGAACTCAGGAGGTTTTGTGAAGTGCAGTGTGTGGAATGTGGGTGTCTGTGAGGAGAGTGGTTTTATCTTTTTATGAATTCACTGTGCTAAGGCCTGGAAGAAAACACCTTTCCTAGAAAGGGAGGGAAGGAAATGAACTTTTATGGGGCACCTCTGTGCCAGGAGCAGAGGTAAGAGCTTACATGATCTCACTTAATCCTCACCGCTACCCTGTGAGATGCATTTATTGTCACAGCCCATTTGGTGGGTGAAGAAGCCACAACGATGCCCGAGGTCAGATCTGAACCCAGTGCTTATACCAAAACCCACTGTTTACAGTTCCACTGCAGGAGGGAGGCTGTGGACGTGGGGAGGAAGGTCTTGCCGCTGGGACCCACCAGGACTGCAGGGTGGTCCTTAGGTTCAGCAAGAGTGGACCCGAATTCTGGGGCTAGTGATGCTGTGATTCCTGATCTGCTTGCTGTTTACCAGGAGTGCTTACTTTGTGAAAAATTATTGCGTTGTAAACTTAACAATATTTGGGCTTTTCTTTATGTATGCATCACTAAAAATGTTTTTTAAAAAACTATACTCTCTAGAAAAGGACAATGAGGTAATGGTTTTGGAAATCATAAAATGTTTTTGTTGCTTGTCTTATCTAAACTGATTACCAGTTGTGTGTATAATAAATGCTAGCTCTTCTTTATTTATCTATTATTTTTTTTTCTTGTAGAGACAGAGTCTTACTATAGCCCAGGCTGGTCTTGAACTCCTGGGCTCAAGCAGTCCTCCCGCTTCAGCCTCCTAAAGTTCTGAGATTATAGATGTGAGCCACTGTGCCCAGCTGCGAGCTCTTCTTTATACTTGAGTTTAGATTGCCAGATTTAACAAATAAAAATACATTTGAATGTCAGATAAACAACAAATAATTTTCAGTATAAATATGTACCATGTGATGGTACTTACACTAAAAATACTTGTTTATCTGATATTCGAATTTGCATGGGACAGTCACTAAAAATTATTTGTTGCTATGCTTAAATTCACGTTTTAAGGCTGGGCATGGTGGATCACGCCTGTAATCCCAGCACTTTGGGAGGCCAAGATGGGCAGATCACCTGAGGTCAGGAGTCTGAGACCAGCCTGGCCAACATGGTAAAACCCCATCTCTACTAAAAATATAAAAATTAGCCGGGTGTGGTGATGGGCACCTGTAATCCCAACTACTCGGGAGACTGAAGCAGGAGAATCGCTTGAACCTGGGAAGCGGAGGTTGTGGTGAGCTGAGATTGCACCACTATACTCCAGCCTGGGCAACAGAGTGAAACTCCATCTAAAAAAATTAATAATAATAACCAACCCCCCGCCCCCCCCCCCAAAAAAAGCACATTTTACTGGGCATCCTATATTTTATCTGGCAACCCTAAATTAAGCTGAGACCTGAAGGGAGTAAGGAGTACAACTGAGCCTTATTTGAGAGATCAGAGAATTTCCAGGCCAGATGGAAGGAAATAATCCAGTAGAGAAGCAAATTGGTGGAGGATGTCGGATGGGGTATTCTAAATTGCTGGTGGGAAAACTGAACTGATGTCAAGAGTGGGTATGTGGAGTGACCTGGAAAGGGAGAAGCGATATGAATGTTGCACTACTCAGCCTGCATGATGGGGTCAAGACACTTTCTGCTGGAGGTTGACATTTGTTTTAGTAGTTTATGTTGATGCAAAGATCCTGGGAAACATGCATGATTTTGAGCCTTTTCACAAGGAAGGGTGATGTTAAAAGTGAGCTAACTTGAGAAACTGGCTTCAAAATCTGGGCCAATTTGAGCAACAAAATAAATAATGGTAGAAGGGTATTGTAACCCAGAGAATAAAATAAATATCCACAAGTCCTTAATGATGATATAAATACATAAGTGGGGAGAAGGGAAAACTTTTGTACAGAGGATTCCATTAGTAAAATGTAGAAAGAATGATGAAAATGAAGAGGTCAGCATTTGGAAAGACCACTGTAATAGTTGTTGCTGTCAAGAATCATCAATGGGGCTGGGCATGGTGGCTCATGCTTGTAATCCTAGCACTTGGGGAGTCCAAGGTGTGTGGATCACTTGAAGTCAGGTGTTTGAGACCAGCCTGGCCAACATGATGAAACCCTGTCTCTATTAAAAATTAGCTAGAAATCGCTTGAACCTGGGGGGCAGAAGTTGCAGTGAGCCAAGATTGCACCATTGCACTCCAACCTGGGCAACAGAGCAAGACTCTGTCTCAAAAAACAAACAAAAAGAATCATCAATGGATGCTGCATAGTGGGCAAAAATATGATAAGGAATCTCAAATATTTCTTCATAAAGCTCTTGCGCTAATTCCAAAGAGAAAAAGAGTAATTTTACAGTGGAGAAATCTGGCCAATACCACCTTAA
This sequence comes from Homo sapiens, assembly GCF_000001405.40. Taxonomy (NCBI): domain Eukaryota; kingdom Metazoa; phylum Chordata; class Mammalia; order Primates; family Hominidae; genus Homo; species Homo sapiens. The sequence goes on from NC_000003.12 coordinate 45,620,882, forward strand.
CTAAGTGATCAAGTTAACACCAGCAGTAAAATGTTCTATTCTGCATGTTGACATCATGTACACCCATGTATGATGTACTGAGGAGGGTACACCATCACTCCTGGGACATTCCTGCCAAAAATGCATATCCTCAGTCTGATCATGAAGAAACATTAGGCAAACCCCAGTTCGGGACAGCATGCAAGATAATTGGCCTATACTCTTCCAAAGTACCAAGGTCAAGAAAGACAAAGACTGAGGAGCTGTCCCAGGTTAAAGGAGACCAAGAGAGACAACCACTAAATGCAGTGGATTTAGTTCCAGGATTGAATTCCTCCCTTCCCCTCCCCTCCCCTCTCTTTTTTCCTTTCCTTTTCCCTTTTCTTTCCTTACAGGGTCTTGCTCTGTTGCCAGACTGGACTGCAGTGGTGTGACCATGGCTCACTGCAGCCATGAACTCCCAGGCTCGAACAATCCTCCCACTTCAGCCTCCCAAGTGGCTGGGTCTACAGGCATGTACCACCACACCTGGCTAATTTTTTAAATCTTTTTTATTTTATGTAGAGACAGGGGTCTTACTCTGTTGCCAGGCTGGTCTTGAACTCCTAGGCTCAAGAGATCCTCCCACCTTGACTTCCCAAAGTGTTGGGATTATAGGTGTGAGCCACTGTGCCTGGCCAACATTTTCATTATTATAGAAACGTTTCTATTAGGCAGTGCTACTCTAGAATATGATTTTTAAAAGTTGTGTAGTATTTACTTAACTTTACCTCTGCATTGGTTATTTATATTTTCTATTTTTCGTATTTAAGTGTTTAATATTTTGATGAGTAGTTTTGTACATTCTTTCTTAAACAACAGCATTTAATAACAGGTATACTTCACATTACCGTAAATCCATCAATTGAAATTGTGCAATTCAGGCTGGGCGCGGTGGCTCACACCTGTCATCCCAGCACTTTGGGAGGCTGAAGTGGGTGGATCAAAAAGTCAGGAGATCGAGACCATCCTGGCCAAAATGCTGAAACCCCGTGTGTACTAAAAATACAAAAGTTAGCCAGGCATGGTGGTGCGTGCCTATAATCCCAGCTACTCGGGAGGCTGAGGCAGGAGAATCACTTGAACCAGGGAGTTGGAGGCTGCAGTGAGCCGAGATCACACCACTGTACTCCAGTCTGGCGACAGAGCGAGACTCCATCTCAAAAAAAAAAAAAAAGAAATTGTGTAATTCACTGGTTTTTAGTGTATTTGCAGAGTTGTGCAACCATCACCACTATCTAATTTTAGAAGAATTTTATTATCCCAGAAAATAAACTCTACTCCCACTAGCTGTCACTCCCTGCTCCGCTGTCCTCCAGCCCTGGGTAAACAGGAATCTACTAGCTGTCTCTGTGCACATCTATTTTGGGGAGAATTTTAAATTATTTTCCTTAGGAAAAATTCTGTTAAATTACAGTAGTCTGCCCTCATGCGTGAGGGATATAGTCCAAGACCCCCAGTGGATGCCTGAAACTGTGGGTAGTACTGAACCCTATACACACTGTGACTTTTCCTGTACACACATACCTATGATAAACTTTAAATTACATATCAGGCATGGTAAGAGATGAACAAATACAATTATAAAATAGAACAATTATAGCACAATTATAGCAGTTCACTGTAATAAAAATTACGTGAATGTGGTCTTTCTCTTTCAAAATATCTTGCTGTACTATACTCACCCGTGTTTTGACAATGGTTGACTGAGACTGAGGAAAGGGGAGACTGCTGTATGGGGTCAAATAGTGTGAACTTTTTTAAAGGAATTTTTTTTTTTTTTTTTTTAAACAGAGTCTCATGCTGTCACCCAGGCTGGATTGCAGTGGCATGATCTTGGCTCACTGCAACCTCCGCCTCCCAGGTTCAAGCAATTCTCCTGCCTCAGCCTCCCAAGTAGCTGGGACTACAGGCGTGGCTACTGCACCTGGCTAATTTTTGTATTTTTAGTAGAGACAGGGTTTCACCATGTTGGCCAGGCTGGTCTGGAACTCCTGACCTAAGGTGATGATCCCGCCTTGGCCTCCCAAAGTGCTGTGATTACAGGCGTGAGCCACCGCACCTGGCCTTTTAAAGGTTTTTGATGCATCATGCCAAACTGCCCTCCAGAAAGGTTGTCCACGTTTATGCTTCCATTAAGAGTGTATGAGAGAGCCCTTTCTCTACACCTCGGTGACACTGTTATCATCCTTATTTTCCATCTTTGTCAATCAGGTTAGTGACAAGTGGCATCCCCTCTTTGCATGTGACTCCTAGCAAGGAACACCTTTTTGAATGCTGCTTGGCCATTCCTATTTCGTATTAGAGTTGAGAAAGCTCATCAGCCTCTGTGTGGAGAGACTCGAAGTTAAGACCCTCGTGAGGAAAAAGGAAGACCAGACAGAAGGGTATAACCAGAGGCTGCAGGCTGGGCTGCCCTGGCGATAGCTGGAGGAGAGCTTCATGTAGGAGTTGGGGGTGGGGTGCAGGACTTGCTCAGGGGTACTTTGAGCTCCTTGTTTCCCTGTAGAGTGGAGGCCAGGAATCATTTAGGCCAGGGAATAGTAGTGTCCTTGGGCAAAAGTATACCTACGGGCAGTCTGGCAGGGCAAGCTCAAGCTCACAGTGATTGGGAAATTGCATTAGAAACTTCCTTTCCCACTGTGATGAAGTAAGGCCATCGTTGGTTTTGAGGCCATGTGTGTTTTAATGGCAAGTTCAGAATGAAAAAAAGTAGGCTGGCACAATGACCCTATGGCCCATAGTGGTCTTAAGTACTTCCTTTGTGGCTTGGTGATGGCTTTACCCATTGACGTGAGAGCTGCAGAGTGTGTGAGGGAGAGGGCAGAGGCAGGGGATGTCCAGGATGCCAGGTAGGATGCAGGGTGTTGCGTTATCTACATCTGTGGTTCTCGTCCCTGGCTGTGCACTAGAGTCAGCTGGAGAGCTTTGGCCTTACCCCCAAAACGGGACCCTGTCTCTGGAGGTAGTGTTGGGCATTCGCACATCGATTCTGTACAGCCAGACTTGAGAAGTGGGAATTTGATATGCGTGTTAGTCAGGAGCCCAGCAGCAGCCACCCCTGGAGATCTTTTGTGAGCTTTTAGAGTGGCTGGGGGAAGACTGTTGCTGTGATCATTGGTCTAGCTCTGTCCCAAGGACTTGGCTCCTCTTCAGAACCTGCTGATGCCCAGAGCTGTCCAGGTACACAGGCAGCAACTTTTGGCCAAGAAAGAGCCTTGCTCAAGCTGTGTTTGGGATAACTCATAAAATTATGTTCCAGGCTGATCTTTCTAGCATCCCTGCAGATGCTGACTGGATGCCCTGACCCTTGCCCCAACCCCTTTCAGCATACAGTAGGTGGTTCATAGCTATGTGATCTTGCATGATGTCTGGTGGTGTGGTGGGGGCACTGCTCTGGGAGGCCTCCCTTCTTCACTGAGAGGGAAGTGGCACAAAATAAAGTCGAGATGTGAGACGGGGGTAGGAGCAGGGCCACATTCATTGGCTAGCCTGGTAGAGCCTTTTTATTTAAAAGCTTTCCATCGGCCAGGCGCGGTGTCTCACGCCTGTAATCCCAGCACTTTGGGAGGCCGAGGTGGGCGGATCATGAGGTCAGGAGATCGAGACCATCCTGGCTAAACAGTGAAACCCCATCTCTACTGAAAATACAAAAAAATAAAAATAAAAAGAAATTAGCCGGGTGTGGTGGCGGGCGCCTGTAGTCCCAGCTACTCAGGAGGCTGAGGCAGGAGAATGGCGTGAACCCAGGAGGCGGAGCTTGCAGAGAGCCAAGATTGCGCCACTGCACTCCAGCCTGGGCGACAGAGCGAGACTCCGCCTCAAAAACAAAACAAAACAAAAAAAAACTTTCCATCACAACAGGAGATGCTGACTTGGTCGTCACCCTGGTTGGCTGCATCCTCAGCCTGGCTGTGGACAGGAAGGAGGCAGGAATTGTCTTCTAGCCAACTGTCTTGCTAAGGGTGCTCTGCTATCTTCCTTTTTTTTTTTTTTTTTGTAAATGCTGCCTTTGCTGGGAGAGTGGAGTAGGTGCCCCCCAAAGTTCAAATTGTTTTTCGGCTTTGGGTGTGCAGAAGATGATTTAATACCAATTCAGGGTAACTTATTTCACGTGGAAGGCTGCCCAGGCCAGGCAGGGTTGTATCTGCAGTTGACCAGTTTTGCCGTATGTTAATGGTTTTCAGATAATCTTCCTGGAACCACTGCAGGGGGCCAGGACAGCCTAGGAGGCAGAGTGGTCTCTGTCCCACCCTAAATCATAGTGATTTCTCTTATGTGTGTTATATATAGTTGAGGTTCCATTGATACTTTTTAAAAGAAAAGTTTCTACCCATTTAAACCATTTGAGAACCACTGTTGTGCACAGAGAAAGTTAGGTCAGCCTGATTTTTATATATAGCTCACTGATGCCATTAATATGGAGCCTAAACAAACAAGAAATGCCGAGTACCTCACACTCAGTAGATGCCGAATAAGCATGGAACACAGTTGTGTATGTGCCTCTGCCTTTCCTGTCTCTGAGCCTTCATTTACCTAGAACACCTTCCTGCTGACTCTGGTTTTTGAATGTGTTCAGTGCTTATTTGGCATCTACTGTGTGTGAGGCACTCAGCATTTCTTGTTTGTGGGATCCTTTGGGGTTTGAATATGCCCCCCACAGTTCAAGTGTTGGAAACTGAATCCCCAAGGCAACAGTGTTGAGAGGTGGGACCTTTAAGAGGTGATTAGGTCATGAAGACTCTGCCCTTGTGAATGGATTAATAATGGTATATCTGGAGCGGGTTCCTGGTAAAAGGATGGATTTAGCCCCCTTCCCTGCTTTCTCTTGCACATGCTTTCACCCTTCCATGATGCAGTAAGAAGGCCCTTGGCAGATACGGGCCCTTCATCCTTGGACTTCCCAGCCTCTAGAACTGTAAGAAATAAATGTCTGCTCTTTATAAATTACTCAGTCTCGGGTATTCCATTATAGTAGCACAAAATGGATTAAGATATGGCGATACTAAAATATACAGCCAGAGCCCTGCCCTGGCTTATTTGGCTCAGTAAGCTTATTTGTTTGACTAATATGAGGAGACATACACTGCTAACCCTACCTAGTATAAAATCATAAGCCACAAAAGAGAGGTGGGAGAAATGTTTGAGTAATCCTTGGTGGATCATTGCCTCCTGCTGCACATCTTTTAAAACGGGAAACTGTCCCTTGTTTTTGCCCTTTCCTGTGAGAATATTATGATTTTTAAAAGAATCTTGTATAGCCATTTTGGAAAACAGTTTGGCAGCTTCTTATAAAACTGAACATATTCTTGTTGTATAATCCAGCAGTCACCGTCCTTGGTATTTACCCAAATGAGTTGAAAACTTATGTCCACACAAAAACCTGCACACGAATGTTTATAGAAGCTTATTCATAATGACAAAATTTGGCAAGATGTCCTTCAGTAGATGACTGCATCAATAAATGGTTGTATATCCAGACAATGGCATATTATTTAGCACTAAGAAAAAATGAGCTATTGAGCCATGAAAAGACATGGAGAAACCATAAATGCATGTTAGTAAGTGAGAGAAGCCGATCTAAAAGGCTGCAGAGTGTATGATTCCAAAGATACAACATTCTGGAAAAGGCAAAACTTTGGAGAAAATAAAAGGATCAATGGTTGCCAGGGGTTTTTGGGGAGGAACAGATGAATAAGTGGAGCATAGGGGATTTTTAGGGCAGTGAAATTAGTCTGTTTGCTACTGTAATAGTAGATACATGCCATACACTTGTCCACACCCATAGAATGTACAGCACCCAGAGTGAACCCACACATGAACTGTGGACTTCGGGTGATAATGATGTGTCCATGTAGGTTCCTCATTTGTGACAAGTGTACCACTCTGGTGGGGGCTGTTGATAGGGAGGGGGGCTGTGCATGTGTGAGGAAGGGGATATATGGAAATTCTCTGTAGCTTTTGCTCAGTTTTGCTGTGAACCTAAAACTGCTCAAAAAAAAAAAAAAGTAAATTCATTGAAAAAATACTGGAAGGAAATAGGCCAAAATGATAAATATCATTTTTTAAAAATAATTCCCACTGAAGTCTGTTGGCCTATTGACTATTAATGATCTTTCAAAAATCCACTGTGCTCCCCCACCTCCTTTGGTGTCCCCGAAGGAGAGGCCCTGGGCACACAAACACCTTCTTCTGGGGCCACTCCATGCCCAGGGTTCCAAGGGCCACATTTCTCTGTGCGTAGGGGTGGGCTTGGCCTTCATCTCCTAGCTGCAGCCAAGAAGGAGCTATGCTGCCATCACTGAGCTGGGATTTGGGGATTCGCTGGTGCCCCAAAACCATGAAGATACTAAGTTTTAGGGATAAGTAGAACCCCTGGACCTTTTCTTCCCCGGTACTCCCTTAGCCCCTCTTATAAGTGCAGTAGGATGGACTGGAAAGGATATAGATAAGTCAGCCTGATTTTGCGCATTAGATTTAATCTTTGAACTTCAGTTTCTTCATGTATAAAGTGATGATGTTTTATAGAATTGTTGTTAAATGAAGAAACACATATAAACTGTCTAGCACCGTGTTGGCACTTGTGATGTTTAATAAATGCCCATTCTAGGCTAGATGTGGTGGCTCACACGTGTAATCCCAGCACTTTGGGAGGCCAAGATGGGAGGATCACTTGAAGCCAGGAGTTCAAGACCAACTTGGTCAACATAGCGAGAACCCGTCTCTTTTTTATAAAATATAAAATGAAAAAGCCCATTCTAAAGATGGAGCATCAGGGACTGGATGAACCTCCTGCCTAAAACAACCAAAAAAAAAAAAAAAAAAAGGCCAGGTGCGGTAGCTCATGCCTGTAATCCCAGCACTTTGGGAGGCCGAGGCGGGTGGATCACTTGAGGTCAGGAGTTCGATACCAGCCTGGCCAACATGGCGAAACACCATCTCTACTGAAAATACAAAAATTAGCGAGGCATGGTGTTGCACGCCTGTAGTCCCAGCTACTCAGGAGGCTGAGGCAGGAGAATCGCTTGAACCTGGGAGGCGGAGGTTGCAGTGAGCCAAGATGGTGCCACTGCACTCCAGCCTGGGTGACAGAGTGAGACCCCATCTCAAAAAAAAAAAAGAAAAAAGAATATATGAACCAAAGGTTTTCAAGACACTGGACATCAAGAAGGTGATTCTTGAGAGATAGGAAGCAAATGAGGTGAGCCCAGTGACAGCCCCAGCTAATTGCCTCGAGAGAATTTCCAGGCCTTGGCACAGGGAGGGAGAAGAGAGGCAGAACCTGGTGGACTCCCTGAGTTGAAAAGGAGCTGAGAGTCTATGGGGACCAAGGCAGCTAGTTTGTAGGACTCTAGCAAAACCTTTGTGAAGCAATATCTGATAAAGAACTTGTATCTAGAATGTATAAGAAGTTCTCATAACAGTAAGAAAAAAAACAGGCAAAAGATTTGGGCGTCTCACTAAAGAAGAAAAGGATGACAAATAAGCAGGTGAAAAGATGCTCACACACAACATCAGTTACTAGAGAGATGCAGATTAAAACTACAATGAGATGCTACTGTATAACCTATTACAATAGAATGGATAACATTTAAAAGACTATTCATGCCAAGTGTTGGCAAGGATGTGGAGAATTTGGAACTCTAATGAGCTGCTGGTAGGAATGTAAAATGATATAACTTCTTCAGAAAGCGGTTTGTCAATTTCTTAAACAGTTAATCATCCACCTACCATAAGACCCAGCCATTTCACTCCTAGGCCTTTACTCAAGAGAAGTGCAAATGTATGTCCATTACAAACGCTTGTACACAAATCTTGATGGCATCTTTATTTGTAATAGCCTCAAACTGGAAACAACTTATGTGCATCAACAAGCAAATGGATAAACAAACTAATACATTCATATGGTGGAATACCACATGGCAGTAAAGAGGAATGAGCTCCTGCTGCATGTAACAGCATGCGTGAATCTCAATTTATATTGAGTGAAAGAAACCAGATAAAGTACATAAACCAGATAAAGTACATACTCCAGATTCCATTTATATAAACTAGAAAAGACAAGCTAATCTGTGATGACAGAAAGCAGATCAGTGGTTGCCTGGGGAGAGGAAGAGGAAGCGGGGAGGGATTGCAAAAGGCATGAGGACATGGGGAATCTCTGGGGCAGTGGATTTGATCATTGTCTTGATTGTGGTGATTTCACAGGTGTATAGAAATGTCACAACACGGGGCTGGGCACGGTGGTTCACGCCTGTATTCCCAGCACTTTGGGAGGCCGAGGCGGGCAGATCATGAGGTCAGGAGTTCAAGACCAGCCTGACCAACATGGTGAAACTCTTGTCTCTACTAAAAATACAAAAATTAGCCAGGCCTGGTGGCACGTGCCTGTAATCCCAGCTACTCAGGAGACTGAGGCAGGAGAATCGCTTGAACCCAGGAGGCAGAGGTTGTAGTGAGCTGAGATCACGCCACTGCACTCCAGCCTGGGTGACAAAGAAGACTCTTGTCTCAAAAAAAAAAAAAAAAAAGAAAAGAAAAGAAATGTCACAACATACTGATACAGAAGCAGGGAAGAGAAGTGCTGGGTAGAGGAGGGCATGGTCCCTGGCTAGGGCTCTATACCAGGGACCTAGGTGAGGACAGGCACTTCTGCCTTTGCACCCAAATATTGCATTTTCCAAAACCACCCCAGCCTGCCTTGCTCCCATCCTGGGCCTATAAAAACCTGAGACCCTAGCAAGGCAGAGACAGAAGCTGCTGGACGGCGAGAGGAACACATCAGCGGAAGAAGATACAAGCAGCTGGATGGCGAGAGGATGCCAGGAGCACACCGACAGACGCCACCACACTGGCAGGCCATCAGCCGGCAGAACGAGGCAGAGTTTGGCTGGGGCAGTCGGAGGAGAGCCTGTATGCTCCCCTAGAGGTTTGAGCAGGGGGGCACTGAAGAAGCGAGCCACACTCCCATTGCACACCCTGTGAGAGGGACAAGGGAACTTTTCCCATCATAATACCAAATTGCACTCTTTAAATAGGTACAGCTTATTATATGCTACTTATATCTCATTAAAGCTGTTTTATAAGAAGATTGCTTGGGCTACAATTTGGAGAATGGGCTAAAGGGGCAGTAAGTCTAATTGCAGAGGAAAAATGCCCATCCCTTCCTCTCTTCTCCTAAAAGTGTATCCCTTATTCCTCTCACTTCCCTTCTGGTTTTTGAGCTTGGTTGTTACAGTAACATGTGATGATATTTTTTCTTTCCTCTGTTGGGCATTTCTTTAAAATCCTGTGGCATGGGGGGCCCTGGCAAAGCCAAGGGAGGCTAAGAGCCTACTCTTTTTCTTCTTGTTGAGCCTGAGCCTCTCCTCAGCCCAGACCACTTAGTGAATGTACAGGTGAGATTGGGCAGCTCACCACCAGTGGTGGCAGGGTCTGGTTTCTACAAGGGCATGGCCACAGTGCAGTCACCCTGCTCCCTATCCCATAGCCAGCGTCTGGAGAGGGGCTGGCTCCAAATGAGTGAGAGGGAAGTGTTTGTGGGGGGAACGATTGGTTTCCTGAAGGGCAATCAGAAGGCACGCACCTGCAGGGCCCCTCACAGAAGGGCAGGAGGAGCTGCGGGTTGCCCCCCAGGGAGAGGCCTTGTGATTGAGGTCCCAGTCAGAAAGATGGTCGTGTGTGCAAGGGACAAGGTAGAATGGGAGGTGGGCCAGGGTGGGTAGTAGGAGACTGGGGGCAGGGCTGGTCTGGGGTCTGAATCCCTGATGAGGTGATATGTTATGGGGTGAGGAAGGAGCTCCCCTCATGATGGGGGGGGTTGGGGGGCATGTGTGGCAGGAATAGCCACAGCTGCCAACCAGATAGTCATAATGAGACCTTTGAGTTGGAACTGGGGCTCAGATTCCCTCTTTCAAACCTACCCACTGTGCAGACTTCAGTAAGTGACAGGACCTTTCTGGAACTTGGGTTTTAGACAGGAGATGGCAGCAGCTCCTTCACTGGTTGAAATCCCCAAGTCTGGCTAGGTGCGGTGGCTCACGCCTGTAATCCCAGCACTTTGGGAGGCCGAGGCGGGCGGATCACCTGAGGTCAGGAGTTCCAGACCAGCCTGGCCAGCATGGAGAAACCCCGTCTCTACTAAAAATATAAAAATTAGTCAGGCATGGTGGTGCACAACTGTAATCCCAGCTACTCGGGAGGCTGAGGCAGGAGAATAGCTTGAAACCAGGAGGCAGAGGTTACAGGTAGCCGAGATCGCATGCTGCACTCCAGCCTGGATGACAGAGTGAGACTCTGTCTCAAATAATAATAATAATAATAAAAATCCAAAGAAAAAAATATCTGTGAGTCCATACTGATATACTGCACTCCAGCCTGGCGACAGAGTGAGACTCTCTCAAAAAAAAAACAAAGAAAGAAATCTCCAAGTCCAGGGTCTGGCCCATAGTAGACACATGATTTCCTAGAATGTGAAATGCAGTTTTTTTCCCTACCTTTTCTGTGTAGGAAGTACTTTTAGATCCATTTAGCCACAAGGATGAAATCTTTTCCTACCTACTTGGCTTCTTATGGGGTCTTCCTCACTCTGTGACCCATGGTTTCAAACACAGGTGGCTTCCTTGTTTTGTATCTGTGCTAGGTGGTCACTGGTCACGGTGGAGAGAAAGGATGTCAGCAGCCCGAAGGACTCAGCTGCAGGAACAGAAAGTGAGGGACAGCTGAAGGCAGAGGGTCACAGCCCTCAGAGAGAGGAAGCCAGAAGAGAGTGTAGCTGAGCAGGGTGTGGAGAGAGGGGAGGAAGCCCTGCCGTTGAGAGATAAAGTGGCAGGAAGTCCAGTGGGGCACTGGCTGTTGTCAGAGCATCCACGTGAAGACGCTGGCCACCCTGCCAGCATCTTATGAACAGGGGTAGGAGAGGGTGCTGGATTTCATTCCCCAAACCCAAATAAGATGCATTTGCTTCTGCCGTCTGGGCCAGCAGCATTGCACTGACACGTGCAATTCATTTCACCTTTCCTTTTTGGTGAGCTGTCTTGCAGGACGGTCCTCTTCATGTGCTCATGCTGTGGGTGGTGGAAAGGGTGGGCATGCCATGCTAAGCTGCTGAGTCCCTGTGCCCCTCTGCTGTTTGTAGCCAGCATTTTACAGGAGGTTAAACAAAGAGGCCACAGCATTTGGGAGTGGTTTTACACCACGTTTGTGAGCAGAATTATATTCACAAATGCACTGCTTTAACATTACATGTAGCCTGCTTCGAGTGTGCTTAGTTGATGCCTGACAAACTAGCTTTTGTTGCTCATTGTAAAGGCTTAGAGTCAGGTCCACCAGGGGACTTACGATGGGTAATCTGGAAGTGGACTTCGGCATTACCAAACAATAACCTAACTCATATCTTGACATTTTGCCATGGCCTGATATTTGGCATTTTTCGGAAAGATTTCTCCCCCATTGTCACATTTGAATTATGTCATCGCCAGTTCCCAATAGATGTCCATAGAACCCATTTCTCTGTGTTTAGGTCTGCTGAGGGGATACTAAGTGCACTCTGTCTGTGGCTGGGGGTGTTCAGAGATGAATAAGACCCTGGGCCTTGGAATGAAGTGCTTGTGGGGGAACAGACATGTGTGCCCAAGATACAAGGAAGCAGGTGCCAGGTAAGGAAGAAAGAGGAAAGGACTGTGCAGGGAACTATGTGGAATGTGATTCAACTCACACTTGTTTCCTTGAGCACTTGCGGAGGCCACAGTTAAGACATGGCCCTTATTCTGAAGGCACTTGCAATTCACTAGGAGAGGCAAATGCCCAGGTAACTAGCAACTCACCACAGCATGGTAGGTGCTGTGCCCAGTGGCAGATGCACCACCACCATCACTTCCACATTTGCCCCGTCCCAAATACTAGAGGCCCCACTTGGCTCGGCCTGGTCCAGTGGTCACTGTGCATGGGCCCCTAGCAGCAGCCGCGACACCACTGCTTTCCAGGGTGACGAGACCGCTTAAAGGAGCCTTAAAGATGAGTGGTGATGCCTCAACCCTGTTGGGTTTATGCTTTGCTGCTAGGTGGGCCCCACAGCTCCATGTGTGCCAGCAAAAGAAATGCAGTTTGCCCGGAACTGTATTTTCTACCTTGAGAGCATAAGGTACCTAAGTTGTATATAAAAATCATTAGACAGAAAGAAATGCTGATGCCTCTGAATTACTTGATGCTTTCAGTTTCATACTGGTGGGGGCTCCCTGTTGACTTTGCTGCTTGCAAGGAACAGAAATGCCAGCTGTCCAGTAATCTCATCCGCCCGCCACCCTCCCCTCCACAGGCACATATACATGCACACACATGCATTTCATGGCCATTAAAGAGAAGATGGAAGGGAGAAGGCAGGCAGGAACTTTTTGGGGGTGTTGGAAATATTCTATATCTTGATTTGGGTTTGCTTTACATAGATCATTTGTCAAAACTCATTGAATGGTAGACTTACACTTTTTGTGTCTGTTTGTGAATTTTACCCGGAAAAAAATAAGCCTAAGCAAATAAATGATGAACTCTAGTTAATGATGGGGAGGCTGAAGTGTTTGGGGTGAAGTTGCTGCCTGCAACTTTGAAATGCATCAAGAATGGGATGGATTGTTGGATTGATTGAGGAATGGTTAGCAAAACATCAATTATAGAATTGGGATGGTGAGTATGTGGGTACCCTCTGTATAATTCCTTCAACTTTTCTGCGTGTTTGAAAATGTTGAAACAGAAGAAGAACTGCAGATAACCAATACTTGTGCCCTCTTGAGCTTTCTATAAATGAATTTCTCCAATGGTCAATGTCTTGTCTGTTTCCTACAGACTGCTTCACCCTGCTTCCTGGTGTTGGCAGAGGGGCTTTCTCCTTAAACCTGTTGGTGTGGGGGAATTTCATGAAGGATGTGTTAGCTTGGACTTCCTTTGATGGTGATGCAGTTTATCAACTTAAAATGATATGAACTCTGAAACACAGGGCTTTCTACCCTGTGGGCAGAAGGCTGGGGATTTGCAGCCTGAGAATAGCCCTGGCAGATTGGAGCCAGAGTTAGAAAAGGATGCCTGAGCTCCTCCTGACCAAAGGATGCCAGCTGGCTACCTTGCTGGGTGCTAGGGGAGCAATTGATATTTATAAAATCTGTGAAGTTGATTTTTCAAAAATTTTAACATTATATAATGTATTTGAACATATTCAAACACTTTTTTGAGACGACCTTTTAAAATCTGTAAAGTAATGAATGCCTGCTGTCTTATAAAAAACTACAGAAAATGTAAAGAAATAAGGCCAGCTACAGTTTTACAACATAAAGAAACCACTGTTTATATTTTAATATATTCCTCCGTGAATCTTTTTTCATCTTGTGCATTGTTTACATAATTGTGCTGTCTTTCATTTGACTGTAATGGGGGAGTTCTTTGGGAGGGAGACTCCAAGGCCTCCTTGATGTGGATGGGCCCGGAGCCTGGGCTGCTACTGTAGGGGTTCTGGGCTGGCCTAGCCTGAGAGACCTCCAGCCTGTTCACAGAGCCCATGTGAGATCCCGAGAGGCCCAGAACTTCTTAGACAGCTCTTTTTAAGCTGAAGGCACTTTTTGCAGGAGGCAGTAACATGATTGTCATCCTTATAATTTGCCTGTTAATTGAGCATTTCCCAAGTATGGGGCCCTGCACTAAGTACTTTGCACATATTCTCTTAACAGTAACCCTACGAGGGGGCCACTGTTGTCCCCATTTTCTAGCCCAACATCGGAGTTTAATTAGTCTGCGCTTGTCACATAGCTAGTAAATTGTGGAGCTGTTTTAGACCAGGTGTCCCAATAAGCACTTTGTAGTTGAGGCATGTTAACTCTTTAGAACTTTTTGGTTTTCAAAGCAACTCTTAATTGCTGCTCCTGGGAATATGCAGGGCAGATGGAAGGAACCTCTATTTCCTAATTAAGAAACGGACACCCAGAGAGCTGATCACCATTAATCCAAACTACAGGAGTCACGGGTAGGTGGGAGGCTCAAGGTTAGAACCTGGCTCTTCAAATTTGTTTTTTCAGGCCAGGCGCGGTGGCTCATGCCTGTCATCCCGGCACTTTGGGAGGCTGAGGCAGGCGGATCACCTGAGGTCAGTAGTTTGAGACCAGCCTGGCCAACATGGTGAAACCCCATCTCTACTGAAAATACAAAAATCAGCTGGGCTTGATTGTGCATTCCTGTAGTCCCAGCTACTTGGAAGGCTGAGGCAGGAGAATCACTTGAACCCGGGAGGCGGAGGTTGCAGTGAGCCGAGATTGCACCACTGCACTCCAGCCCAGGTGACAGAGTGAGACTCTGTCTCAAAAAAAAGTTCTCTCTCTCTCTCTCGATGGATGATCTCCCTATGTTGCCCAGGCTGGTGTTGAACTCCTGGCCTCAAACAGTCTGAGGAAGGAATCGTGGGGCAGGCTGAGATGAAAGCCTCAGGACTTGAGTGAACAGAAGGGCAGGAGTAGAATGTACTAGGTAGGGGCCCATCAGCAAAGGCTGGGCTAAGACCCTGTGGGACTTGTTAGGGGGTGAGGAGCTGCTGGTAGAAGGGCAGGGAAGAGCACTTGCTTGCAGTCTGACAAACCCAGGGCTTGGGGTGTGATATACTTTTTGTAAAAATTGAGGTTACTAAATCCTAGTTGGTGGTTCCCACTGAAAATTAAAGGAAATAATTTAGTTGGAATTGTCTGGCCAGGCATGGTGGCTCACACCTGTAATCCTAGCACTTTAGGAGGCCGAGGCGGGAGGATTGCTTGAGCCTAGGAGTTCAAGACCAGTCTGGGCAACATATCAAGATCCCCGTCTCAAAAAAAAAAAAAAAAAAAAAAAAAAAAGGGAGGAAAAAAGAAATTTCCCAACCTGCATGCTTGGCATATTATAGTGATGGTGCAATCTTTCTGAACTGTCTTACAAACAGTGGGAACCTTCGAAAGCTTTGGGTGGGGTGAGGGAGGGAGTTGACCAAGCCCAGGAATTCTGGACATTAGCATAACAGTGGGGCAGGGAAAGTGGGACCTAAAGTCCAGCCTGGTAGCTGTTTTCTGCAGTTGAAAGAGTGACAGAGGGAGAGGGAGAGAAAGACACTTCAAATGAGTCATCCACTGGATTTGGTGGTGGGCTGGCCATGGGGAGGGATGGTATTATGCTTTGTTCATTGGCTTTTTTATGACTCAGTTTACACTGGTTCCCTCCTGACTCACTGATGTTTCTCTTGTCCTGCAAGGAGCCTGTGTGAAATGCAGCAAAGGGGTGTTTGGGGCTGGCCAGGCCTGTCAGGCCATGGGGAACCTCTACCATGACACATGCTTCACCTGTGCAGCTTGCAGTAAGTGTGGGTGTGGGTGTCGGGTGTGTGGGGGATGCGTAAGGAACATGGGAACCGAGAAAGGGAGGAGAGAGATCATCTTTCTGGAGACGGTTGGTCCATGGCCCTCCTCAGCCCCACAGAAAAGCCAGACAGTGTCTTTTACAGCAGGGTTTCTTACCACCAACAGAAGCCCATCAGGGCACGGTGACTTAACACAATACCAAAGATTGCCTGTGATTCTGGTGATAAGTTGAATGAGTTCAGAGTGATCCCTAATCACATCAGGTTTGAAATATGTAAGAAGAGGTTTCAGAAGATTTGGGAGGAAGTGCTGGGATTCACCATGTCTACCCTGTTTGTCAGTTCTCTCCCCCACTGTGGGGACCAGCCAACCAAAAGTGATTAGTCAGTCAGCTACCCCAGTGTGAGGTGGAGGTGGGGGTCCTTTATTACTCTGTAACCACCTCCCTAACCTAATCTTTGATTTGGAGGCTGCTGTATGAGCATGAGGTGTGTGTGCATGCCACCCATGTGCTGGTGCCTACCTAGCACACACCTGTGGGCATCTTTGTACTCCAGTACATGCATTATAATTCAAGCAGCCCATCAGGAGTCTGGATTGAATGGATGGCAACCGCTCCCCGTGGAAGATTCTAACACATTGCATGCTTGCCAAGTCTGACCAAGTTATGGATTTTGCTTGTTTTCTGTCTCTATCAAAGATTAATTTTGAGGAGTATTTTTGGAAAATGTCCTACTTATATTCTCAATCCTATACTGAGGCTAACAGCTCTCAACTAAAAGGGAATGTTACAGCAGAGTCACAGGGTGTCAGGAACAAAGGGGTCTTTCTAACCATCTGGCCCCGTGGTTTGCAATCCTGGCTGCTCATTAGAATCACCTGTGGAGACTTTAAAACCCTGCTAATCAGAATCAGAGCTAAATCCTAATCTGATAGGATTAGCTAGGAACCTCAATCTGATTCTGCTAATCAAGGGTGGGGCCAGGGCATCACCCTTGGAATTTCTAGAGTGAGGCAAGTGTATTAATTTTTTTTTTTTTTTTGAGACGGAGTCTCGCTTTGTCACCCAGGCTGGAGTGCAGTGGTGCTATCTCAGCTCACTGCAACCTCCGCCTCCTGGGTTCAAGCGATTCTTTTGCTACAGCCTCCCGAGTAGCTGGGACTACAGATGTGCACCAGCACGCCCAGCTAATTTTTGTATTTTTAGTAGAGACGGGGTTTCACCATGTTGGCCAGGATTGTCTCGATCTCTTGACCTTGTGATCCACCCACCTCGGCCTCCCAAAGTGCTGGGATTACAGGCGTGAGCCACTGCGCCCGCCCAAGTGGGGCAAGTGTATTTTTTCACAGCTTCTCAGATACTTCCAGGGTGTGATCAGGGCTGACTACCATTGGTTTGGGGATCCTCATTTTGAATCCTTCTGGAGAAGGGAAGGGGAAGAACTTGCTCACAGCCAGAGATCCTAATTCCCAGTATAAAGTTAACCAGTGCATTGTGGTTAACCAGTGGCCTCCTAACCTGCTGAGCCTTGATGGTCCAGGCCTGAGTTCTGAACCTCATGCTTCAGTCCTCACTGCAATTTGCCTTAGAACACATGCCTGAGAGTTTATGGTTTACACATTGATCAGTGTTCACCTGTGTAGGGAAAGACTATGAGAATGTCCGCAGTGGAAATCTAGGAGTGGTCTGGTTATCGAATTCTCTGGGTCTCTGTGCCTTTCCTTGTCTTTGAGCTATGTTGCACTCTGTAAGTTGTAGAATATTGATGGTACAACACATTCTTGTCTATAGCAATGCAGACTGTCTGGTGAGGTGCAGTTGATGATTGTTACCCTGTGGAGATTGACCAGTTTTGCAATCTATTTAGCAAATTGATTTCAACATTCCTGATGGCCTATGGTTCTTTGAATTCTCCCCATTAAACCCATTAATTGGTTCCTTTATTAATTGATGAGTTAAATAAAGTCTTTGGCACATGTTTGTGTTTTATCCATATGGGAGTTGTGTTTAGGCCCCCCTTTATTTATTTATTTAGTTAGTTAAATTTTAATTTTAGTTTTAGATTCAAGACGTGCAGGTTTGTTACAAAGGTATATTGTGTGAATCTGAAGTTTGAGCTTCTATTGGTCCTGTCACCCACACAGTGAACATAGTACCCAGTAGAAAGTTTTTCAGCTATTTGGTTTTCTGTTTCTTGTGTTTCTATGTTGCTGCAAAGGACATGATGTCACTTTTTTATGGCTGTGTAGTATTCCATGGTGTATATGTACCACATTTTCTTTATTCAGTTACTGCTGATGGGCACCTAGGTTGATTCCATGTCTTTGCTATTGTGAATAGTGTGGTGATAAACATACGAGTGCAGGTATCTTTGGTAGAAGATGTACTTTTCTTTGCATATATATCCAGTAATGGGATTACTGGGTCAAATGGTAGCTCTATTTTTAGTTCTTTGAGAAATCTCCTAACTGTTTTCCACAGTGGCTGAACTAATTTACACTCCCACCAACTGTGTATAAGCATTGCCTTTTCTCTATAGCCTTGCCAACATCTACTTTTTGACTTTTTAATAATGGCCATTTTGTGGTTTTGATTTGCATTTCTTTGATGATAATGATGTGGAGGTTTGTTTTGTTTTGAGATGGGGTCTCACTGTGTCATCCAGGCTGGAGTGCCATGATGTAATTGTAGCTCACTGCAGCCTTGAACTCAAGCAACCCTTCTGCCTTAGCTTCTGAGTAGCTGGGACTGCGGGCATGTGCCACCATGCCCAGCTAATGGTTTAAAATTTTTGTAGAGACAGAGGTCTCGCTGTGTTGCCTAGGCTGGTCTTGAGCTCCTGACTTCTGGTGACCCTCCCACCTCAGCCTCCCACAGGGCTGGGATTACTGGCATAAGCCACCACACCTGACCCTTGAGCATTTTTTTCATGTTTGTTGGCTGCTTGTATCAGATCTTTGTTTACAATTTATCTTTGACCTTTGACTCCTACAACAGTTTCTCAATACTTGCTCTATTTTTCAGGAAAAAGAAAATAAATATTAAGGAGAGGCTGTTTTCCACCTCAAGCAGTTACCATTTGAATTAGGGAAGCTGTTGGTGAGGGAAAACCAATTGATGAGCGTCTTAGTCTGTTTGGACTGTTATAACAAAGTACCATACACTGGTTGGCTTATAAACAATAGAAATGTATTTCTCACAGTTCTAGATGCTGGAAAGTCCAAGATCAAGGTGCTGGCAGATGAGGTGTCTGTTGAGGGCCCACTTCCCGGGCACTCATATGGTAGAAGGGGAGCTCTCTGGGATCTCCTTTATAAGGGCACTAATCCCATTCCTGAGCGTTCCACCTCATGAGAATCACCTCCCAAAGGCCCTACCCCCTAATCCCGTCACCTTGGAGGTTAGGATTTTTTTTCTTTTTTTGAGATGGAGTTTTGCTCTTATTGCCCAGGCTGGAGTGCAGTGGCGCAGTCTCGGCTTACCGCAACCTCCGCCTCCTGGGTTCAAGCGATTCTCCTGCCTCAGCCTCCCAAGTAGCTGGGATTACAGCCATGCGCCACCAAACCTGGCTAATTTTTGTATTTTTAGTAGAGACAGGGTTTCTTCATGTTGGTCAGGCTGGTCTCGAAGTCCTGACCTCAGGTGATCTACCCGCCTCAGCTTCCCAAAATGCTGGGATTACAGGCGTGAGCCACCATGCCCGGCCAGAGGTTAGGATTTTAACATAGGAATTTTAGGGGGACATAGACATTCAGCCCATTGCAGATGAGTCTGTGGGTTCCACCCAAGGCTGCTAGAGTGGCTGTCTATTTCTTAATGGATTGAGTTTCTCTTTCTTCAAATTGTGACAAGCACAGACACTTAAGGAAGACAGACCTGGTTTGGGTTTTTGATTGGTCTAGCATTGAAGGCCTTTGTGGTCTTGTCCCTGTCTTATCACTTCCTGTTTCCTATTCCAGTCAAACTGAATTTCTCTTTTTCACTTCCATGCCTCTGATCACATTGTTATCTAGAATAGCCTCTCCCCATTCACTTAATACATTTCTCTGTCCAGTCTTATGACTCAGCTCAAATGCCTCCTCTTCCAGGAAGCCTTCCCTGTTTCCTTAGCAGGAAGAGACTTCTCCTGAATTTGGTGCACTCTGCTTTCTTGTTGTTTTTTGTTGTTGTTGTTGTTTTGTTTTGTTTTTAAGACGGATCTCACTCTGTTGCCCAGGCTGGAGTGCAGTGGCATGATCTCAGCCCACTGCAACCTCTGCCTCCCGGGTTCAAGCGATTCTCCTGCCTCTCAGCCTCCTAAGTAGCTGGAACTACAGGCATGTACCACCAGGCCCGGCTAATTTTTGTATTTTTCGTAGAGACAGGGTTTCACCATGTTGGCCAGGCTGGTCTTGAACTCCTGACCTCAGGTGATCTGCCTGCCTTGGCCTTCCAAAGTGCTGAAATTACAAGCGTGAGCCACCACTCCCAACCCTTGTTGGTGTTATTACATAGATGGTGAACCTCATTCTCTGTGGATCTATTGCCAGCAAACCAGGCCCTAGAACAGAGTTGCTGAAGGAATGAGGATTCGGATTTTGTCAAAAAGTGAGTGCAGGGGCATTGCTGTTTGCCCTGGGGCTGCACACCCTCCTGCTCTGTGAATGTCCCACTTCCTGTCCAGTTCCAAAGAGCAGTTGGAATGTTGGAGACTGGGCTTGTGTCTCAGCGGCTTCTCTTAGACACTGGAGGTGACTTGTCTTTTTTCAGTTACCAGATTGCTGCCCTTTACCTCAGTTTTCAGCAGAAGGAGGCACCCGGGAGCTCTGTGTCTCAGCTCTGCAGGTCCTGAGTGTGTCTCTGTGAGCCTCAACACCATGGAGACGGCACAGCTGGGGGTCTGGGTGCATCTAGGGCATCCCCTCCTTCTTAGAAGAGAAAATGGGGGCAGACAGGGGAAGAATTTCTCAAGGTCAAAAACCTGGCTATGGAGCTGGCATGGAATCCAGACCTCTTGAATCTATGCTCACCTGTACTTCCTTGTTTTTCTGGTTCTCCCTCCTCTGATTTATTTCCACCTAGTCAAGCAAAAATAAGTGTGTTTTCTCTGTTCTTTATCTTATCTTGGTTATTGATAGAGTCTGGTGAGTGTGTGTATTTCTGAACATACTTGTATATGTATCTTTTCTATTTTCCCATTTCAATTATGAAAATCTAGTTTAAAACACTATATATAGTATGTAAAGCCAGATTTTATATATAATTATATATATTTTATTTTATTTATATTTTTTATATATATATAGCATATGGCATATGGAGGTATCTGTTGGTATATACACATACTTCCTGAGGTCCATTGATACTGCATTAAACCATGGTATTTGGATACTGTTAAGCTCACACACATTTACAGGGCAAGTCCAGGGCCTGACTAGTTTGGTAAAGATACAACAAGCCACTGTTACTTTAGGCAGTTTATTACTTACATAGGCAGGCAACACAAAGAATGTGTCAAAGGTACCATCTTCCTGGGTCCTTGTCCCATACACTGAAGAGGATGACACTGAAGCAAAAGGGGCTGATGACTGCCACATAAGTGGGATTTTGAGAAGCAATTTTAGACTGCAGCTAAGTGGTCTCAGAGCCCACAGCTCTGTTCTGAGAGGCAGGCAGAAATTCCCATACCTCATTAGAGATGAGACACTGTCTGGTGACAGGCTCCTGGGGGAATAGGGAGGTGAATGAGAGACAGCCGTGCATCTTTTTATGTTCTGGAAGCCTACAAGGTGTTCCACCAAGATTCAGGCAAACCTTTGCATACATGGCTATGTGCAGTTCTCCCAGGCACCATGGCAGGTTCCCTTACACGGATATGAACATTTCCCCATCTGCTGATGAGAAGCAGCAATGGGGAAAGCTGTGAGAAAATTGTATCTTTTTTTTTTTTTTCTTTTTGAGACTGGGTCTTGCTCTGTCGTACAAGCTGGAGTGCAATGGTGGGATCACAGCTCACTGCAGCCTTGAACTCCTGGGCTCAGGCGATCCTCCTGCCTCAGCCTCCTGAGTAGCTGGGATTACAGACATGCACCACCATGTTCAGCTATTTTTTATTATTTTTTGTAGAGACAGGGTCTTGCTATGTTGCCCAGGCTGGTCTCAAACTCCTGGGCTCAAGCAGTCTGTCTGCCTTGGCGTCCCAAAGTGCTAGGATTATAGGCATGAGCCACCACATCTGGCTGCTGCAAAGACAATTTTAAAGACAGAAACCTGTTATGTTAGCATTGTAGCTCAGCTACTGTCACTTTTATGTTTTCCCTGCCAGGTTTTCCCCAAGTTTATACACATTTTTTAGAGTTGCGATCATAGTATATAAACAATGTTGTATCCTTTTCAATTTAACATCATGTCATAGTTCATAATAATAATTTTAAGTTACATGGTGATGGATGAGTTGTGCCACAGTTAATGGCTGGTTTGCAGGTTGTTACACACAGCCCCAGCCAGCATCTTCGTGCAGCATCTTTCTTTCCTTCTGTGGGATTGTTTCCTTGGTGCTCGTTCCAGCAGTAAGCATCAGGTTGTGGTGTGGGCGTTTGTGTGGTTTGTTCAAGTTCCCTTCTTCTTTGCTGTGCTCCTTGGGCTGGGAATGTTTGGTTGCCGTGGAGATGAGTGCTGTGGGTCTCCCTCCTCTCCCCTCAGGCTCTGCCCACCCCAGGCGGCCATGCCCCCCCACTGGCACTGGACACTCTCAGGAAGCTGTTGGCACACCCTGGAGTGGGAGGGAGGTCTGTGGAGAGGACAGGAGTGGCCTTTGTTGACAGCTGTGTCTACTTACATGTCAAGTGGCCTGTCTGAGGGAGGCTGGCTCCCACCTGTGCCTCAGAAGCAGCAGCATGAGAGGAGGAAAAACACGCTGACTTGTGGGGTTGAGTGGACTTCTCGGCACCTTCAAGAATAGTCTGGGAGGCCAGGCGTGGTGGCTCAATCTGTAATCCCAGCACTTTGGGAGGTTGAGGCGGGTAGATCACTTGAGGTCACGAGTTTGAGACCAGCCTGGGCAATGTGGCAAAACCCCATCTCTACTAAAAATACAAAAATTAACCGCATGTGGTGGCACATGCCTATAATACTAGCTATTTGGGGGGCTGAGGCAGGAGAATCACTTGAACCCAGGAGGCGGAGTTTTCAGTGAGCCAAGATTGCGCCACTGTACTCCATCCTGGGCGACAGGGTGAGACTCTGTCTCAAAAAAAAAAAAAAGAATGGTCTGTGAGGGAGAAGTAGGCAAGGTCCTGTGTGCTCACTCCAGGCAGATTGAGGTTTAAAAACTAAGACGTTCATTTCACAGACTAAACAAATTCCATCCTACTTGCCATGTTAGTGTCATGATTCCTATTAGTTTTTCGGTGATATGAGACGGAAAATGATGGACTAGGTAAATATACTCTCCCCGCCAGAAGCCCATGGAGCAGGGGGGTGCCCACCTTGGGGATGGAAGCTGGGAAGCAGCCAGTCCCACAGTTGACAGAAATTACGCCTAGTGCAGGTCCGAGCTCAGTGGAAGGCTGCAGAGGGCCAGACGGGGTCCACTTGGGATGGTGCTGGAATGTGTAAGTCAAGGCCAGAATGAATTGCAGTGGTGTAACCTACTGTTTGTATTGCTCGGTGTAAGATGCACTGTGACCTGCCAGCCATGCCTTAGTGGGGAGAAAAAAGCAAAACTAAGATTATATACCATTGCTCATTTCACCTTCCAAAAACCGAATGTCCATGGCTGTTGAAGACTGCGAATGGGATTTATAGTAAAATCTCACTTGTTGAGACCCAGTTGGAAGAAAGCCTTTCTTAGTAATAAAAAGCCTGCATCTAGAACACTCACAAAATGCCATTTTGTTACTTGAGATAAATAAAACAATTAGGACCAAGCCTAGTGTTGTGGAACAGAGGTTCTTAGCGAATGAATAAGTCCTTGGTGATTGACTCACCAGTTAGTTCGCCTCTGAAGGACTGGAGGGTTCTTGCCAGCTATTTTGTTTTTCTTACAAAGTCTAAATACTGCATCTGAAATCCTTTCCCTTTTTTGTTGACTTTGTAAATGACCTCGTCAACCCAGCCCCTGAAAATGCTTACACATTTTGAATGAGTTAAGCCTGAACTAGGGAGGTCTTCCTTTAATTCATGCAGGTCTGCTTCTGTAAAACAGTCACTGCGATATTTATAGATAATTTTGGGTAAGCTTTCTAGCTTACCGTGGGCCTGACACCGCATAACCCTCCTCCACCCATGGCGGCGCACTAAATCCTGTAACAATTCAGGGAGTTCAACGTTCATTATTATTATTACTCTCAACTTAAGATGTACAGATTGAGGCTTGGAGAGTTTAGTTTGTGGTTGGTTTCGTCACTGTTAAGTGGTGTGGTCAGCACTTGAACCCAAGACCTGTGGATCCACAGCTCTTGCTGTTAGCCACTGTATTAAATTACCTTTGCTTAGAGAGAGTATTTGCCAAAGACAGGAGCCGGGCTGTAGCCATGGGGCCTTGCCTTGACTTTTCAGGTTCAGCCGCTGCCTTGGGGTTGTGTGACAACAGAGACTGGATTTTTGGCCACCCTCGAGTTGTGAGTGCAGGAGAGTGGCCTGGGGCTGGGAATAGGGGAGGTAGAATTCAATCATGGGATGCACCCATAGTAGAGAAATGGACTAAGGGCTTTAATCCCTGAGTTTCTGAGCTGTCGAATTGTCCGAATATTTCTCATCATATTCAGCAGTTCTGTATGAGCTGAATGAGTCAGCAGGACCTAAGGAAAAAGCTGAAGATCAAGAATGTGAGAAAGGAAGAGTGGGCAGATGCTAAAGGAAATCAGTGGGCACAGGAAAGATCAGGAAGCAACCAAAATAGGCTGGAGCTGGCCAGAGGGCTGCAGGGATCGGAAGAGAGTGGAGGGGCCACTTACTTTGGTTATCAAAGGGTCTCTTGTGTCCGTCTCCTGCAAGCCTAGTTCTGCTAGTGCACTGGAGTTGGGGCCAAACCTGGTTTCCCAGGTCAGACTCTGCTGGTTCAGTCAGAGGCCAGGAAGTCCCTGACAGGGAAGACCATCAGATTCCTTTGTTCCTATCGTCTGAACACAGTCTGAGAGGTTTCGCAGTATATTGTAGAGGCTAACTTTGGTGTAACCTATACCTTATGTGGCCATGTCTGCATCCTAAGCTCCTGATATTGCACATGTCTGGTTTTTGTTGGAAGTCTGTACCTTTCCTCCGTGGTAGTCCCAGACCAAGGGTGATACTTGGCGGTGCCCAGGGTGTCACCTGTCTTCTCAAGTGGAAGAGGAGAATGAAGAGCACTCCAGTACGCCAGGAGCATCACACCGTAATTAGCAGGAAGATGTTGCACCGCAGTGCCTCATCTCAGAGCCAGAGTCCTGGGTTAGGGAGTAAACTCTTTTACCTAGGCCTGACTGTATTCTGGCATTGTAGGCACTCCTCAGGTTTCTGTGGCCCTCTCATCTCACTGAGGGTATCCCTTCTTCATGTGTCTCTCAGCTCTTCTCTTAGATTTCTGCCCCTGGCTCTGGCCCCTTCAGATTCCTTCTCCTTCTCTTTCCCTTCCCTCCTCTCTCCTCCTTTCACCAACAGTTTTGTTTGCACCCATAGTTGCCCATCAGTGGATCCATGCCTGTAAGCCAGTGTAATACAAGCTGCTGTCTGTGGAGCATTTATTGCATTTATTGCAGTGAGCCGTGATCGTGCCACTGCACTCCAGCCTGAGTGACAGAGCGAGACTCTGTCTCAAAAAAAAAAAAAAAAAAGATTTAGGAACCAGAGGCTTTATATGCAGTCCAGTACAGTAGCCACAAGCTGCACGTGGCTGTCTTCTTATGTCCCTTGCTTGCCTTCCAGCCACACTCATCTTACACAAGAGGTCATGGGGTCTCAGAGCGGTTGCCCAGCTGGTGAGTGGGGAAGTGTGTTCGTGCCCAGGGGCAGGTGGCCACTGTGTATACACTTGCCACCATATCCATGGCCTTCACCCCTCACTGTGCGTCAGTCGCCATCACAAGGGGCCTGTTGCAGTGCCGACCTCTGCCTCTGCCTGCAGAGATCCTGATTTCTGAGATCTGTGTGTGCAGGGGGAGCATCCTGGGGGATTGTGATGAAGTTAGCTGGGAACTTGGCTGTGGCCCTGCAGTGGGCCTCACCACCAGCCCACTTGACCTTCATGTGGACTTCAGTCCTCTGGCCTCTCTCTGACCTGTAGACCTGCACCATCTAACACAGCAGCTACTGGCCACCTGGGGCTCTTGAGCACTTGAAATGTGGCTAGTGTGACTATGGAACTGCATTTTCCATTTTATTTCATTTTAATTAATTAAAGTTTAAATTTATTTTAGTAGCCATGTACAGCTTGTGGCTACTGTATTGGACTGCATGTAAAGCCTCTTGTTCCTAAATCTTTTTTTTTTTTTTTTGAGACAGTCTCACTCTGCCATTCAGGCTGGAGTGCAGTGCTGCATTATGGCTCACTGCAACCTCTGCCTCATGGGCTAAAGTGATCCTCCCACCTCAGTCCCTTTAGTCCCCTGGCTAATTTTTTTGAAATTAATTTTTGTAGAGTTGGAGTCCCACTATGTTGCCCAGATTGGTCTCAAACTCCTGGGTTCAAGTGATCCTCCCGCCTTGGCCTCCCAAAGTGCTGGAATTACAAGTGCAAGCCACAATGCCCGGCCTCTAAATCTTAGCCAGAGTTCACTTATTAGTAGGAAATTATTCATGAAGTTTCTTGTTTTTGATATTTTATACATCACCAAGTCAATGTAGTCACATTGTCAAAAAATGTATATGGGAGAAGAAAATCACCTATAATTCAATACCAAAAAGAACCCCCAAAAATGTATGCTGTGCCTACATAGACGTTTTTGCCTGGTTGTCATCACAGTGTATGTTTGCTTTTATGCCCTGCTTTTTCCACTTAGAAATATATCATATGCCTTTTCCCTCATTGCTTCATAGTCTTCATAACCATCTGCTGCGTAAGATCCTGTTGATTTGATGACTCAAAGCCAACATAACCTTCTTGCCAGTTAAAGTTTAAAGGGGAAGTGAACTCTTACCATGGGAGCTCCCAGACTCTTCCCAGGAGTACTGAGGCTGGCTGAGTGTGGATCCTGTGGCCAGGTTTTCAAGGACCAGATGCATAGCAGGGCACGGGTCAGCCTGGGGGTCCGGCAAATCCAATGCCTGGCCAGAGGATGCAGGCCCTTCCCTGTGTTCAGGGGCAGGGTGACAGCTGCCTCTCCACATCCGCAGCAGCCCTGCAATGGTCACCATTGGTGGCATTTGGATGCCAGCAGGGTCCCATATGCCCTGTTTTGGGCAGAGCGTCTCTGTCTCTTGCATGGATCACTGCTGTCACCTCCAGTCTGGTCTCTGGGCACAGCAGCGAGGAGGCCACTCCACAGCTCAGAGACCTTCAGCTACTTTTTGCCTTAACATTGTAGTCCAGTTCTTTTGCCTGGTGTTTAAGACATTTCCTTAAATTAGTTCTAACTTCCTTCCTGTCTTCTTTCTTTCTAACTATCCCCCTCCTCCGCTGCCCCACAGCCTCCCGAAGTGCTGAAGTCCCTGGCCACACTGCACATCACCTGTCCTTTTCTACCCCTGTACCTTGTCACCCTTAGCCTCCATCACCACCCAGGTGAATATCACTCTCCCTTCAGTGTCTTCCATTGCCATCTCCATTGCTACTCTCCTGATCTTGGGTCCCATGTGCACCCTTCATTTGCCTGTCCTATGGTGTTTTCAATTATGATTAGATTGAAACTGTTTGCAGGAATCTCTATCTCCCCCTAGGTGATCAGTTTTGGGAAAAATAGGGACAGGGTTTAACTGATCATGATTTTACTCCTTATAACCCTTCAGCACCTTTAGTATAATTCTGAACACAGAATAAATGTTGGAATAAATAAAGGTGACACTTCCCCATTACCTGGTACTCATCACTTCACCTCCTTACTCACCTTCCCTCATCCCTAAGCAACCACTGATCTTCCTATCCCTATAGATTTGCCTATTCTGGATATTTCATATGAATGAAATCATACAATATATGATCTTCTGTGTCTGGCTTTTTTCACTTAGCGTGCATTCCAGGTTCATCCACGTTGTAGTATGAATCAGTATCTCATTTCTTTTTATGGCTGAATAGTATTCCCTTGTATAGATGTACCATATTTTGTTTATCCATTCAGCAGTTGATAGACACTTGTTTTTATTTTTGGCTATTATAAATAATGTTGCTATGAACATTCCTAGGCAGGTGTTTATGTGAATGTATCATTTCTGTTCTCTTGGGTAAATATTAGGAGTGAAATTGCTGGGTCATATGGTAACTGTGTTTAACCTTTTGAGGACCTGTTTTTTAAAGAAGCTCTACCATGTTACATTCCCACCAGCCATGTATGAGAGTTCCAGTATTTCCACATCCTTGCCAACGCTTAGGCTTATCTAGTTTTTTTATTCTAACTATCCTATTTGGTGTGAAGTTGGATCTCATTGTGGGTTTTGATTTGCATTTTCCTGATGATTAATGATGTTGAGCATCTTTTCATACATTTATTGGCCATTGGTATGTCTTATTTGGAAAAATGTCTTCTCAATTCCCTGCTCATTTTTACTTGGATTGTCTTTTTATTATTGAGTCTTAATCGTTCTTTGTATAGGATTTGGGAATATTTTCTTTCATTCTGTGGACTGTCATTTCATTTCTTGATGGTATTGTTTACAGCACAAAGGCTTTAAATTTTGATGCAGTAGAATTTATCTACTTTTTTTCTTTTTTTGCCAGTGTTTTGGTGCTTTTTGTAGGAAAACATTGGCTGACCCAAGGTCACAAAGATTCATGTCCATGTTTTCTTCTAAATGTTTTAAAGAGATTTAACTAATAAGAAAAAAGTCTCACTTGTCCTCGCATTTGCCATTTCTGCTCCTTCTCATCCCTTTGTTTAGATTCAGGTTTTCATCTGGTACCATTTTTCCTTCTGCTTGAAGGACTTCTCTTAACATTTTTTCTTTTTCGTATGCTGATTTGGTGATGAATTCTTTAAACTTTTGTATTCTGAATTTATCTTTCTTTCATTTTTTTATTTTAAAATATATTTTTTTGGCTGGGCGCGGTGGCTCACGCCTGTAATCCCAGCACTTTGGGAGGCCGAGGCGGGCCAATCATGAGGTCAGAAGATCGAGACCATCCTGACTAACATGGTGAAACCCCGTCTCTACTAAAAATACAAAAAATTAGCCGGGCATGGTGGCGGGTGCCTGTAGTCCCAGCTACTGGCGAGGCTGAGGCAGCAGAATGGCGTGAACGCAGGAGGCAGAGCTTGCAGTGAGCCGAGATTGCACCACTGCACTCCAGCCTGGGCAACAGAGTGAGACTCTGTCTCAAAAAAAAAAAAATTATATATATGTATACATATATATATATAAAATTATATAGATATATTTATATATAATTATATATTTTATATATATAATTATATATATAAAATATATATATTGCTGGATATAGAATTCTAGCTTGATACTTTTTTGAGTTCCTTGAAGTTTTTTTGTTTTTTTTTTTTTTACTATTTTCTCCCTTTTTTTTTTTAATGAGAAATCTGATATCTCTATTCTCTGTATGTGACATGTTTTTCCCCCATTCTGGCTGCTTTTAAGATTTCATCATTGATTTTGAGAAATTTGATTATGATATCCTTGGTGTGCTTTTCATGTTTCTTGTGCTTAGGGGTTTGTTGAGCTTCTTGGATCTGTGTGTTTGTAGTCAGTCTTCATCAAATCTATTTCTTCACATTCCTCCCCATCCACTAGGGACTCCAATTACTCCAATCTTAGGCATCTTGAAGTTGTCCCAGAGCTCACTTATGCCCATTTCGTTATTTAAAAAGTTCTTTTCCTCTCATTTCATTTTGGACATTTTCTATTGCTGTACCTTTAAATTCACTAATGTTTTCTCTTGCATGGTGTAATCTGCTATTAATCCCATCCAGTGTATTCTCTTTTCTAAAATTTTTAAAAAGCTTTTTGTTATTTATTTATGTATCTTTTTTTAAATTATACTTTAAGTTCTGGGGTACATGTGCACAATGTGCAGTTTTGTTACATAGGTATACATGTGCCATGTTGGCTTACTGTACCCATAAACTCATCATTTACATTAGGTATTTCTCCTAATGCTATCCCTCCCCCAGCCCCCCACCCCCCCCAACAGGCCCCAGTGTGTGATGTCCCCTCCCTGTGTCCACGTGTTCTGATTGTTCAACTCCCACTTATGAGTGAGAACATGCGGTATTTGGTTTTCTGTCCTTGTGATAGTTTGCTGAGAATGATGGTTTCCAGCTTCATCCATGTCCCCAAAAAGGACATGAACTCATCCTTTTTATGGCTGCATAGTATTCCGTGGTGTATATGTTCCACATTTTCTTTATCCAGCCTATTATTGATGGATATTTGGGTTGGTTCCAAGTCTTTGCTATTTTGAATAGTGCCGCAATAAACATAACGTGTGCGTGTGTCTTTATAGCAGCATGATTTATAATCCTTTGGGTATATGCCCAGTAATGGGATGGCTGGGTCAAATGGTATTTCTAGTTGTACATCCTTGAGGAATTGCCACGCTGTCTTCCACAATGGTTGAACTAATTTACACTCCCACCAACAGTGTAAAAGCGTTCCTGTTTCCCACATCCTCTCCAGCGTCTGTTGTTTCCTGACTTTTTAATAATCGCCATTCTAACTGACATGAGATGGTATCTCATTGTGGTTTTGATTTGCATTTCTCTGATGACCAGTGATGATGAGCATTTTTTCATATGTCTGTTGGCTGCATAAATGTCTTCTTTTGAGAAGTGTCTGTTCATATCCTTTGCACACTTTTTGATGGGGTTGTTGTTTTCTTGTAAATTTGTTTAAGTCCTTTGTAGATTCTGGATATTAGCCCTTTATCAGATGGGTAGATTGTAGAAATTTTCTCCCATTCTGTAGGTTGCCTGTTCACTCTGATGGTAGTTTCTTTTGCTGTGCAGAAGCTCTTTAGTTTAATTAGATCCCATTTGTCTATTTTGGCTTTTGTTGCCATTGCTTTTGGTGTTTTAGTTATGAAGTCCTTGCCTGTGCGTGTGTCCTGAATGGTACTGCCTAGATTTTATTCTAGGGTTTTTATGGTTTTTGGTCTTACATTTAAGTCCTTAATCCATCTTGAGTTAATTTTTGTGTAAGGTGGAAGGAAGGGATCCAGTTTCAGCTTTCTACATATGGCTAGCCAGTTTTCCCAGCACCATTAAGTAGGGAATCCTTTCTCCATTGCTTGTTTTTGTCAAGTTTGTCAAAGATCAGATGGTTATTTTTTTTTTTAAGATGGAGTCTTGCCCCCATTGTGCAGGCTGGAGTGTAGTGGCATGATCTCAGCTCAGTGCAACCTCCACCTCCCGGGTTCAAGCGATTCTCCTTCCTCAGCCTTCCAAGTAGCTGGGATTACAGGCATGCACCACATGCCTGGCTAATTTTTGTATTTTTAGTAGAGACAGGGTTTTGCCACGTTGGCCAGGCTGGTCTCAAACTCCTGACCTCAGGTGATCCACCTGCCTCGGCCTCCCAAAGTGCTAGGATTATAGGCGTGAGCCACCGCACCCGGCCTGTTATTTATTTTGAGACAGAGTCTTGCTCTGCTGCCCAGGCTGGAGTGCAATGGTGTGATCTCGGCTCACTGCAACCTCCGCCTCCCAGGTTCCAGCGATTCTCACGGGTCAGCCTCCTAAGTAGCTGGGATTACAGGCATGAGCCACCATGCCTGGCTAATTTTTGTATTTTTAGTAGAGGTGGAGTTTTACTATGTTGGCCAGGCTGATCTCAAACTCCTGTCCTCAAGTGATACGCCTTCCTTGGCCTCCCTAAGTGCTGGCATTACAGGTGAGAGCCACCATGCCCGGCCAGCCAATGTATTGTTTATCTCAGACATTTTGGTTTTCATCTCTAGCAGCTCAGTTTGAGCCTTTTAAATATTTTCCATGTTGCTACTTAACATTTCCAACATATTGAATATAGAAACAATAGCTTTTAATGTCCTTCTCTGCTAATTCTAATATCTGTGTCTGATCGGGGTTGATTTCCATAGATTGATTATTCTCTTCCCTGTGGGTTGTGCTTTCCTGCCTCTTTGCATGCCTGGGAATATTTGATTGGCTGCCAGACATTGTAAACTTTACCTTTTTGAGTCTTGGATATTTTGTATTCTTTCAATCTTCTGAGCATTGTTCTGGGATGCTGTTAAATTATTTAGGAACAGTGATTCTTTCTAGTCTTGCTTTTATGATTTATTAGATGAATTCAAAGCAGAGCTCAGTCTAGGGCTCTATTATTCCTCATTCTCAGGGCTGGTGGGAATAGGCACTGTTTCCAGCTTTTGTGGGTGCCAGGCACTGTTCTTGCGAATCCTGCAGATGTTTGTCCTCTGACTTTGGTTAGTTTCCTCACAGGCAAGAGCTGATCCATGCTCTGCTGAACACTTAACGGAGACCCTCTGCACATCTCTGGGTTGTCTCTGTGTGCAGTATTCTCATCTCTGATCCAGACGATAATAGCCTGGAATAGGGGAAATGGAAAACTAACTATAAGACAAAGACTTTGGAGTGGCACGTGAGAAGAGAATTGGAGCGTGAGGCAGCAGTGCTCAGAACATGGTCCTTGGCCAGCACCAGCAAAGGCCGAGAAAGAGATGAGAACGTTTAGAGACCTTCCTAAGAGTTTGACAGAGTGGCTTTGTGTCAGTTGAATTGGATAATAACTACAGTTGGGGCTTGGATTTTATGTTTCATTTTTCTATATTATTGTATTTTACAAGATAATAAGTCTGACAGATGGAAATTAAAAACAAAAGCCTCCCATACCTAGCCCTTTGCCACAGATAAACTGAGAAGGAAGGAGTGATGTAGGGGATTTGGATGAGGAGGGAGAGAGGGTGGTGGTTATGATTCTTAGCTCTGGTGGGTGTCATTTGAGGAAACGGAAGGTCAGGTAGGGATGCTGGCAACAGTCACACCAGATGCCTGGTATGAGGTGCACTGGGCTGCGTTCCCTACTGTGATCCCACTTTTATCCTTACCAGGGAACCTGAAGGGTTTGGGTGACAGCCAGGGTCTCATTTCAGGGAAGGGGCAAAGGCAAGGTTGGACCCCAAGCCTGAGTGCTTTTCCACTTTGCCCCTTTCTGCTGTGCTCCTTGGCTTACTGAGGCTTGGCAAGCCTGCAAAATCGAGGCTGGATCTCTCCTTCACTTGAGCCAAACCAAATTGATTTGTTTTTAGCAATATCTTTTAAGAGTTAACCTATTCTGGGGCTGGGTGTTGTGGCCTATGCCTCTAATCCTAGCACTTTGGGAGGCTGAGGTAGCCAGATCACCTGAGGTCAGGAATTCAAGACCAACCTGGCCAACATGGTGAAACCCCATCTCTACTAAAAATACAAAAATTACCTGGGAGTGATGGTGCATGCCTGTAGTCCCAGCTACTCAGGAGGCTGAGCCAGGAGGATGGCTTGAATCCAGAAGGCGGAGGTTGCTGTGAGCCAAGATTGCACCACTGCACTCCAGCCTGAGTGACGGAGCAAGACTGTCTCAAAAAAAAAAAAAAAAAAAGAAAAAGAAAAAAAAAAAAGAACCTATTCTAGAAAAGCTATTTGAAGAAGTAGATTGGTTAGAATTTTGTGCGATGATGCAGATATTCTAAAGCTTCCCTAGTCACAAGTGGCCATCAAGTACTCAAGATATACTTGTTCAAGCCCTGGCGCTAAATTTTTGATGTTATCTTAATTGATTTAAACTTACATAAATAACCACATGTGGCTAGTAGCCACCATGGACAGTACAGGTAGAAGTCACTAACTGGGACAGTACAATCAAAACAATCCAAGTGACTACTGATTTTTACTTTCTTTTCTCGGAAACTCTTCTCATTGTTGGGAAACCCTTGCATTTTTACTTCTCAGGGAGATATTTTGGAACTGAAATTTGTGGTGGAGTCTTACCGCCAAGGACCAGTTATGTTTCCAGAATAGGTTATAGCTTATTTCTATTTTATAGGGAAGGAAGAGTGGTGAGTATTATTGCACGTTTTAGTTTTGTCAGATTAAATGGCTGACCTCTCTTTGTGATGTCCTTAACTCTTGTTTCCTTTGTTAAACTACACCGGCTTTATCAGATGCATTTTTCTCTTTTAAACTGAGGATGGCTTGAAGGCAAATATAAAATACTCATTCACGGCCTGCAGGTGGCTCACACCTGTAATCCCAGCACTGTGGGAGGCTGAGGCAGGTGAATAGCTTGAACCCCGGAGTTTGAGACCAGCCTGGGCAACATGGTGAAACCCCGTCTCTACTAAAAATACACACAAAAAATTAGCCAGTCATGGTGGCATCCACGTGTGTTCCCAGCTACTCAAGGCTGAGGTGGGAGGATTGCTCTAGCCCAGGAGGAGATTGCACCACTGCACTCCAGCCTGGGTGACAGAGTAAGACCCTGTCTCAAAAAAAAAAAAAAAAAAAAAAGAAAAAAGAAAAAATTCATTCACTACATCTACAGGAAGTGTCTTTTTGGAGTGGATTCTCTGTGAGTCTGCACATTTATCAGTCAATTTTTTTTTTTTTTTTTAAGACATAGTCTCACTCTGTCACCCAGGCTGGAGTACAATGGTGCAATCTCAGCTCACTGCAACCTCTGCCACCCGGGTTCAAGTGATTCTCCTGCCTCAGCCTCCTGAGTAGCTGGGATTACAGGCTCACGCCACCAGGCCTGGCTAATTTTTGTATTTTTAGTAGAGATGGGGTTTCACCCTGTTGGCCAAGCTGGTGTCGAACTCCTGACCTCAAGTGATCTGCCTACCTCAGCCTCCCAAAGTGCTGGGATTATAGGCATGAGACACCACACTCGGCCTATCAGTCAATATTTTATAAACGGCTGATGTAAATAAAGAAAATAAAGAGCATTTTGACTACTGTCTTCTAAACTGTAAAAATGGTCTATTGAGTATATATTTAGTGTGACGATCATCAGCTATTTCCTAGTGGAGGGAATTCCTTTACTGGAAGCAGGACGATTCTGAAACTAGAATTATAAAGATGTAACACTGACACTCCCACCCCCAGTTTATGTTTGATGCTGATTATTCAGGGATGGTTTAGGTCTTAGCATTTTTGACCAAGATGAACAGCATCAAATGGAAGTGCCAGTTCAGAGACAAGCCTGAGGCATAGTCTGACTTGGTGGTTCTCAAAGTGTGGTCCCTGGACTAGCACCATCAGCATCACTAGGGAACTTAACTAGAAATGCAGAGTCTCGGGCCCCTTCCCACACTTACTAAGTCAGCAGTCTGTGTTTCAACAAACTCACCTGGTGGTTCTGAAGCATGCTAAGGTTTGAGAACCACCTAAGTTTTTGGTGTTTATCCCTCGGCTATTCCATTTTGTCCTCTGTCCTTATTAGCTCTGCCAAAGCCGCAGCAGCTCCCTAGTGTTACGTCTCTACGTATGAGCCGCCATAACAAGTCAGTGAGGACAGTGAAATTTGCCTCTTCAAGGGAGCAGAAGGAAGTTTAATTGGGAATGCCAGGAAATCCATCTACTTCCCTGGAAGGACTGAACGTTTATACCGCCCCCTCACAAATCCTTATGTTGAATCTCTAATCCCAACATGATGGTATTTGGAGGTGGAGTCTTTGGGAGGTGATTAAGTTATGAGAGTGGATACTTCCTGAATGGGATTAGTGTCCTTATAAGAAGAGCTCAGAGATGTAGTTAGTTCCCTTTCCACCATGTGAGAAAACAGCAGGAAGACAGCCATCTGTAAATCAGGAACTGGATCCTCACCAAGAACCTGACCCTACTAGCACCCTGATGTTGGACTTCCAACCTCCAGAGCTGTGAGAAATAAATGTCTATTGTTTAAGCTACTCACTTTATGGTATTTTGTTCTAACAGCCTAAAATGACTAAGACATTCCCCTTAGTCTGAGAGATATTCCTTTTGGAACAGAAAACAAGAGAGACAGTATAGTGTGGTGGAAAGAGTGTTGACTTTGCACAAGAGAGACCTGGGTTCGAATCTCAACTTTTCTATTTAACTTTTAGCTACATAGGTGAATTTAACCTCTTTAGCTTTTGTTTCTCCATCAGAAAAAAAAAAAAAAGCATCAGTAACTCAACCGTAATATAGTAAGTGAGTTTCCTTTTTCTTTTTCTTTCTTTTTTTTTTTGAGACGGAGTCTCACTCTGTCGCCAGGCTGGAGTGCAGTGGTGCAATCTCGGCTCACTGCAACCTCGGCCTCCCGGGTTCAAGCGATTCTCCTGCCTCAGCTTCCTGAGTAGCTGGGATTACAGGCACGCACCACCACACCCAGCTGGTTTTTGTATTTTTAGTAGGGACGGGGTTTCACCATGTTGGCCAGGATGGTCTTGGTCTCCTGACCTCATGATCCGCCCACCTTGGCCTCCCAAAGTGCTGAGATTACAGGCGTGAGCCACCACGCCCAGCCGACAAGTGAGTTTCAACTGCCCAAACGTCAGGGCACATTATTGCAAGATTAATGAAATGACTCAAGCAGGCCTCCAGGGCTGGCTGGCTTGGGGTAAATTGTGCTGCTTCAACCTGTCCTTGTCCTGGCTGTGGTTTGGCACCACCTAGTGGCGGTTGGGTGCTCTAGCTTAAATGTCAATAAGGAGGATTCTGGATCCTGCTCTTGATTGGAACTTTCAGGACAGTGGCAGTGATTCCAGGAATTTTCAGGTTAGTTGGCGTCTGTTTCATTGGCCAAATCTGGGGTGATTCAGCCTGGAGAATACCTTTTCTGCCTCCCTGCTTCTCAGCACCAGGTTGCTTGCTGTTTCCTACCTGGCCTCAGCCTCCTCTCAGCAACCCCCTTTCTCCAAAGATACAAACTTTAGCCTGTCTCCAAGTGGAAGGTTACCTATCAAGTTACATCTAAATGCCTGTCATCACAAGGAGTTTTTACGGAGCTGTTCATGACACTTAAGTGAGACATGAGGCAAGTAAAAGGCCCAGTACCTAGAAAGTGTTTGAATGAAAATTCCCTTTTCCGGCCAGATATGGTAACTCACACCTGTAATCTCAACGCTTTGGGAGGCCAAGGCGGGAGGATTGCTGAGACCAGGAGTTCGAGGCTGCAGTGAGCTATGATTGTACCACTGCACTCCAGCCTGGGCAACAGAGCAAGACGCTGTCTCAAAAAAAAAAAAAAAAAAAAGGAAAAAGAAAGAAAGGCCTGTCCCATTTCCTGGCAGAAGAGAGAAACTGGATTCTGCATATAGGTGTGCATCCAACAAGCATTAAATACTGCTGCATGGCCTCATGGTGCAGTGGAACAAGCACAGTCTTCACAGTCAGACAAATCTGGGTTCCCATCCTGCCCACTTACTACCTGGGTAAGCCTCAATTTCCTTACTTATGAAATGAAAACGATAATGTGTAATTCATAAGTATCATATTTTTACTCCAGAAAGTTAGGAGTAATCCTTGGGTGTGATTTCAAGTGATTCCCAAAAATAATCAATTCCTGTATCCTTGTACTGCTCCATGACATTGACATGTGATGTGTTTTATTTCTGCCCGACTCTTTACTGAACCCTTTCTACGCTCACTGAAACCTGGAGTAGGTGATGGCTTTGAGTAGGAAATGACTTTGTGAGTTTCTTCCGTAAAAGGCATGTGACAGTACAGGGTCAGAAGGTGGAGTGATGCAGTAACCTGTGTGGCAAAGTTTTCAAGCATTTAAAAATATATGTGAAAGCCCTAAACATAGTACTTAGACCACAGAAGACAATCAGTAGATGTTAGGCTTTTCTCCCACTCAGAATACAAACAAATATATTTTGATACACTATCCAGTTTCTAACCTCAGGTGGTCTTTCAAAACCGAAGTGAAAAATGAAGTGTGAGTTCTTCAGAGCAAACTAAGCCCCACCCTCTTAGGTCAGTGGGGGAGTCTCAGTTTTTTAAAATTTGGAATAAAGGAAAATCAGACGTAGTCCCCCAACCCCCTGTACTGGCCTCCTGTGTCCGGACATGGGAATTCTCAGCTGTGGGAACTGGCAGCAAGAGGACTTATCTAGCCAGCTGGGCAATTTTTTAAATGATCAGAGCAATACCTGCTCATTGGTAAATCTTTGGGAAAGTGTAGGAAAGTATATAGAAGCAACCAACTAGGAAATAAACCATCCCCTCCACCATGCAGATTCTTTTTTTTTTTTTTTTTTTTTTTTTTTTTTTTGAGACTGAGTTTTGCTCATGTTGCTCATTGCAGGCTGGAGTGCAATGGTGTGATCTCAGCTCACCACAATCTCCACTCCTTGGGTTCAAGTGATTCTCCTGCCTCAGCCTCCTGAGTAGCTGGGACTACAGGCATGCACCACCATGCCTGGCTAATTTTGTATTTTTAGTAGAGAGGGGGCTTTTCCATGTTGGTCAGACTGGTCTTGAACTCCCGACTTCAGGCGATCTGCCCGCCTTGGCCTCTCAAAGTGCTAGGATTACAGGCATGAGCCACCGTGCCTGGCCTCACCATGCAGATTCTAAATATGTCCACTCAGAGGCGTTGCCACTCATGGGCAGATTTCCTTTCCAGTCTTTTTTTCTTTGAATTTCTTTATATAGTTGAGATGCACAATTTTTAAATCTTGCTTTTTACTTTTCACATTATAACATAAGGGTTTTCTTTTAAGATTAAAAGTATTTTTTCATATTATACATATTTCTAGAAAAATTTAATATAGAAATATGTGAAGTAAAGTGAAATTTCTCTCTAATACCATCTGTCACTGTACCTAATACTAGAAAGAAAATTTAAAATATTAAAGTATATAAAGTAGAAAGTGATGTTTCACTGTTATACTTCTACCAGTGTTACCCACTGTTTGTTTTTTTCCCTTTTGCATATCAGTGGTATCTGCAAATTACTGAAATGGAATTGTACTATAAATACACTTGTCAAGTTTGCTTTTTTCACTTGTTAATATATTTTCAGTCTGGGTGCAGTAGTTCACACCTGTAATCCTGAGATGGGCTGATCACTTGAGCCCAGGAGTTGTTGACTAGCCTTAGACAACATGGCGAAACACTGTCTCTACAAAAAAATACAAAAATTAGGCAGTTGTGGTGGTGCACACCTGTAGCCCTATCTACTCAGGAGGCCGAGGTGGGAGGATTCCTTGAGCCTGGGAGGCTGAGGCTGCAGATTGCACCACTGCACTCCAGCCTGGGTGACAGAGTCAGGCTCCATCTCAAAAAAACCCCAAACATATATATATGCTATCCCCAAACATATATATATGCTATATATAAGCATTTTCCAATATGACTAAAACACTATTTAAATGACATTTTAAATAGCTATGTAACATTTCATCATTTATATGTACTCTGGTTTATATAACCATTCCTCTAAGGCTGCCAGTTTGGATCTAAGTAAATATTTATTCACTTTTTAAAATTCTTTCCCAAAGCTAAGTCTCAGATAACCTCACTGAGTCAGAGATAAACATTTTAAAGTTTCCCTTCCAGGGAGAGTTTATCATCTTACACTCTCAGCAGTAGCTTATGAAAATATACAGTGACAACAATCACAAACACTTAAAAAATCTTTGTTGATCTCCTGGATGAAAAAGCTTTCGTTTAATTTGTTTCTTAACACTAGAGGGTTCAGTGCTTCTGCATGTTCAATGATCTTCCTCTGTGATTTTTGGAATAGAGGTGATCTTCGCCCTATTACACAAAACGTTGATTTCCAGCTCAGATTCCTTAGAACTTGCTAACCCCATTCCTGGAACCAAAGTGCTGTTTGCTGTGTTCTCCATACATTGGATCAGAAGCCTAAGCTCTGGAAGTCCTGCGCCGTTTCCTGGTGGCCTCCTAGCTCCCTCTAGGGGCCCCATCCGCAACTGCAGCCCCACCTTCTTTCCTCTCTTGAGGAATGAGTTTACCCTGCGGGAATTCCGAGAAGGAAGAGGCGAAAGTGGGGAGCTCCACAAGTAAAGATTTGGACTTTGTGATCAGACAGTGTGTGAATAGTTTTGCTTACTGGTTGAGCAAGCTTCTCTTAGGTGGGCTGTCTTTTTTTTTTTTTTTTTTTTTTTTTCCCGAGACGGAGTCTCTCTCTGTCATAAAGGCTAGAGTGCAATGGCGCGATCTTAGCTTCCTGCAGCCTCCGCCTCCCAGGTTCAAGCGATTCTCCTACCGCGGCCTCCCAAGTAGCTAGGATTATAGGCGCGTGCCACCATGCCAAGCTAATTTTTGTATTTTTAGTGGAGATGAGGTTTCGCCATGTTGGCCAGGCTGGTCTCGAACTCGTGATCTCAAGTGGTCCAACAGCCTCAGCCTCCCAGAGTGCTGGGATCACAGGCGTGAGCCACCGCGCCCGGCCAGGTGGGCTGTTTGTGTTCCTCGTCACCTTGTTCCTGGGGAGGGACAGAGGGCAGCAGATCAGCTGTCACCCAGGTAGGTGTCCGACGTGGGAAAAGTATGGGAAAGATACTCTAGTTAGTTCTCATTTTCTTTTCTAAAACTTCGAGTTCTCTGGAGTCCCTTTATAGAGAGAAAGTTTAAGTAACTGAAATTAATTTCCATGGCTGTCAAGGGGGTTCTGATGATGATCCCTGAGATCACCCAGCTGTAGGTAGACATTCTTGGTACCTTAGTTTAGCAGAGTCAGAAAATACTGCGAACGTTCAAGGATGGGGACCTTCTAGAAGAGAGGGCAACAGTAACTTTGAGGGGAGGACAAGAGAGCAGCTTTGGAGACCTAAAGAGTTGTGGCCTTCTATGTAAGTCCTATTATCCCTTCCATGCACCCCCACCCACATTCCCCTACTCCATTAAACTTTGTTTCAGGTTATAAAAATAATGCATAATTATTGCAGGAAAAAATGGTAATTGAAAATCACCTATTTCTTACACTCAAAGATAATGACTTAAAATTTGGTGTACATCTTATGTGTATGAGTGTACACATAATTTTGTCATCATATATGTGAGTGTGTTCATAACTGTAACCCACATACTTATATACTTCCTTTAAAATATTTTAAGTATTTTTCCCTGTCAATAAATATTTTTTTGAAAACACAATCTTTTTATGGCTGCATAATATTCCAACATGTATATGGGTTATCATTTAATAGGAATTGGACATTTGATGCTCATTTTTAGCAAGCTATTATAAATCTGAGATGACGATTTCTGGAACTAGGATAAATTCCTGAAATAGAATTTTTGGGGAGAAAATATCTGAACTTTGTAAATTCTACTGACATTTAATACAAATTTCTCTCCTAAGAGCTTGTTTTAGCTTCTGCTATCCCTTGCAGAGTGTGAACAAGTATCTGTTTGTCTGTGTCATTACTAACACTGGGGTTATCATTCTTTTTAAGCTTTGCTAGTCTGATAGGTAAAGCATAGGGTTTTTTGTTGTTGTTTGTTTTTGGAGAGACAGAGTCTCACTCTATTGCCCAGGCTGGCGTGCACAGACGTGATCTCAGCTCACTGCAGTCTCAACCTCTAGGCACAAGTGATCCTCCTAGCTCAGCCTCCTAAGTAGCTGGGACTACAGGCGTGCCCCACTACACCTAGCTAACTTTTTTATTATTTGTAGAGATGGGATCTTGCTGTGTTGCCTAGGCTGGTCTTGAGCTCCTGGGTTCAAGTGATCCTCCCACCTTGGCCTCCCAAAGTGTTGGAATTACAGGTGTGAGCCACTGTGCCTGGCAGCAATATTTTTTAAATCATGAGGAAAGCTAAAGATTTTATTTTATAGTTATTGATCATTCATACTTATTTTGTGGTTTGTCTGCCTATTCTTTACCCATTTTTTATATAGGACTGTTACTTGAGTTATTTTCATATTAGAGTTACATCCTTTTCTGTCATACAGTATAGATGTTTGCTCTAGTTTGTTATTGCCTTTTCGTTTACGGTGTTTCACCTAAGTGTGTGTGTGTGTGTGTGTGTGTGCGCGTGTAAAACCTACTGGAAGGTACTATGGGAAATAATCCTTATTTACCTGTCACCCAGAATGCACAGACATTTTTACATTATAGTTTTGGTTTGATATTTTTTA
The DNA here is from genome assembly GCF_000001405.40 of Homo sapiens. Taxonomy (NCBI): domain Eukaryota; kingdom Metazoa; phylum Chordata; class Mammalia; order Primates; family Hominidae; genus Homo; species Homo sapiens. The sequence goes on from NC_000003.12 coordinate 45,662,408, forward strand.
TAAAGGAAATTAAATATATAAAAATTGTGTGTGTATTTTAAAACCTACTGGAAAGTACTATAGGAAATAATCCTTATTTACCTATCACCCAGAATGCACAGACATTTTTACATTGTAGCTTTGATTCTGTATTTTTATAAAGGAAATAAAATATTATATAAAAATTGGAATCATCTTGATTCCTTTTCCCATCCTCTCCCTTCCTTCCCTAGGGCAGCTGCCATTATGAATTGAAATTTTCCTACTGTTACCATATATACTATTGTCAATAAAAAACATACAGTACTAGTTTACAGTACTAGTTTGTGGCCGGGCATGGTGGCTCACACCTGTAATCCCAGCACTTTGGGAGGCCGAGGTGGGTGGATCACCTGAGGTCAGGAGTTCGAGACCAGCCTGGCCACCATCTCTACTAAAAATACAAAAATTAGCCGGGTATGGTGGTGAGTGCCTGTAATCCCAGTTGCTTGGGAGGCTGAGGCAGGAGAATCACTTGAACCTGGGAGGCAGAGGCTGCAGTGAACCAAGATCGTGCCACTGCACTCCAGCCTGGGCGACACAGCGAGACTCCGTCTCAAAAAAAAAAAACAAAACAGTACTAGTTTGTGTATGTGTGTGTGCGCACTCTCAAACTTACACATATACGATCATTGGTATATCTTCAGGCATTTTGCCTTATTTGCACTGGTGTTCAGTTCAATTAATAATGATATGCATAGATCTAGCCCTTTCATTTTGACTGCTGTCTGGTATTACATCCAGTAAATACAGCTCCAGTTTCTTCGTCTATTTATCAATTCTCATATCTAGTGAACACTGAAGACGCTTCTAGTTTTTCCATAACAACGTTGCCGTGAACATCCATACATGTCTGTCCTCATGCATGTTTGGGTAATCTTCTCAAGGGGCAACCTTAGAAGTGTGTTGTGGATTATGTGTATTTTCAGATCTATTGGCCCTTGACAAATTGTTCCCAAGTAGTCATCCCAGTTGATGATACTCCCACCAGTGTGAAAGGGCTCCTCTTGTCCCACACCTTCCAAGACATGCTATTAGATTTAGTAATTTTTGCCAATCTATGAAAGTGAGATAGAATCTCATTGTGGTTTTAGTTTGCATTATCCTGATTGTTGATAGGATAGAACATCTTTTTATTATAGATATTGGGGTTATGATTAATAATCCTGGTTATTCCTAAGGTATAACAGGTTTTCTATTCTATGCACTTTCTCTTCCTGCCCTTTGCTCATTTCCCCATTGGATTATTTATCTTTTTCTTATTAATTGGTGTTCTTTGTGTCTTAGGTACTAATACTATTTTAATTTATTTTATTTATTTATTTTTGAGACAGAGTCTTGCTCTGTTGCCCAGTCTTGACTCACTGCAATCTCCACCTCCTGGGTTCAAGTGATTCTTCTGCCTCAGACTCCCAAGTAGTGCGTGGCACCATGCCTGGCTAATTTTTTTTTTTTTTTTTTTTGAGACAGAGTCTCCCTCTGTCACCCAGGCTGGAGTGCAGTGGCATGATCTCGGCTCACTGCAACCTCCGCCTCCTAGGTGCAGGCGATTCTCCTGCCTCAGTCTCCCAAGTAGCTGGGGTTACAGGTGCATGCCACCATGCCCAGCTCTTTTTTGTATTTTTAGTAGAGATGGGGTTTCACCATATTGGCCAGGCTGATCTCGAACTCCTGACCTCAGGTGATCCACCTGCCTCAGCCTCCCAAAGTGCTGGCACTACAGGCTTGAGCCACTGTGCCCGGCCAATTTTTGTACCTTTTGTAGAGACAAAGTTTCACCATGTTGGCCAGGCTGGTCCCAAACTCCTGACCTCAAGTGATCCTCCCGTGTCAGCCTCCCAAAATGCTGGGACTACAGACGTGAACAACTGTGCCCGGCCAGATACTAATAGCATTTTATATGTGCTTTGGCCATCTTCTGATCCATGGCTTACTCTTCCTTTTTTCTTTAACTCAACATGTACTGCACTCTGTTAGAGTATTGCCAAAGCTTCCCCTCCAAGTATGAAGCTGACTTAGCTATATCTTCAAGGAATGTAGCATATACTCAGAGTATTAAAAAGTCCTACAGGAACCTACAGGAGGGCTGGGGGAAACATTCAGACAACACTAGATCTGGTAGCAACGACCACCACAGCAAAGAAGATGGATTTGTAGTTAAAGTTACTTCCTTTTTTATGCCTTTTCCGCTGCGTTGATGCTTTCAGGGTCCTCTCTGAGGTCTGAGGAATGTTCTTTGACAGTCTTGTCGCTATCTGCCTTGCGCTGCTTTGCCTCCTGTGGGCGTCACCAGGCGAGGGCAGCCAGTGTTCGTCTGGCGGGTTTCTCTGTATCTCGGGCACTGTTTGTGACAATGATGATTTTACTTTCATTTTGTGGGCTGGCCCCAAAGGGCTTGGTTTAACTTTTTGCAGAGAGTTCATTCAGTTTCTGAAACCCCCACATTGCCTGTTGAGTATGTGTTGAGCCTAGCACTGGAAATGCCCTCAGATCTGTGAATACTGCCAAGTAGGGGATCCCGGGACACCCTCTGCTGACCTTGAGCTCACAGCCCCATTGTGTTTTCCATAAGAGATGAGAGGGACTGATAAAGGATGTTTACCTGTGTTAGCCTTATGGAAGCAAGAGTTCCATCCAAGGAATCAGGGTGCTTTGAACTTTTCCCACTCCCGCCTACTCGTTTTAGGTCAAGAGAAACAAAAATATCCTTCCAACAATGTGTGTTTTCTACAGTTTAGGTGAGAAAAAGATAGGAAAATAATAGTTAACCAATGTATAGGACTCTCCTGATAGGCGGTCACAATGGTCCTGGAGCATATGTCCAAGGTGACTGTCATAAATGCCTGTGGGAAACTGCATCTTCACAAGAGACTGTTGCTTGGATGCCCCCTTGTGTTGCCTCTGCTGTCCTGCCACCAAATGCTTTGCTGGCATCTTTCCAAGCAGATAGGAGGTGCTGGAAGGTGAGCGTAGGATGACTTCCAAGTCAGCCCTTGAGTCTTTTTGCCAAATAGCACCTGCCAGGGCACCCTTCCTCCCGGCCTCAGCCTGCCTGCCTCTCGCCGAGGGCCACGGCATCTTTTAGGAACTGGAAAGTGTCATTGACAGTTGGCGGTTTTTACGTGTTTATTTCTGCCTAAAGATTTTGCTTTTCACTTTTCACTTTTTCCACTGCATATTAAAATTTTTCTTTTTTTACCCTGTGTTTGTGATTTTTTCCTTAGGCCGGAAGCTGAGAGGAAAAGCCTTTTATTTTGTCAACGGCAAAGTGTTTTGTGAAGAAGACTTCCTGGTGAGTGTGTCACCGAAGCCTCCCCTTGCATGTCCTGGCCAGAGTCAGAGGGCAGGGGCCTGGGGGGACCTGGGCCAGCGTGTAGGGAAGCTGCACTGCTGGAGAGAGGGGCCCTGCCTTTCCTTCTGTAGATACTTGGGGGTGGCCATGTTCCTGAGGCCAATGGCAAACCACACAGCTTTGTACTTTGAAGGAACTGTGGGGTCACTTGGCTATCCTCTTGCTGCTTTCTGCAGTTCTGCCTCTTCCACCACCCTGGACTCCTCCTCTTAGACCACTGGACTGGGACCTGGGCTCTCTTCTTCTCATCCCACTCTCTCTGGGGATCTAGCTTCTCCCATGGACTGGAAGTCCATCCATGTGCCAGTGGCTCCCAGACCTGAGCTCTAGCCCTGCCGCACCTCTGAGGCCAGCTGCTGGCATCCCACTGGCCCCTGGGCTGTGTCCCAACCCCTCACGTACCAGCCCCTCACCATATTTCTGTGAAGCAGAAAAATCTTACCTTGCCTTGGGTCCTGATCTGTGAGAATTGCCTCCTAGGTTTGTCCTCAACCCCACCTCCTTGAACGCAGCCAGGCGTTGAACTCTGTGCTGCCATGTCTTCCACAATTCTGCCTCCGTTCATACCTCCGGCATGGCTCAGCCAGGCTAGCTTAACGGCCTCCGCACACCCGCATCAAGAGGCCTTATAGGGCATAAACCTGGCCTGCTTGGTCCCAGCATGTGCAGGGTACAAAGCACACTCAGAAGCTCTCCGAGGTCTGGAATCCCCAGCTGCCCACACCTATGCAACCTCATGCCTTCGTGCCTTTGCTTGGGCCATTTCCCCTGCTTGCAATGTCTTGCCCCTTTATTTTCCCAGATCCCCCCAACAGCCTTCCTGTCCCTCCTGCACCCACAATGGAGGAGCTCTTCTGTGCTGCCACCATGCCCAGGGCCTGCCCTGGCAGGGCTGTGGGCTGTTAGCCCTGAGCAGTATGTCTGCTTACAAGTCTCTCCTCCATTGACTGAAAGCTTCCAGGATAGAAAGAACATGCGTCTTCACCTTCACACCTGCAGATTCTAACAAGATGCCATGCAGACTGGGTGCTTGGTAGTTGGTGGTTGAAATGACTCTGTCATCTCAGGGATGAGGAATGTGAGATGCAGAGATGGGCTCAGGGCCAGCTTCTCCCTGCCTTCCCTTGAGAAAAGCTCTATTTGGTTTTCACTGAAAAGTTGATTCATTATGATTCCTGTTGGCCAGAAACAGACTAGCAAACCCAAACGGGCTTAAGTAAAAAGGAAATTATTCCAGCAGTGCCTCAGGAGTCATTTTCTCCACAGTTTTTGGCCGTGTATCTCAGTGTTAGCTTCAGTCTCAGGTCCTATGTGATGGCCAGATGTTGGGAGGACCCCAGAGTTTACATTCTCTCAGTTTCACATCCGATGGGCAAGAGTGCCAGTCCCTCCTTCGGAATCCTCCACAGACGTCTGATGGAGTCTCATTGGCTCTTACTGGGCCACATGCCCACGCCTGGAAAAAGTAACAGTGCTGGAGGAATGCAAGGCTCTGATGGGCCAGATCTGTCAATGCCCTGCCTGGGCCCTGGCATGGAGCCAGCCCACATGGTGATGGGAGCCACGTGGTGTGGAGCTGGGGGCTGGATCTCAAATGAAAATAGAGAGCTATTACCCCCAGAATGGGGCGTAGGTGCCAGACAACAGAAACCTCCACCACATGGTGTAGAGTTGCAGAAAGTTTCCCTTTTTTGTTTTTCCCAGCTTCCTTTCATAAGGTTTCCCCCAGTTAAGTTGTGTTTGTAATACCCAAACTTCTAGTCTAGCGTGTAGCATCTAGTATGTTTTTTGAAGAGAGCACCTCATGTCTTTCAAGACTGTGTGTGTGTATGTGTTTAGGTAAGATAAGGTAAGGTAAAGTAGATATTTATTAAGTTTCTTTGAAGCTAACTATAAAAGGCATTAGCTTTTTAACCAGAACCGGAGTTGAATTTGATTTCTGTCCTTACCCTTTGTTGGCTGTGTGACCTTGAAAAGTTCACTTAACCTCTCTGAGCTGCCCTCTGCTTCTATTTGAGGATTCTGGGTAATAATGTAGACCTTGCAGAATTGTTGTAAGCATTAGAGTGATGGTTTCAGAATCCCCTGAAAGGCTTGTGAAAACACAGATTGCCAGAACCCACCCCCTGAGTTTCCAAATCAGTAGGTCTGGAGTGGAGCCCAAGGATTTGCATTTTTTACAAGCTTTCAAGTGATGCCAGGGAACTGCTCTTTGAGAACCACTGAGATGGGATTAAAGCATCTCTATATACAGTCCCTTACATAGAGCCTGGCATGCTGTGGGTGCCCAGACACAGTCATTGTTAGAGTGAGTGGTACTAGTATTTGTGATGGCTTTCGTGGCAGAGAATATTCTATGACTCAGCCCACAGCTGTGTTGTACTTGGGGATGACAGAATTCTGCACAGAGTGACACATCTTTCTGAGAAATTCCTTATAATCCTCTTGGCTGTTGGGGAAGTGGCTGATTCATCTTACCAGTCTGGGTTTAACTTTCTTTTCTTTTTCTTCTGCAGTACTCTGGTTTCCAGCAGTCGGCTGACAGGTGTTTTCTTTGTGGACATCTGATCATGGACATGGTGAGTAGGTCAGCCAAAGAAGAGAACAGCATCTCAGGTGGAGGAGGAGGTGTTCAGAGAAAAAAGAAATTAATAATTGAGGACAGTGTTTCTTATCTTGATTTGTGGTTACAGCTGGGCGCAGTGGCTCATGCCTGTAATCCCAGCACTTTGGGAGGCCGAGGCGGGCGGATCACGAGGTCAGGAGTTTGAGACCAACCAGCCTGGCCAATATGGTGAAACCTTGTCTCTACTAAAAATACAAAAATTTTCCGGGCGTGGTGGTGCATGCCTGTAGTCCCAGCTACTTGAGAGGCCAAGGCAGGAGAATTGTTTGAACCCTGGAGGCGGAGTTTGCAGTGAGCCAAGATCACGCCACTGCACTCCAGCCTGGGCAACAGAGTGAGACTCCACCTCAAAAAAAAAAAAAAAGTCCCTGTAAAGTACAGCTTGCTTGTTCTAATAGAACCCACATTGTTGGCTTTTATTGGAATTAACATCTTTAACCATCTAGAGCACACGCTATCATGTTTCCGATAATGCTTTCTCCTCCTCTGGGCTGTTTGAATCGCACTGGCCTCCCTCTGGCTTCTCTGTGATCCTTGTGGCATCCCAGGTGAGATGCTAAATACAGTCTGTTTTTACTGCAGAAATCTCAGCTACCTTGGAGTCAAATGCAGAAAGCCAGAGGAGCAAAGTTGTTTTTCTCCCTGTGTTATGCCCAGCTCACACCATTACGAAGATGAGTTTTTAGGGCCTGTCATTTAGTTCTGAGACAGCAGAGCAAGGACCAGGTTTTATACATTCCATTCTTTGCTCAGTCACTGGCTCTCTGAGGTTATTTTGGGCTTCAGGTCTTCAGTGGGGACAATTTTTCCCTAGAGGGTTAGGTTATGAGGTTAATGAATACAACATCAAATTGTTCACCATTGGAAACCAGCCTTTAAGAAGTTCTTTAATATACTGATCAGAGGAAATGATTATATAACATACTTTAAGTTGGAAACAGTTAAGTCCCTCTCTAAGCTGACTCATTAATTTCATTCTAGAGAAGATAATTTCTAATTATTAGTATTTTTAATTTTACCTTTTTATTGAGAAATAACTCATAGAGTAAAAGATACTAATCTTAAGTGTACATCTGAACGAGTTTTCACATGTGCATATACCCCTGTAACCACCACCCAGATCAAGATATAGAACACTTCCCAAACTCCAGAAAGTTCCTTCTTGTCTATTCCCACTCAAGACCCCACTCCCACAAAGGCAACCATTATTCCAACTTCTATTGCCAGAAATTCATTTTGCTGGTTTTGGAACTTCATATAAATAGAAACATATAGTATAGACTCTTTCAGGTCTTATTACATATGTTTTTGAGCTTCATCCATGCTGTTACCTGTATTGGTAGTTTATTGATTTGTATTGCTAAGTGGAATTCCATTGTATGGATATAGCACAATTTATTTCTCCATCTCATGTTGATGGGGATTTGGTGGTTTCTAGTTTTTTGCTATTTATGCATGAAGCTGCTGTGAATACTCTTGAACATGTCTTTGATGGACATAAACACTCATTTCTGCTGGTTATATGCTAATATTTATAAAACATCAGTGACCCACAGCCCTCCCCATTCGTGATGAATATCTGCTATCTCCCAGGCTTTGACAGACCTCAGCAGAGGTCTTAGCCCTATTAGAGCCATGTCCTCATTAGTAGCCAAGACCTCCCTGGGAAACGTGGCCCTTCCCCCATGCTCGCAGTGGGAGGTAGGCAGAAGCTACATATGCTTACCTCTCCTTCCCAGGTATCTTCTAGACTCTGTAGGGCTCTATTTCTTTAGCAGAATTTGCCTTTGTTTTTAGTGTCCTTCTGACAAACCTACTTCATATGAAGTCAACATGCTCTGAATTTATGAGTATGATTATACCCTATTCTTAGTTCTAGTAATCCTAAGACTTCTTTGGATAACCTCAGGGTATGTCATTTATCTATTGCTGCATGACAAACCACCCTAAAACTTTGTAGTTTAAAACAATAGTGATTTCTTATTTATCATCATGCTTCATGCTGTGGGTCAGGATTTAGGTCAGGGTTTAGCAGGCCAATTCTTCTGCTCTGTGTGGCATTGGCTGGGGTCTCCTACTTAACTTTGTTCAGCTGGTAGCACAGTTGAACTGGAACATCCAAGATGACCTCTCACCCTCCAGGCCCCTCTCCCTGTAGCCTCTAATCATTCAGTAGTCTAGTTCAGACTTCCTTACAGCAAGAGATAGGAAGTGGAAGCTACCAGTCTTCTTAAGCCTTTGACTCAGAAATCTCAGAACATTGTTTCTTCTGCTTTCTGTTAATTAAAGAAAGTCACAAAGCCAGTTCTGATTCAAGGGGAGGGGGAAATAGTCCCCATCTCTTGATGTGAGATCTCTACCATATGGGATAGTATGAAGTTGAAGCTTCAGTCTTTCAGGTCTTCCCTAGGACTTGAAAACTTTTAGTGAATGTCTAGACAGAACCCCAGCTGTCTAACTCTTTGTGTAAATTGTCTCTCTATATACCCTTTTGTTAATAGAGGGGTACATTCTGGGCTTGCAGGTTAGAACCAGGCATAGTCTCACATAAAAAAAGTATTACAGCTAGTCACAATGCAGCAAAATGGCATCTTTTTCTAATCTTACTTTAGGCACAATGTGGATTAAATTAATTTAAGGATCTCTTTCTGCCAAGACAGCATTCATCTTGGGGAAAATGCATTCCAAGGTCCAAATTGCCAAATGGGTTTTGGAAGCCCAGCCAGTTGTTCTTCCTGTTTTGCCTTACTGCAGATTGAGAGGGCCCTCAAAGGTTAGGGAAACCCAAGAGGGAATGAGGAAGCTTGAAAGCTGAGCATTCAGAGGAAAGCTGGAATAGCACAACGCCCTCCTCTTGCCTTCTTGGCTGGAGCTTGTGCAGTGTGGAGTTATCCGCCTGAGGCTTCCAGGGGAAGGAGCTGTAACACAGCATATCTTTACCCCTGGGTCTCACAGTGTACTGACAAGGCTTCCCCAAATCCAAAATCCCCTTTCTTCAGCCTGTTTGAAGGCTTTCTGTGTGGGCTCCCACTGCTGGATGCTGATGACCGTTCTGTACATTCTTTGCAGATGCATGTTTTGGTGTGACCTTGCTCATGTTGATTCTGTAGTTCAGTTGTTTTTGCTAAGTTTCATGATGCAGGTAATTGCAGAAATGAATCTCCTATTAAGTCAGTGAAGATGCTTTCAACTGCAAATTATAGAAAAAACCCAGACTCAGTTCGAGTTAAACCAATGATCCTCCAACTTTAATATATATCAGAATCACCCTATTAAAATACCAACTGCTGGGCCTTACCCCCAGAGTTTCTGATTCAAGAAATCTGGGATGGGGTCCAAGAATGTGCATTATTAACAAGTTTGCAGGTGATGCTAATGCTGAAGGTCTGGGGCCACACACATTTCGAGGACCACTGACTTCATAGGAATGATATTTTATCTCACCTAAAAAGAGGCTTGGAGGTATGTGGTTCCATGATGAGTTAATTCAGTTACTTACGGACCTCACCAAGGATGTTCTTTCCATCTCTTCTCTTTCCTGCTGTCCATGTCTTGGGTCTGTCCTGGTTTCAGGTTGGCTCTGGCAGTTCCAGGTATCCCATCCAGATCCAGATTAAATGACACTGAGAGGAAGAAGTTTGTGGGGCTTTCCCTCTATTGCGTTTAAAAACAACAACAGAGAAACTTTACTTATTACACTTGGATTTGAGGTCATTGGGTTGAGTCAGAACTTCTAGATTATCATGCTCCAGAGTCAAAGCTGCATAGAAGGGGCATCCAAGAGGCAGAAGTGAAGGGGTTCCTTTTGAGCTCTGCCATTTCCACATGGAATTTCTTTTCATTTTTCCGAGTACTTGCTGCTTCCCAAATCTGGGAAGGATGTATCCTTCTGTGGCCCTGCTTTGCATCGTTTCCCACTTCTTCGTGGTGGATTTTGGCCCTGGGATTGGCCCATCCCTTCCTTACCATCTCTTTCTCTTAAAGAACTATGCAAGAGTTTCCTGTTCTGGGTGAGGGTTGGAAAGGAGCCCTCTTTCCCTGCCAGCTCAGAGACCCTGTGAGAGGCTGCAGGAGAAGGATTCCTGTGTGGTCTCTTCTGTGTATTCATCTAAACAGATTTGCCTTTCCCACCCCATCACCTCTTGCTCTTCTCCTAGGTGAAACTCGGGGGTAAGTGTACTCTGTGTGTGACTGCTCATGTAATCCTTAGGCCTGATGTGTTCCTCTCCCCTTCCACCATCTCATCCTTCCCTATAATCCCCACTGAGTCTTGGTCTCTGCTCCAGATCCTGCAAGCCCTGGGGAAGTCCTACCACCCCGGCTGTTTCCGCTGTGTCATCTGTAATGAGTGTTTGGATGGGGTGCCCTTCACCGTGGACTCAGAGAACAAGATCTACTGTGTCCGAGATTACCACAAGTAAGAAGGGATGGGAGCAGACAGGACCCATTCGTGTAGGCCAAGCTGATCTCAGCAGAGTGAGTGGTGGAAACCGACAAAACTGTGTTTGCCAGCCGCCCTTAGATCACAGTCCAGCAAAGGCTTAATGGTTTTGAGGGGTACAGCAGGGACCTTGGGAGGTTGGTCGATGCCAGTGTTGACAGGAATGGGTTAAAGAATCATGTTTAGTGAAAAAAAAAAAACAACAGAGCACAGAAAAACTAATAATCATATTTGTAGCTAGGCCTCGGGAGGAATCCACCAAGCCCTGTGGCTTCAGCGTTACCTAACTTCACAAGGCCCCTATGCAGTGCTGGTTCCTACCACTCTTGGTTTGCCTGGGCCTGTGCTAGGCACCATGAGAGGTGTAAACAAATCAGTTAGTGCTGTCCCCAGAAGAGTGAGAGGCAGCCAGTGTCCTCATTGCAGCTGGGGAGCAAATACTAAGGCATATTCCACAAAGTGAGCCAGGTACCAGTCATTCTATGAGGGAGGAGAGCAAGGGGCAGGAGGCGGCATGGAGGAAGGCTCCATGTGGATTCCAAGTGCAAGTCTGACTCTGGAATTTGCTCCCAGAAGCAACATTTATTGCTGCTTTGTTTCTCCCCACAGGGTGCTGGCCCCCAAGTGTGCAGCCTGTGGGCTTCCCATCCTTCCACCTGAGGTAAGATGCCCTTCCAGACATGCTCCCAGGGGCTTCTAAGACATGAATATCTCCCTGGGCTCATTTACAAGATCCATGTCCTGTCCTTACAGCTTTTAAGGTATCCTTTTAAAAATCTCAACTCTGGCCTGGTGCAGTGGCTCACGCCTGTAATCCCACCCCTTTTAGGAGGCCCAGGCAGGAAAATTGCTTGAGGCCTGGAGTTTAAGAACAGCCTGGGCAACATAGCAAGACCTCATCTCTACAAAAAATTGTTAAAAATTGGCCAAGTGTGGTGGCATGTGCCTGTAGTCCTAGCTGCTTGAGCCCAAGAGTTTGAGGCTGCAGCGAGCTATGATGGTGCTACTGCATTCCAGCAGGTGACAGCAAGACCTTGTCTCCAAAAAAAAAAAACCAAAAAAAACCCCACTTCACCTTTGAGATAAGTCGTGTCTTCACCCTTCCTTGTTGACTGGCTTCCCCAACCCAGTACCCTTCTTGTGCTGATTTGTCCCCATAACCAGGTCAAACTCCCTTACTTGATACTAATTCTTAGATTAGCAGATGAGGAGAAAGGCTTGTCTTTTCTTCATTTTTTAAAATAAGTGTCCATGTAGGTCTTTCTTTCAGTGTTAACTCTGACATTCTAGAAGGAAGGACTCCTATCCCTCCTACTTCCCCTCTCATCAGCTTAAATGTATTCTTCTTCCAGTAAGTACTCCTGATTTACCTTCTCCTCCCAAGGCCACCTACTTGTTACCCCCAAAACCCTCTTCCCTCCCCACCCCACGGTACATCAAGCCCGACAGCCCCCCTAACAGGCCTCTCCTATGTGTTCTTGCTTTTCTCTGGTCCCAGGGCTCAGATGAGACCATCCGTGTCGTGTCCATGGACAGAGACTACCACGTGGAGTGTTACCACTGCGAGGTAGACCCCTCCCCACCCAGCCCCCAAAGCCCATTGTAGACATCCAAGAGAAAAGCATCCTGCGTTGACTGGGGCAAGAGGCAGTCAACAAGATTCTGGCAAGGGTCAGCCCTCTAGAGCTTCTGTAGGAAATGGAATGAAGGCTGGTTCTTGGGGGAGGTAGGAGAAGATGGAAATGCTCAAGGTATAAAGGTCTTTCTTCTGCATATTCAGAACTATCAAGTCCTGCAACTGTTGGAGCTGCTCTCCCTGAAGCTGCAGAGCTAGGAGGGTCGTGGAGAGCATGGGTTTCAGGTCCTATCTGCGGGCCACATTGTCAGGCAGGTGTGCGATTTGGGGAAGGGACTCCCTCCCCTCCAGCTTGCAGGCTGTTCTATCTGCCTGAAGCTCCTTTCTCAGCTGAGCCCTGGAAATCATGAAGCCCCTCTTGGAAACAGGCATGTCAGCTGGTGGTGTGAAGGCGGGTGGGGTCCGCCTGCCCCTTCCTGCCCTTTGTCCCAACCCAAGATGAAGGAGCACTAGTACCTGATGACTGTCAGGAAAGCTAGAGGTTGCCCCTCACCAACCCTTGTGAAGGGTGACCATGGAATTTCAGCCACAATTAAGTGAATTCACCCATGGAAGGAGATTAGATTCATTTGGTGACCCTGTGGGTAGAGAATGGGGGTGTCCCTCATATAGACTTGTCCCACTGCCAACACTGAAGAAATGGGTGGGAATCATTGCTGCTGGGACCCCAGGTGCCCCAGGTCACTGCAGGAGAAAAAGGTGAGGACATTTGCTCAACAGGCCTCTCCACATTTTCTAGACCAGTGCTATCCAAAAGAAATATAAGGGGCCGGGCGCGATAGCTCACGCCTGTAATCTCAGCACTTTGGGAGGCCAAGGCCGGCAGATTACTTGAGGTCAGGAGTTCGAGACCAGCCTGGCCAACATGGCAAAAACCCATCTCTACTAAAAATACAAAGATTAGTGGGCGTGGTGGCACACGCCTGTAGTCCCAGCTACTCGGGAAGCTGAGACAGGAGAATTGCTTGAACCTGGGAAGTGGAGGTTGCAGTGACCTGAGATCATGCTACTGCACTCCAGCCTGGGCAACAGAGCAAGACTCCGTCTCAAAAAAAGAAAGAACTATGAGAGCCACAAATTAAAGTCATGTATCATTTTAAGTTTTCTGGTAGTCACAATTAAAACGTTAAAGAATTATGAGAGCCACAAATTAAAGTCATGTATCATTTTAAGTTTTCTGGTAGTCACAATTAAAACGTTAAAAGAAACCGGTGAGATTAATTATTTTATTCGGTTCAAAATATCCAGCCAGGCATGGGCCCATGCCTGTAATCTTAGCACTTTGGAAGGCCGAGGCAGGGGGATCACATGAGCCCAGGAGTTTGAGAACAGCATGGACAACACAGTGAGACCCTGTCTCTACTAAAAATACAAAAATTAGCCAGGCATGCTGTGCCTATAGTCTCAGCTACTTAGGAAGCTAGGATCGTGTCACTGCACTCTACTCTGGGTGACACAGCAAGACCCTGTCTTAAAAAAGTAAAAAATCCTGCTGGGCGTGGTGGCTCATGCCTGTAATCCCAGCACTTTGGGAGGGCAGATCACTTGAGGTCAGGAGTTCAAGACCAGCCTGGCCAACATGGTGAAACCCTGTCTCTACTAAAAATACAAAAATTAGCCAGATGTGTTGGCGCGTGCATAATCCCAGCTACTTGGGAGGCTGAGACAGGAGAATTCCTTGAACGGGGGAGGTGGATGTTGCAGTGAGCTGAGATCGCACCACTGCACTCCAGCCTAGAAAACAGAGGGAGACTGTCTCAAAAAAGAAAAAAAAATCCAAATGTTATCTTTTGAACATGTAATCAATATAAAAAAGTTACCCATGAGATTTTTTTTGTAACTCCACAATTTATTTTATTTCTTCTAAAAAAAAAAAAGGGATACGTGTGAAGATTTATTACATAGATATATGTTGTACGTGTGCCAGGGTGGTTTGCTGCACCTATTGTCCCATCCTCTAAGTTCCCTCCCCTCACCCCCACCTCCCAACAGGCCCTGGTGTGTGTTGTTCCCCTCCCTGTGTCCATGTGTTCTCATTGTTCAACTCCCACTTATGAGTGAGAACATGTGGTGTTTAGTTTTCTGTTCCTTTGTTAGTTTGCTGAGAATGATGGCTTCCAGCTTCATCCATGTCCCTGCAAAGGACATGATCTCATTCCTTTTTCCCATGAGATATTTTTACATCCTCTTTTTGTCCTAAGTCTTCGGAATCTGCATTTACACTGACAGCACATTTTAAGTGGTTCACAGCAAGTGCCTTGTGGCAGTGTCTCCTGTGTTGGACAGGCCTCCACGGGGCAGGAGCTGTGTTTCTGCACTGGCATTTCCTGCCTATACAGAAACACACAGCACCCTCTGCTGATTTTGGGGACTGTGGCCTTCAGGTCAGTCTTGCAGTCTGTTTTGTTTTGCTTCCCCTGGACATGTCTGCCTCCCCACAGGACTGTGGTCTGGAGCTCAATGATGAAGATGGCCACCGCTGTTATCCGCTGGAGGACCACCTGTTCTGTCACTCCTGCCACGTGAAGAGGCTGGAGAAGAGACCCTCATCTACAGCCCTTCACCAGCACCACTTCTAGCCAGAGCCACTTGCAGACATCACGGCAGGGGATGAGGAGCCGGGGTTGCTGCTGCTGCTTCCGGTGGCCCCTGGGGTGGAAGTGGGGTAGGGGAAGAGGAGGGGCAGGAGGGAGAGTTCCTGTGAGCATGTGGGGGGTGCCTTTCCTTTAACCAGGGAGGTGAACACTACCTGCCTCCTGCGTGTATTTTCCAAGTGCTTTTCTCTGTTGCCACATTTTCCTCAGGTTACTCAGGAAAATGCTCCAGCATGTGCGAGCACATGACCTGAGGTTGCATCATAGCACCAAAGGAATCCTCCTGTCCCCTCTGGGAACATTTCATGCTTCAGAGGGAGAGGTTTTTATTGAGCTTGTTTCACAATATCCCCTTGAAGGGACAGCTCAGCTGCCAATACATTCAACCCTTTCTCTTCCTTCAGGAAAATACCTATACCCAAATGTTCCCTCCCCCGACATATATCATGGCATGATTTAAGGCTTCTTTTCACCTGAGAGCTTCAGTTCTTCTGCAGAATGGCTGCAAATTTAATTGCATTAAGGCAAGAAGGAAGCTCTAATGTGTGCTTTGTATCCTAAGATAAATTTGCTTAGAAAACCAGAGTCAAGATTTGAAATAGGTGAGGCAGGGTTTCCTCCTTAGACACTGACAGCATTCTCTGTACCCCTTCAAATCCTTACTCTCCTAAAGGCAGCTGAGTCCGCGACAGAAATTTGCCCTATGTGAGTAAAACATACTTTGGGAGAAGAACTTGGTGCAGGCACCAGGATTTTTTTTTTTGCCCACGTGTTTGCGCTGTTTTTCTCTGGAGTTCTCAAGAGTTGGTGACTTGGAAGGCCGCTTCTGCAAGGCAAGTCTCAGGAACCCATGCAGGTACATCGCTTGCACCTGTTTTTAGCTTATTTAATGACGGGCTTTTGGGAAGAGCTGCCCGCATACTGAGAGACAGCTTCTTATAAACAAGGAGAGTTTTTGTGTGTGCGAGATCTCTAAGCCAGCGTGGGAGGGAGCGCCTCAGGATAAGTTATTATATTCATTTCGTTGGTTTCTCTCCTGCCCAATTCTTGGCACAGGCATTATGTTTGAAGAAACCAGGATAAGGTACACTGCTTTTGTCTGTTTAATTTTTTTAGTTGTTTCCCTTCACTTTCAGTCTTCCACACACAAAAAATACCTCACAGAGCTTCACCAAATCACAGATTCAGGAGGAATTTGGCTTTCACACTGGACTCAGATACCTTCTTCAGTGTGTTGGAAATCACTGGCTTCACACAGGCCCAACTCCAGCTGGTCAGGGCAGAGTGATCGTAACTAAAGGTCAGTGGGGAATAGATCCGATTCAGTGCTTTTGCCTTATGCATTTCAGCATCCTGGCTCCCCAGGGTGGCAGGAGCTGAGGGAGGGCCACACACTGGCAAGATTTCAAGACCACTCTCTGCACTGAAGAGGTAAAATTTGCACTGCAAGTCACATCCCTGAGGCCAGAGGTCAGTACCCTTTGGTATTTCGATTAGAAGAAGCTGCAAAAGAAAGGCAGCCCATTTTACCATTGCCAGCCAGGCCGGGGACACAGGAGCCGGTGTGTGCACTCTGCCTCCTCACCTTGCACCCAGAGCAAGAGGACTGGGTGCTGGGCTGCAGAGGCCGGTCAGTGGAGCCCCTAGCACGTGTGAACTCAGGCTTTTCATTGGGCCCGGCTCCACTTCTAGGCCATGTTTTGACTCATTTGGTAACCATTGCCTGTAAGCAGCACAGAATTGGTGCCATGGATTATCTTTTCCATGTTGATGGAATTCATTCTGTTGGAATCCTTTGGCCAGATGTCACTTCAGCCAGGGTGTGCATCATCATTGGTTCTTTTTCACAGGCTGAGCCTCCTGAAAACCCATGAACGCTGGGGCTGGGGAAGTGAACCCTGAGGTGGGGACCCTCTCTTCCCATCAAATCATCCAGCTCAGTGTGGGGCGTGGCAGGGGGGTAAATGAAGCCAGCCAATGTGTTAACCTGTCTCTGTCAACCTAAGAATGTTGGCCTTACTGACACACCTTTGCTCCATGTTCAAGACCAGAAGTAGCTGGGATTTGTTTGCAAATTGGGTAATTAGTTTAAAAATCTGTGATTACATTTTTAAATGAAATTTTCAAAGTGGCCTAGATTGAGGTGATTCAGATAGGTTTGCGAATATACCATTTTATATTGTTGAGAAAGAACAAAAAGGGAATTTCCAGATGTCCTAGAAATCCTAGCAACAGATTTCTCTGGTTGTCAGTTTCCCTGGAGAAGGCGCCAGATAGGAATCTCCAATCAGTTGTTTTTCTCTTCGCTTCAGGCCCTTACACAAAAGCCATGAAGAGATGTTCACCTACCCGGTATTTTAAATGTTCTGTAAATTATTAGCCAAATAGAACTGTAATGGGGTTGTATTTATGGGCGCCTAGAAAGAAAACACAAGGACTTGGTAGGCCAGGAAGAAAAGATTTTAAAATTTAGAATGAATAGCCCTTCTGGGTTTTCTTTTTGACAATTCTTGGACTTGAGGTAAAACAAGGAGGATTGTGGCCGGATTTCAGATCCCAAAGCCAGCCTCCATCTTAGGCCTTTGCCTCATTGTGCCTTTTAGGTTTTCTTACCCACCGTCTCCTGTTTTGTCTTTTTTTTCTTTTCTCCTACCCCTATCTTGGGACATTCAGAAACTGCCTGGGTGGTTTGAGAAGAGACAACCCAGTTTGATCTGCAATACAAGGATCCATTCGTAATCTCTCTCTCACTGATGTTATTCCCCCATCTGCCGTCTTGGTTCATCTCACCACAGAAGGGCATTTAGTCCTACCCAGCCATCGGCTGCGTATGACAGCAGGATGGCACTTCCCATTTCTCTGTGGTTAGTGCTCGAGTGAAAACCTCTTTCAGCTGAGTCCTCTGAGGTTCTGCTGTTGAGTCCTGGGTGGCTGATGGAATGATTGAGGAGGTCTGGTCACCCTCAAGCGCCGTCATCGCCTTGTTTCCATGGGCTTCTGTCACACAAAATGAAGAACAGAAATGTTAGGACTTAAGAGAATGTTTGGAATTCACACCTCTTTGCAGTCCTTTCAAGGCTGCTGCTCTGTGCTGTGTCCCATGCATGTGAAAGTAGAGCTGTGATGGCTGCTGGGACGCTTGCAAAGATCATGTGTGAGAATTGAGCACAAGACCACAAATTATTACTGCTTGATGCGCTTGTTAAAACTCTATCTGCCAGGAAACCAAATTTTCTTTTCTTTTCTTTTTTTTTTTGAGACAGGGCCTCACTCTGTTGCCCAGGCTGGAGTGCAGTGGCGCGATCTCAGCTCACTGCAGCCTCCACCTACTGGGCTCAAGTGATCCTCCCACCTCAGCCTCCCGAGTAGCCGGGACCACAGGCGTGTATGACTGGCTACGCCTGGCTAATTTTTGTATTTTTAATAGA
Source organism: Homo sapiens (assembly GCF_000001405.40). Lineage (NCBI taxonomy): Eukaryota > Metazoa > Chordata > Mammalia > Primates > Hominidae > Homo > Homo sapiens. Next base: position 45,680,503 of record NC_000003.12, read on the forward strand.
GACGAGTTTCACCATGTTGCCCAGGATGGTCTGGAACTCCTGGGCTCAAGTGATCTGCCCACTTCCGCCTCCCAAAGTGTTGGGATTATGGCCATTAGCCACTGTACCTGGCACAATTTTTTTTTGTACCCTCCTTTATGCCAAGAATCAGTCCTAATTTCTTTACTATGTGAAGTAACTTTTAAAGGTAATAGAAAAGGCCAGGCACAGTGGCTCATGCCTGTAATCCCAGGCGCCGTGGCTCACGCCTGTAATCCCAGCACTTTGAGAGGCTGAGGCGGGTGGATCACTTAAGGTCAGGAGTTAGAGACCAGCCTGACCAACATGGTGAAACACTGTCTCTACTAAAAATACAAAATTAGCTGGGTTTGGTGGCGCACGCCTGTAATCCCAGCTACCTGAGAGGTTGAGGCAGGAGAATCGCTTGAACCTGGGAGGCAGAGGTTGCAGTGAGCCGAGATGGTGCCATTGCACTCCGACCTGGGCAACAGAGCGAAACACTGTCTCAAAAAAAAAAAAAAAAGTAACAGAAAAAAGAGTGAAATATATTAGCTATCTTTTATTCTGAGCCAAAACTTGACAGATGTGGGAAATCTTCATATAGTGTATGAAAATTTCATTGTACAGGGAAATTATTTTCCTCTGTGTCTTTTCTTTTACTATAAAGTGATTCAGAATTTTACTGTTACTATAAAATTATGCAAAGTATTGTGACAAAACTGCATCAATTTGTTGACTATTAAAGTGCTCCTTGAACATTATATTTCCTGGGTCTTTTCTGTGTGTGGAGTCAGCAAACTGTTTTTTGCTACCTGGACTTTGTCTTCTTTTACAGCTCTGGATTCTTAAAAGTACCACATAGGTAGCAAACCTGTGAAGGGTATGAGATTTTACCCTACTTGCAGGCTAATAAAGTGAGCACACCACATGGGTTCATGGATCCTGGCAGAAGTTATGAGACTCATAGGTCAGAGACAAAGGACAGTTTATTATAGCAATAGCAGTGGCCAGATTATCAGCATTTACACTGGTTCCCTGAGCCCCAGGCCCCAAGAAGAGGGCCAGGTGAGACCTGCACACGCAGTGGGCTGCATTACAAGAGGAACCCCCATGCTTAGGGGACCCTGGTATTTGATAATGGGCAGTAAGCCTGCCTGACTTTTGCTCCAGAGACAGACACTATCTCTGTCATCCAAGACTGTTCACTAGATAAACATCCTTGAAAATATAAGTCTGGAACCTGGCAATTGGTGTCTATTCTTACCAGATGTATAAAAATGTGAGAGGCCTTGGAGAATCATATCCCAAGAATCAGCAGTTTCTTTTACTGGACCTTTAAGATTGAGACTTGTAAGGTCCTGATGCAGTGACTTGTAAGGTCACTTTGTCTCTCTTGTGAATGTTACTGTTTTTTCTCTTCTGAGGTTATGACCAAAGAATCCTCAAGGCGAGTGATCCTTCAGGTTTGAGACAGCCACATGCAGGAAGACAGGACTTGTAGAGTGTTGGGGCCAAGTGTGTGGTTAGAATCCTTGGGGTGGGGAAAGAGTTTGTTCTAGACTCCAGTGTAGTCCTTGTGGCTACCAGGTCTGACGTGCCAAGGACACGGGAAAGCTGGGAGTGAGGATACTCATAGTCATAGCACCTTACACCAGAATAAAAGTTTTTTTTTTCTTTTTAAGTGATGAGAGAATGGCTAGTCTGATTTTGCCAACATGGGCTGCTATTTGCTTAAGACCTTGATGGTATAAGGAGTGAAGATGCAATCAGGGTAAAAGGCGGTCTGGAGTTGTGGTGTGCTGGCAAACCAGCCCTCTGGGGCAAAAAATTAAAAAGCCTTGATATGGAGTGTTTGCTGATACCTATGATGTAAATATTCCCGCCATGGCCACTTTCCAGCTACCAGCAAGGCATCCTGGCACCAGGGATTGGGAGGAGATGGCATAGTCCTAAGAGTCAGCCTTGGGCATTGGGCCATGTGGGACTGGGCAGTGGGGTATCTGGTCTGGTTCTAAGTGCTGTGATGAAGCAGTAGCAGCTGTAATAGCTGGCATTTCCCGTGTGCTCATCACATAGCAGATGTTATTCCAAGGACTGTATGTTCTTTATCATCCCTCATTTGATAGACAAGACAACTGAGACACAAAAGGGTGAAATAAACAGTAAGTACTCCATCCCAGGCCATCTCATCCAGAGGGTGCTGTCTTGACCACTCTACTACTCTGGTTGATGGGAGGCAGTAAATTGTCCATCAGTATACTTCTTCATCAAAGCTACATAGTCAAAAAGCCACAGGAGGCTGTGAGGAGAAGCTCACTGCTGCTCTGTTGAAGTCTGTATTGGTTTCCTATGGCCACTCTTAACAAATTACCACAACCTCAGTGGCTTAAAACAACACAAATATATCATTCTGTCATCCTGGACACGAGCCAAAGGTTGTCGGCAGAAGCGAATTGCTTCCAGAGGTGCTATAGGGTGCTGCCCATTCCTTGCCCCTTTTCCGCTTCTAGAGGCTGCCCATTTTCCTTGGCTTGTGGCTGCATCATTCTGGCTGCTTCTATTGTCACACCTCCTCTCTGACCCTCCCTGCCTCCTTGTAAGGACACTTGGGATTACGCCCATCCAGATAATCTAGAATAATCTCCCATTTTGTGATTCTTAATAACATCTGCAAAGCCTCTTTTACCTTGCAGAATAAGATATTCACAGGTTCTGGTGAGGAGGACAGGGACATCTCTGAAGGGGAGGGAAGCAGGAGATAGGGTCTGGAGGCATGGAATTGGCTTCCTAAGGCCAATTCAGGCTGACTTCCTAGAACTAAGTCAAAAGGAAAACCCCAACTTTCCACGCTCAAGTAACAAAAGGACCAGAGGCTACTCCCTTTGCAACCTCCCCACCCCCAGCCCCTTTTCTGCATGGCAGGTGAAAAATTGAAAGTATCGCTAATTGATCCCCTCCCACAACCAATCAGACTGGTCTTAGGCCAAGTCTTCATTTGCCTAGGAGTATAACTTTGTAACTTCAGCCTCTGATTGGGCGTTTTACACAACCAGTCAGATGTTTGTATAGGGTGGTGTAACTTTGTAACTTTGCTTCAGCCTCTGATTGGTCCCCTCCCACAACCAATCAAACTGATCATGGACCTCTGCTTCATTTACATAGGGTGTACACCAAGTAACCAATGGGAAACCTCTAGAGGGTATTTAAATCCCAGAAAATTCTGTAACCGGGTTCTTGAGCTGCTTGGGCTGCTCCCACCCTGTGGAGCGTACTTTCGTTTTTCAATAAATCTCTTTTGTTGCTTCATTCTTTACTTGCTTTGTGCGTTTTGTCCATTTCTTTATCAAGACGCCAAGAACCTGGACACCCTCCACCGGTAACAGGAGGAGCATTAGTCAGCCTACCACAGACTCCAACGAACGTTTTTTGAGAGGAAATGAAAGAATATTCCTAAGTTATTGGGTGCCTTTTCTTCAGGAATCCCTGAAAGTGGGGGTTTGCAATTTTCCCTGGATTGAAAACAGAAATGCTTCCTACACAAACATGATTGAGACCTTGTACTCTAGGTGTAAAAAAACAGAGTAGGTCATACTCTGTGGGTTATGGTCAGAGAGATCTGGTTAGAAGTTCCCAGGTAGGCGACAGCCCTAGATGTGTGACACTTCTAGGAGAATCTCTGGCTATGTGGATACGTCCAGGTGTGTAAGGCAGCCTCAGGGACTGCCACCACTTGGTCACATACATGTCCCTCCAACTAATCCTAGCTCTCAAGGACAGGTGGTTCTGGGCCCTGTGTTGCCCATGAGACTTGGTCCACGGCAAGCCTGTGACGGAGTGAAAGTGAGGGGACACCCAATTTGAAAACTCGGCAGGAAGCCAGACTCCATGACATACAAATAGATCAAAGTGAATCGGCTCCGTTGTTTGGGGAAATACCTGAGGTTTGTTGTTTCGTGCCAAGAAGATTAACAACACGGACACACGTGGGTGGGTTAAGGAGCAGAAAGTTTAACAGGCAGAAAAAAGAGAACAGCTCCCCCATGCAGAGGGAGGAGGACTCCGAATGGATCTCCCCATTCCTGGCGGGAAGCAGACTGATATATAGAGGAGGGGGTTTGAAGAGGTGGTATTTGATTTACATAGAGCCCAAGGGATTGGTTTGACCAGGTGTGCCATTTACATAGCCCTCGAAGAAACTGGCCATTCCACCTTGATCTTTTATTATGCAGATAGGGTTTTTTACTTGGCCAGAGCCTTGACACCTGCACACATGGCAACAAACAGAAGGGAGGCGAAATCTTCCATATTGGATGCACCTGTCTTCCAGGTGCAGCTGCCGGCATTTATCTGTGCAAGCTTCTAGCTTGCTTATTTATGCTTGCAGCTTGACTTTTCAGGCTGCTTTCTGTTGGAAAAGAAATGGTTTTGGGGGCTGCTTTTTATTAAAAGAAAAGCCTTACCAAGGACTCCTGTACCCTATCTGCCTAAATTTTTTTTAACTACTATATTAAAAGGTCTGTAAGTGGGAGCTGGCCCTAAAAGTAGGTTGTAGAGATTATTTGGATGTGCCAACAAGCTTCATCTGCAGCTTGGACTGTCTCCATTGGAAGGCCTCTGGCAGATTTTGTAAAAAGTTATATAACAATTTTACTATAGGAAAAACTTGGCTACAGATATGAATTTATATTACCCATCATTGGCTGGTTCCTTATCCTGAACATTGGTTTCCTTGGAATCTGATTTTGGCTTGTTTGGCCTTTAAAAACCCCAGAAGAATGGGGTTTCTGCCAGATTATTTTCTGGTTTTCAGTCTCACTGAATGTCACAAAGGCCTTGGTTTATGGTTCCCAACTGGTAAAGAAACGTCAAACTTTGCCTCTCTTAGTTCCTTCTACATGACAATGGGTGGCAGTTGCTCATATGGAAGCATTTCTTTTCCCCCTAAAGCCTATGAGACAGGCTGCAACTTAAACCCCTATTTTATTAAAGGAGAGGAAATGTCCAAGAGCCCAGAGATAGTGGGTAAAAGCATCATAAGGACTAGAAATGGGGTCTTCTTGTTGCTAATTAGTAGGGGTGAGGGGTAAGTGGCAGATGTGACTGCCGTCCATGCCCAGACAGGGAATTGTCCTTGAACCTACTCATGCGGTGTCTTCTGGGGTACAGTGAGTCCACAGGGCAGGACGGCCTTGGAGTCAAGAGCCCAGACTCACATTCTATCTCAGGCTTCATAACTCAATTGCTCCATGACCTTAAGCCAATTTAGTTCCCTCATCTGTAAAAATGGGGATAACAACTGAATTTACCTCATGGGATTGTGTAATGCCCAACCTTGTTTTTACTAACCCTGTTTTTAGACTCTCCCTCTTCCTTTAATCACCTAGCCTTGTTTCCACCTGAATTGACTCTCCCTTAGCTAAGACAGCCAGACAGACTCCATCTTGGCTCTTTCACTGGCACCCCTTCCTCAAGGACTTAACTTGTGCAAGCTGACTCCCAGCACATCCAAGAATGCAATTAACTGATAAGATACTGTGGCAAGCTATATCCGCAATTCCCAGGAATTCGTCTGATTGATAACGCCCAAAGCCCCGGGTCTATCACCTTGTAATAGTCTTAAAGCCCCTGCACCTGGAACTGTTTACTTTCCTGTAACCATTTATCCTTTTAACTTTTTGCCTACTTTATTTCTGTAAAATTGTTTTAACTAGACCCCCCCCTCCCCTTTCTAAACCAAAGTATAAAAGAAAATCTAGCCCTTTCCTCAGGGCTGAGAAAATTTTGAGTGTTAGCCGTCTCTCGGTCGCTGGCTAATAAAGGACTCTTAATTCGTCTTAAAGTGTGGCGTTTTTCTAACTCGCTCAGGTACAACAATTGTTGTAAGGAATGATTGAATTCATCCAAGTAAGGGAATTAGAGCAGTTTCTGGCATGAAGTAATTGCTCAATAAAGTGTGTCAGGTTTTAAGATTAATTGATCTTTACATCATGATAAATGGCAACAAAATAAATGACAAATGGATTAAAGTAAATGGTAAAAACAACATAAGAACAAAACATTAAAAAATCATATAATAGAAGAAACCAAATATTAGTAAGTGTGAATATATAAAGTGAAAATTACTACAAGTTCAAATATATATATATATATATATATATATATTTTTTTTTTTTTTTTTTTTTTGAGACAGAGTTTCACTGTGTCACCCAGGCTGGAGTGCAGTGACGTGATCTCAGCCAACTGCAGCCTCCACCTCCCAGGTTCAAGCAATTCTCCTGCCTCAGCCTCCTGAGTGGCTGGGACTACAGGCACACACCACCATGCCTTGCTAATTTTTGTATTTTTAAATAGAGAGAGGGTTTCACCATGTTGGCCAGGCGGGTCTCGAACTCCTGACCTCAAGAGATCCACCTGCCTTGGCCTCCCAAAGCACTGGGATTACAGGCATGAGCCACCGTGCCCAGCCGTTAAAAAAATTTTGAAAAGGTAAATCATAAGCTGGAAAAAAGATTGCAACGTATTTAAGAGTTAATACCCTTAATATATTAAAAAATCAAATTTGTAAGAAAAAATTCAATACATCAAGAGAAAATATATAAAGTACATGTAAAAGGAAGTTCCATATTCCAATTATGAAAATTGCAAATCACGGTTAAATTTATAATAGCCAGTGTTGGTTAGCATGCACGAAAACAGAGAAACAGGTGCTGTTGATGGAAGTGTGTTTTGGTTTAATTTTTTGGAGGGCAGTCAGAAAGTAACAAAAGTCTTAAAAATGTCCATAAAATGGACCTTACAGATGTCCACCTGGTCGTTCCACCTCTAGAAATTTGTAAGACAAATAATTCGGCCGGGCACAGTGGCTCACATCTAACCCCAGCACTTTGGGAGGCTGAGGTGGGCGGATCACGAGATCAGTAGATCAAGACCATCCTTGCTAACACGGTGAAACCCCGTCTCTACTAAAAAATACAAAAAATTAGTCGGGCGTGGTGGCACACACCTGTAGTCCCAGTTACTTGGGAGGCTGAAGCAGGAGAATTGCTTGAACCCGGGAGGCAGAGACTGCAGTAAGCCGAGATCACGCCACTGCACTCCAGCCTGGGTGACAGAGCGAGACTCCGTCTCAAAATAATAATAATTCAACACAGGGTCTCATTCTGTTGCTCAGGCTGGAGTGCAGTGGCATGGTAACAGCTCACTGCAGCCTCAACCTCCTGGGCTGAGGTGATCCTCCCACCTCAGCCTCCTGAGTAGCTAGGACTATAGGTGCACACCACCACACCTGGCTAATTAAAATTTATTTATTTATTTAGTAAATAGAGATGAGGTCTTGCTATGTTGCCCAGGCTGGTCTCGAACTCCTAAGCAGCATCATTTTTTCTAGGTGTTAAACTGACAACCACCCAAATTCCCAGCATAAGGATTCTGCTTAAAATATCTAGCTCTCTGATGAAATATCTTCAAAGAATATTTAATGACCTTAAATCTCAGACAAAAAGGTAAGGAGACAAAATGAGGAACCCATTTCCGTACAACCCCAATTTGGAAAAACACATGTGCAAGTATGCCCATGTTAAAAAATATAGAAGAAAAAAAGGCTTTAAGGAAAAAAAAAATAATAGTAATGATTTAGGGTGGGAATCGCGTTAATATTCCCAATAATTTTATATATTTTAAAAATCTATAATTTTATCAGGGGAAAACGTTATGTTGCGGAAATTAATTGATCGATTGAGTGATTGGTTAACGGACAGTGTCCGATGACTCATATAATCCCCCGGTTCGAGTCCCTTTAGGCCGCAGACGTTTCGCGCCTTCTCGGGTGTCCAAGTCGCGCATCCATACAATGAGGGGTAATATACTAGATTACCTGAGGTCTTCTTACGGTAAAAACACCGGTGTCTTAAGGTTTCCCAGTGGAATTTGGGGGCCGGGTTGACTTCGGAGCTGGAGCTCGCAAAGGCCGGGGCTGCTGCAGATTCTGACGCTTTGTGGACCCCTACTACCGAGCGCAGCCGCACCGCAGGTTTTCTTCGCTGCTGGTTAGATCCAAAGCCCATCCCATCCTAGTAAACTGGGACAGCGCCGCTTCTCACATCACTATGGGGGCTTCTGCTCCGTGGCGGGGAAAGGCCAGAACTGCTGCCTTAAATACGCTTTTGCATCATCCGGTTGCTAACCTCCGGCCACAGCATTCCCCACTCCAAAATGCCACTTTTCCAGGTGTGTTTGCCTAAATTTACCCCATTTACAGACTTCTCAGGTGCATCATTGGGAACAGGGCGCTTTGCAGTTTGCAAACCACCTCAGACAACTCCAGGTTTAAAGGATAAAGGATGACATTGTGAGCAAAGCGGCATCAAAATTTCAGATATTTAACTTTCACATTCTAACCATACACCTTTCCAAGGTCTTGTAATACTTTCACATTGTGAATATACATCTTTACAAGACCCAGTAGTACATGGGTCAAGTGTGGCAAAACAGACATCGCGAGCCAGCCAGGAGTCGAACCTAGAATCTTCTGATCCGTAGTCAGACGCGTTATCCATTGCGCCACTGGCCCCGACTTGCTAAAGCCTTCTCCGTGATAGCTGATCACCCTTATACAGTTTGAACGGGCTTCCGGGTACCAACGATCCATTTTGCCCTTGCGCCGCGCTCCCGCTGCTCTGCCTTTCCCCAAAACGCGCCCCACCAATCCGCAGCGGCTTCGTCACGGCGCTCTTCGTCGCACTCCAACCCGCCGCGTCGGCGGCATCTCTCGCGTGCTCTTGCTTGCGCACTAATTTGTCCTCCACCGCCTCCCGTTCAGGCCGGCTCTCCTGCGGGGCGGGGAAAGGGGTGGGAAGAGGCTGGGAGCTGCGGCCGCTGTGCCAGGGTGACCGGTAGAGTTGTAGCCGAGGTGGCGGCGCGGGGCGGGGCGGGCGGAGAGAGAAGGAAGGAGGTGGTTGTGCAGGATGGCGACGGCGGCCTACGAGCAGCTGAAGCTGTGAGTCCCACGGGCCAGAGGCCTGAGGCGCGGCGGGCGGGGCGGCAGGTGCGGGCCCTGGCCTCGGGGAGGGCTTCTGAGTCCCGGATTGCAGATAGGGTGTGGGAGCTCCTCGCATTTACCGGTTTTCCTCAGCCGGCGCGGCCTCTCCTAGGCCTCGCCCGAGTAGCCATAGGCCGGGAACCAGCGGCTCGCCGGCCTTTCTCCACCGTGCTCGGCCCCAGCGCCCACGGCTGAAGAGAGAAGCTGCCGACTGGCCCCCACCGAGCCGGGGTCGGCGTTATGATGCGGCCCTTCAGGGCACGCTTGTCCCCACTTTCTATGCAGAGCTACCGACTAAATTTATCTGTATGACTTAACAGAGAAAAAGAGTTTTCTCTTACTTAACGGACCTACAGCAGCAATTTAGAGTCTACGCACAAATCAACAAATCTTTGTTTTGCTTACAGCCTATCTGGGTACCGAAGCCTGCCTGCCCCCTCTTCAGTGTGCAGAAAAAATTTAAAGTACAGTCAGTAGTCTTAAGGTCCTGAAGGAGTTTACTTTGGTTTAAATTTTAAACAGCTCCAGCCTAAAGCAGGTTCTTAAGTCAGTGTCGACAGCCAGAGGCTAATCTCGGTAATTTTGGTACTGCAAATTGACTTTTCGGTAAATCCAAGTTCTTGAGTCTTTGATACAGAGGCTGTGGTTGTTAAGAGTTATAAAATAGGTGTTTTTAAGGGTTTTGGTTTGTCTTGGATTAAAAACAACATGTGTTTATTTCCCTTAGTGTTACCCATTAGCATCCACACTTTTCTTGTCTGTGAATAATTTTGTTGTACTCACTTCGTGTTTAATGCTTTACCCCTAGGCTGTTTGAAAATCTGGTGGCCACAGCCTGGGAATATCTGGTAGGAGAAACAAATGTAATTTTTTAGAAGCTTATCTATCCCTGTATATGAGCTAAAATACCTTGGCAGTTAGGCATAGATACCGCATTTCTTTTGCAGGGAAATGACACCAAAATGTGGTTTGGGCACTTAAGCTCCTCAGACCTCAACCTCACTAGTAACTTTCTGAAAGGTTCAGTGGAAAGTTAGAGGTGCAAAATTCAGAGAGGTCATCTATTCCACATTGTATGTGTTGCAAAAAAGATGATTGCTTTTTCTACAGTGCACCCCCTGTGGGTGCCATTTCTGTTTACTGTAATGTTCTTTGAAAACCCTAGCTGCACACTTCCCTCCACATTTTCCTCTCCACCTTTCCCTATTTTCTCCCAGTTCCCCTTTGCAAAGTGCTCACCTCGTCTTTGGTGAAAGAGTTGAAGGAAGTGTCTTCCACTGCGTTTCTGGCCAGGCCACTGTCACATGTGCTCTGCTAGCTAATTAGGTTATTGTGTATCTGATAGGCACTGAAGGGTTTAATGTGATCCTACACCAGGTCTCAAATGTGTTTAAGCCATATGGAGCCATGGCTTCATGCAGCTTAGCGTGGCAAAGATTGAATAGGATGGAGAACTTGAGAATTATGATGATTGTTTTTCAGCTGCCAGAACACTAAATTTAACCAGTTCAGACCTTAAAACAAACCCAAATCCTCGCATACATAAAAGAGAAAGGAAATTTGTCCCTGAAGTAGTAAGAATGATGTTTTTGTATTGATTTTTGTGAGAAGTGGAAACTCTTAAATTATTTGGGTGATAAAGTCAAACTGGGGTTATGTGAAAGTCATTCTCTCATTTGTCAGTCCTAGCTTTTTTTCCCCCTGAAAAAAAAGTTTAGAGTGTTTCTGTAAATGTGAAGGTACAACTTTTTTGCACCTTTTTCTTTACCAAGGGGTTTATGAGTTAGAGTTTCCATTTTTATTCCTTCCTTTTGGCCCTTCCTGCTCTGAGGCTGCTGTTGAAGGTTTTCAAATGTGGCTCCTGCCCTAAGGAGTATTCTTTTTTGGATGCATTTAGAAGTGAAATTGGTTTCTGTGTAAGAATTGGTAGGAGATAGTAGCCATTTTTTAAAATGTGTCTGGAGATGTGTTTTAAGAAATATCCATGCAAAAGAGATAGTTCGATTATTTTATTACAAAAGGATTGCTAAAAGGATTTATTTAAATGTTGAAATGCTTGTTTTTTTTTTCTTTTGTTTCGTTTTGTCTTTAAAGAGATGGGGTCTCATTCTGTTGCCCAGGCTGGAGTACAGTGGTTTGATCATAGCTCACTGCAGCCTCTAACTCCTAGTCTCAAGCGAGCCTCCCACCTCAGCCTCTCGAGGAGCTAGGACTACAGATGCACACCACCACACCTGTCCTACTTCGGATTTTAAATAATAATTCTGTCTGCATTATGCCATGCTTTTTCTCCAGCCCATCTCTGCCTTGTTGAATTTCACCTTTCTAATGCTCTGGTTTTATCCTCTACTTTCCTGCTTACAATTTCCAGTTCCATCTTACTGACCTATAGGATCAAACTTGCATTTCTTAGCCATCTGTATATTCTAGCCTTTTTATAATCTGTCGCCTAATTTATTTCCCGTAACTGCCCAGAGCCTTTTCCCCACTTCTGCAAAACTTGGCTCATCCCCTTCTAGCTTCAAACTTGGGTGTTATTTTGATCCTTCTACCCAGAATGCCTTCTTCCTCTCTGTTCTCTTTACATACTGGTCACATCCATGGTAGAGCCAAGAGATCTCAGGTTTTGTTAGTCAGAATGGATATGGATTCATATCTTAACTTGACTACTTGTTTTGTGTCCTGGGCATAGTACTTAATCCTTCTGAATTGGTGTTTCAGTCTGTAAAATGGGAATGTTGATACTTCACAGGATTATTGTAAGGTTTGAAAGAGAGTTTTTTTTTTTTTTTATTATTTTTGTGAGACAGGGTCTCACTTGTCACCCAGGCTGGAGTGCAGTGGTGTGAGCTCAGCTCACTGCAGCCTCAGCCTCCCAGGCTCAAGTGATCCTCTCACCTCAGCCCCCAAAGCATCTGGGACTACAGGTGCACATCACCATGTCTGGCTGATTTTTTCTGTTTTTCAGTTTCGCCATGTTGCTGAAACTTGAACTCCTCGTCTTAAGTGATCCATGCACCCTGGCCTCCCAAAGTGCTGGAATTACTGGCATGAGCCACCATGCCTGGCCCAAAGAGAGTTTAGATGAAGTACTTAGTGTACCTCATAGGTACCTTCTTTGAGAAATGTTTTCTTTCCATGTCTTTTCCTTCACTGAGTTCTGGTAACAGTTTTTAAAGCCAAAAATGAAAAATTATTGTAACAGGGTTAGACACCAAATGTTTACATGATTTATGTATTCTGTCTCTTAGGATCAGTTTACAGTGCATTTACTTTCTCATGGACAAGAGGATGGAAAGCTAGAATGGTCAATCCATAGTACTGTTTGAACCACTCATTTTGTCACTTAGAAATGAAATCATTATGTACACCGTTATGTGACTCTTACTGACAGAGATACATTCTGAGAAATATGTTAGAAATATGTTAGGCAACTTCTTTGTACAAACATCAGAGTATAATTACACAAACCTAGATGGTACAGCCTACTACACACCTAGGCTATATGGAATAGCCAGTTGTTCCTAGGCTACAAACCTGTACAGCAGGTTACTGTACTGAATACTGTAGGCAGTTGCAACACAATGGTAAAGATTTGTGTATGTATACATACATAAACAAGAAAAGGTACAGTAAATATACGGTATTATAAGCTTATAGGACCACCATCATATGTGTAGTCTGTCGTTGACCAAAGCATTGTTACATGGCACATGGCTGTACTTTGTTTCTCCAACCAGTTTACACCTTAACATTTTCTTCTCTAGTCCTCCTCAGTACCTAACATAGAGCCTTGTGCAGAGCAGCTCCTCAGTGAATCAACTGAGTAAATGAAAGGAACTTTCCAGTATAGACCACGTACTAGCACTGCAAAAAGAACACAGTCTAGGGTAATTTGGAATGTATCGTTTTGAAGAAACACAGCTTAAAAGTCATTTCATGTATATTGTCTTCCCAGTGTCTCTGTGAGGTCATAGGTTGATAGGTATCCTGTCATTGTTGAAAACAGTCTCATAATTGCCCTTGGCCACAAAGTCAGATCATACAGCCAAGCCATGGTAGAGCTAGCCTTGGAATACGGCTGGTCCAGAGTCCAGTGATCTTTCCATTTCATTGCATTATCCATATGACCTTTTTTTCTCTTACCAGATTGCTCTCGCATTAGTCCTCAGACATGCCAGGTATTGAAATGAGTCACTTACAACCAAATATAGTTGACATGTCCATATTAATTTCCATATGTTTAATGTGGAAAACAGAATATTGATTTGCTCAGAATTTAAAATTCATACTTTTTAAACTTCCAGGCAGTTCTAAATATCCTGTTAGGCTCCATTTTTCTTTTTAAGCCATTTGTATAGGCATGGATAATGTCAGACAGTGATAAATTTGAAATTGCAAAATAATTAGACTGGAAATGTAATTTTTAAGAAGCTTATCTATCCCTGTATATAAGCTAAAATACCTTGGCAGTTCGGCGTAGGTGTCACATTTCCTTTGCAGGGAAATGACATCAAATGTGGTTTGGGCACTTCTTAGGCCCCTCAGACCTCAAGCTCATAATAACTTTCTAAAAGGTTCAGTGGAAAGTTAGAGGTGCAAAATTATTGGATACATTTAAAGCATTTTTTCTTCTTTTTTTTTCTTTTTCTTTTAAAAGGTCAGTTGAAACTAGGTGTAAGGCAGGGAATCCTTTAGTTACTGCATCAGGCTGCAGCATGCCTCTGAAGAGTACTGTTTCCTCAGGAAATTGCCATTTTTAAAAGAGTCTCATAACTGTGAGGTCATCAGTCAGGGCAGATATGATCCAACCTTGAAAACAGATGTAACCTAAGCTACCTTGTGATACAGACACATATAATCTGTTCAATATAATGAACATTCATATTATTCACAGAAGTCTCCCGGTGGAGGGAAGGGTGTAGGGCAGCTCAGATTATTCTCATGAGTTTTAGCACAGACAATATGGGGTTTGTATCCAAAGCATTAGTTGGCTGGGAGTTCAGGCTAGTTCAGGCTTACCTAGGCTCACGTGGCTAGCCTAGGTTAGTGCTAGGCTACATCAAATGACTTGGTATGCTTGTTTTAAGTGCGTATTCCAGGGCCCCACATTAGGCCTACTGAGTGAAAATCTCTGGGGATGAGCGGTGGAAATCTGCAAGTTTAACTAGCTATCCTGGTAGTTTTTATGCACTCTGAAATATTTTAGGGCTGGGCATACATAGCTGAGTTAGGACCAGAACATGCTGGTAGAAGAGAATTCTTTGGAAGATATGGGGCTCTGGTAGATTGTGCTGTGGATTAGAGCTTCAGATTAGGTGGAATTTGGACCTAGTCCTGTGAAGAAGTCTGGTTGAGAGAATGGGTTTTAGGGCATTCAGGGAATAGGATATAGGTGGGAACACAGAGTTTTGAGAAAGAGGATAGCATTAGAATGAGTCTTTCTAGAAACACCAACTGGTTTGGAATTGGGTTGTGCCCCTGGGGAGTCTGTGATGAACTTGAGCTATAGGAGAGGCAACCAGGGAGGGCTCAGTGAGGAGATACCCAAAGGGAGGATGAATGGGGGAGGTAGGAGCACCTTCTGCCTATGAGTGTAGTATGTGCAGGGGATCCTTCTTTACTAAGTTGTTTTCTTTTTGCTCACCAAACCTAGTAAAGTGTTGTGCCTCTGTCTTTTCAACCAGAGATGTATTAAATTTGATCATTAAGACCTTGATTTAATTCTTTTTTTTTTTTGAGATGGGGTCTCACTCTGTTGCCCAGGCTGGAGTGCAGTGGCGCAGTCTCGGCTCACCACAACCACCACCTCCCAGGTTCAAGTGATTCTTGTGCCTCAGCCTCCCTTGTAGCTGGGACTACAGGCATGCACCACCAGGCCCGGCTAATTTTTGTATTGTTAGTAGAGACAGAGTTTCACCATGTTGGCCAGGCTGGTCTTGATCTCCTGACCTCAAGTGATCCACCTGCCTCGGCCTCCCAAAGTGTTGGGATTACAGGCATGAGCCACTGCACCCAGCCAAATTCTTTACGTAAGATTTTTGAGGGAATATGTTCTTGCTACAGTTTTATGACATATCACTGTGGCTCCTATGCAAAATAGTGGTTTCATTATTTTTAAAAATTGTGGTAAAATAAAACATTAAATTTACCATCTCAACCATTTTTAAGTATACAGTTCAGGGGCAATAAGCACATTCATGTTGTACAACCGTTATCACCATCCATCACCAGAACCGTTTTCATCTTGCAAAAATAAACTCTGTACCCATTAAACAACTCCCCATTTCTGTATCCTCCCAGCCCCTGGCAACCACCGTTCTACTTTCTGTCTCTATAAATTTGACTTCTCTAGATGCCTCATGAAGTGGCAGTATTTGTCCTTTTATGACTGGTTTATTTCACTTAGCATAATGTCCTTAAGGT
The DNA here is from genome assembly GCF_000001405.40 of Homo sapiens. Classification (NCBI taxonomy): domain Eukaryota; kingdom Metazoa; phylum Chordata; class Mammalia; order Primates; family Hominidae; genus Homo; species Homo sapiens. The sequence continues at coordinate 45,695,966 of NC_000003.12, forward strand.
TCATCCATTGTGTAGCATGTGTCAGAATTTCCTTTTTTTTTTTTTTTTTTGAGATGGAGTCTCGCTCTGTTGCCTATGCTGGAGTACAGTGGTGCGATCTCGGCCCACTGCAACCTCTGCCTCCTGGGTTCAAGCAATTCTCCTGCCTTAGCCTCCTAAGTAGCTGGGATTTCAGGTGCCTGCCACCACGCCCAGCTACTGTTTTGTATTTTTAGTAGAGACAAGGTTTCACTGCATTTGCCAGGATGGTCTCCATCTCCTGACCTCGTGATCCGCCTGCCTCGTCCTCCCTGAGTGTTGGGATTCCAGGCCTGAGCCACTGTGCCTGGCCCAGAATTTCCTTTCTAAGGCTGAATAATATTCCATTATATGTATGTACCACATTTCGTTTGTTCATTTGTTAATAGACACATAGGTGGCTTCCACCTTTTTGGCTATTGTGAGTAATGCCAGTATGAATGTGAGTATACAAATACCTTTTTGAAACCCTACTTTCAGTTATTTTGAGTATATACCCGGAAGTGGAATTGTTGGGTCATATGGGAATTCTATTTTTAATTTTTAATGGGCCACCATACTGTTTTCCCATAGTGGCTGCACCGTTTTACATTCCCACCCACAAAGCACCAGGATTCCAGTGTCTCCGCATCCTAGCCAACACTCGTTATTTTCTATCCTGGGTTTGTTTTTTTTTTCCTTCTAGATAATAGCCATTTTAATGGGTATGAGGTTGGTAAGTAGTAATGTTTTTGTAGTGGGCCAGTTTTACTCATTGATTTGACAGGATTTTAAAGAGATCAGTTGTCTGAAATAAGACGTGAATGTTACATGAGAGATAAATGTTTTCAGACACTAGAAAATCGCAATGCCAACACTGAAAGAAAATAAAAATATTTGATGTTAATATTATAATTAAAGATATTGCTTTTCTTAAAATTTAACAAGACTAATTTTTTAAAAAACACTCTTAAGAGCTGTTGAATCCCAGGTGACTATAAGATTAAATGCATTTGTATTAAGTGTAATACCAGAACTGCCTTTGTTGCATTTAGCTTTTAGTCCCAGTTCCACTTCTGGGATACTCAAAATAATTAAAAGTAAGGTCTCAAAGAGGGATTTGTATACCCCTGTTCATAGCAGCATTATTCACAACAGTCAAAAAGGAGGAAGCAACCTAAGTGTTGATTCTTTCTTTTTTTTTTATTTCAACATTTTTTGTAGAGATGAGATCTCGCTGTGTTGACCAGGCTGGTCTCAAACTCCTGGCCTCAAGATCCTCCTGCTTTGTTTTTCTTTTCTTTTCCTTTTTTTTTTTTTTTTTTTTTTTTTAAGACAGGCTCTTGCTCTGTTGCCCAGGCTGGAGTGTAGTGGTGCGATCTTGGCTCAGAGCAGCCTCTGCCTCCCAGGTTGAAGTGATCCTCCGACCTCAGCCTCCTGAATAGCTGAGGCCACAGGTGCATACCACCACACCTGGCTAATTTTTGCATTTTTTGTAGAAACGGGGTTTTGCCATGTTGCCCAGGCTGGTCTCAAACTCCTGGGCTCAAGCAGTCCTCCTGCCTCAGCCTCCCAAAGTGCTAGGATTACAGGCATGAGCACTGTATCCAACCACTTTTTCTTTTTTATGCCATGCTTGGACAGTAATCCTTAAAAGCAAAATGACGAACTGAATGAAGGTAGTCAAAATAGGAGCAATTATTATACAAGTATTATGCTATTTTGATATATCTTCCATAGTATGTGTCTTATTAATGGGAACCAGAACTCTGGGTAGGTATGGGATCCCCTTGTCTTGACAGATATTTGGTAGGATTCTTGTTCAGTTAGAGTTAATAGTGAATTGGAGGCTAATCACCTCACCAGATAGTTTATATAGGACCAGAACCCTTTTTAGTATACAGTATTACTTTGAACCTTAGAGATCTGTTATCAACAGTATAGATAATGACCAAATAATCTTCTTGGATCGAATCTTGTCTTCCGAAATCCATTTCATAAAATAAGTAATATGATAGCTTGTTTGGTAAAGATTTAAACACAAAAATAGCAATAAAACAATACACACCAGGAAAAATTATACCACTGAATGTTTACTTAATTGTTTTTGACGGTTTAAATGCTAGAGAGTTAAAGTTAATTTCACTGGCTTTTGAAATGAAGCCCAGGAAGCATAAAACATAGAATAAAATTTATTACATAAAACAATTATGCTTCAGATCAGTATTAAGACCAATACAAAAGTGGTGGGAAATGAGAGGAAGAGAACAGTAAGGGCATATATGTAGGTGCCGTGAGTTAGGATGATACCTGCTGTTATGGTTAACAGAATTGTGAGTCATTACTTCTAATGAGCATCCCTAGAAATGTTGATTCCCTGGCAGTCACTGTTCACATTTTCATTGCTCCAATTCTTAAGCCTAGAGATACCACTTTCAGTGACATTATCAGAATAGCCTGATGGCAGCATCAGCAATTTAGATTCCAACAGCATCTCTCAGAGAGAGAAGATCAAGCAAAGGCCTCAGGACTTTTGAGCGAGACATCTCTACCTTGATCCATAATTACTCTTATTTGTATACTTTGTTATAATACTTTTTTTTTTGAGACAAAGTCTCGCTCTTGTGCCCCAGGCTGGAGTGCGATGGCGCAATCTCTGCTCACTGCAACCTCCGCCTCCCAGGTTCAAGCGATTCTCCTGCCTCAGCCTCCTGAGTAGCTGGGATTACAGGCGCCTGCCACCATGCCTGGCTAATTTTTGTATTTTTAGTAGAGATAGGGTTTCACCATGTTGGCCAGGCTGGTCTTGACTGAACTCCTAACTTCACGGAGTCTTGCTCTGTCACCAGCCTAGAGTGCAGTGGCGTGATCTCAGCTCACTGCAACCTCCACCTCCTGGGTTCAAGCAAGCGATTCCCCTGTCTCAGCCTCCCGAGTAGCTGGGACTACAGGCACGTGCCACCGCACCCAGCTAATTTTTTTGTTTGTATTTTAGTAGAGACGGGTTTCACCATGTTGGCCAGGATGGTCTCGATCTCCTGACCTTGTGATCCACCCGCCTCGGCCTCCCAAAGTGCTGGGATTTTGCATGAGCCTCTGCGCCTGGCCTGTAATACAGTTTTTAAATCTTATTTTTATTTCAATCTTATGTATACGGTTTAAAAGTAAGTAGTATACAAAGCTTATAATAACAGAGGCATCTACTTTTTTAAGCAACTTCTGGTATTTTACTCCATATCTAGCGCACCAGCATGGCACATGTATACATATGTAACTAACCTGCACAATGTGCACATGTACCCTAAAACTTAAAGTATAATTAAAATAAATAAATAAATAAAAAAATAATAGTAGCAGTAATGGTAAAAATAAAAAAATAAAAAAATGCTCATATTAGGCTGGGCTCTGGTTTATGTAGCTGTGGTTCAAATGAAGCCTCATGGTGTATCATAATTACATTTCTTTATAAAAATGTTTTGTTTTTATAAATTTATATAAATTTTATAAAATTATAAATTAAATGTTTTTAATTTCCTAGAATTAAAAAGTGCCTTGGTTCTTGTTATTTGCTTGACGTTTTTTTGAGACTGAGTCTCACTCTGTCGCCCAGGCTGGAATGCAATGGCATGATCTTGGCTCACTGCCACCTCCATCTCCTGGGTTCAGGCAATTCTCCTGCCTTAGCCTTAGCGGGGATTACAGGCATGCGCCACCACACCTGGCTAATTTTTGTATTTTTAGTAGAGACAGGGTTTCACTGTGTCGGCCAGGCTGGACTCAAACTTCTCACCTCAAACGATCTGCCCGCTTCCACCTCCTAAAGTGCTGGGATTACAGGTGTGAGCCACCGCGCCCAGCCGAGAAAAACTTTTAATTGCTTATAATGGAGATAGTTTTTTTTCTGTGTGTGCGTTTGACTTTTGTGCTCTTATAAACAGCTGATTTTATAATAAATACTTTATTGCTGACTGAAATGTACCTATTAAGTTGTACCTCCAAAGTTGTATGTGGAAACAAGTGTGACTTTTCAGTTCATTGATTTTTGTCCAAATAATTTTCATTTTAAAGGTCTTACAGGTGAGGAGAGTTTAAATGCATTTATGTAAATACAGGTGGTCAGAGTGTAGGAAGGGTGAGCTGTCGAGGGCAAGCAATATGCATTTCTCTGTTGGCTGTTTATCTAGATGCAAGCCTTGTGTTTTTGTGCCTAATATAAAAAAGTGGAGGAATTCGATTTCTGAGCTTGGTGAATAATAATCTTTTTATGTTAAAAATAGCATTAGTTATTGAACAGGTAACACACCCTTTGTCTGGAGAAATAAATTATGGCAACTGTCCCCCAAAATACAGCTGTGAACTTAAAAGATGTAGACCTCTGAGTATTATGAAGAAAATGGTTGTAATAAAGCCCATGGACTTCACTCTGTGGTCAAAACTGTGTCACCTTCCTGAGACCTTTCTGAAACCTGTAACTTTGTCCTGGATGTAAAAGTAAAGCAGCCAAATAGGAGCAGTGGTGATGGCTTTGTCAAGACACTAAAGACGGTGGAAGGGTAAAAAAACAATGTTAAAACCCAGTGTTCTGAAACCATTTAGTAAAATTTTAATAATGCCTGGAGTCCCCTCTTAGTGCTGAGCATATCATGTGTATTCTGTCATCCACCCTTACCTATCAGTTCTATCTCTTTTTATTTTATTTTACTTTAATTATTTTTTTGAGACAGAGTCTCACTCTGTTGCCCAGGCTGGAGTGCAGTGGTGTGCACTCACTGCACTCTGAACTCACTGCAACCTCTGCCTCCTGAGCTTAAGCGATTCTCATGCCTTAGCCTCCCAATAGCTGGGACTACAGGCATGTACCACCATGGCCAGCTAATGTTTGTATTTTTAGTAGAGATGAGGTTTCACCATGTTGGCCAGGCTGGTCTCGAACACCTGACCTTAAATGATCCACCTGCCTGGGCCTCCCAAAGTGGTGGGATTACAGGCGTGAGCCACCGCGCCCAGCCTCTATCTCTTTTTAATGGAGAGAAGGCTGAGAATGGCAGCAAGGAATGAAATCCTTTCCTCAAATGAATTTTTAGATGCCTTGGTGTTTGGGTCTCGAGGTGACAAAACTTTTAAAAAATTATTTTAAGTGGAAAGACTTTAAATTTTATTAAACCTGGGTTTTAAAAACATTTCTTTAATTTTTTTTTTTTACTAACCAGGGTCAATTTTGAACACAACAATGTATCTGTGCCAGCCTACCAAAGGATGATGTCTTCAAATTGTAGTAATAGAGTATGGTGAAGAAAAAGTTATAGCCTTTAGACTTTTACAAAACTGGTTTGAATCTCAATTCCGTGCCTACCATCAGTGAGTCCCCAAAACAAAGCACTGAAATTCCTGGCTCAGCTTTCCCTGGAATGTATTCATCACCTGCCGCATAGCCCCTAGTGCTTGCATAATGCTTAGTATGCGGTAGCCTTTTGGTAAATGTTAATGGCTTACACTTGGAATGCAACTTGTGCTTCCATAAAACATCTTCTGTAGATACGGACTGAAATAGTGGGTTTAAAAAAAATGGCTTAAGACTAGATGTCTCGAATTTCTTTATATTTCTTTGGTTTTAGGACCTTTCACTTTGTTTTCTTTTTATAGCTTTATTGAAGTTTGATTGACATACAATAAACTACACACATGGAAAAGGGAAGTGTACAGTTTGATAAATTTTGACATTTTTACACCCATGAAACCATTGCCAGTATTACAATATTGAACGTATCCGTCACCCTGAAACGTTTCCTCGTGCCTGTAATCCCTCCTTTTTCTCCCTTCCTGCACAAGTTAAACATATATGTGCCATATGATCCAGCTGTTCCACTTCTAGGGAGTTAACCAAGAGAAGTGAACATCTGCCTTAAGACTTTTATACAAGAATGTTCCTAGAACCGTTCCTTTATTCATAGTAACCCAAAACCAAAGTTACCAAATAGCCATCAACAAATGAATGGATCAACAAATTATGATATATCCGTACAATGGAATGCTATTCAGTAATAAAAAGGAATGAATTGTTGTGTTCAGGTTAAATTGAAGATTGCTGTATTTGAAGCAGATTTGCTTTCTTTGTTGTATTGATTTTCCTTTACTTAGCATATCCCCCCAAATGAAGGAAACTAGCCTAATATTTAGTTAGTTACAGATGAACCATAGAAGGTTGTAAGTTATATTTGGGTAATTAAGGATTGATTATTCCTCAGAGAACTTGCAGTAAAAAAGAGTCAAAAGTTTGTTTTGCTGCAGGACATTTTTCTATAATGCCAAATAGCTTATACACAATTGGTAAATAGAAAATGATGTCCATGATGGTTGTGTGGGTTTGAATGAGATTTTTCATAGGCAAGTGGGAGTAGAATTAAAAAGGAAAAGAAAAAGCCCTCAGATTGGCTGCTGCACAGATAGAACAGATAGAAATTCTTTTAAGTCTGGTTTGTGAACAATAAAGATTAGTTTCTGGAAAAAGAAATAGTTCTTGGACTCAGCCTCCCTCCCCAGCCTTGCTCAGCTTCTGGAAAGGTTGTATCTTCTCCTGTGCCTACCTTAAAACAGCAGTCTCCATCAGTGGCTTGGAGTTCTACTTCAGTCTGCATCGTTTTAGTGCCTGCAAATGAAAACGCAGTTTTACTTTATTCTGTTAATATTTTGTATATCCTGAGTCAGTCCCTCACCATGCTGAGTTGCTTGCCTGAACTATTTAAGTTGTTTCTTGAGAAACCAACTGTTATTTTTGTTAGACTCTAATTACAAAGTTGCATAAATTTTAAGTAGTCTCTCTCAACCGTGTTTCTACCTCCTTTATTTTTTATTTTCCAGAGTGAGTTTTTTTCAGGAACATATATATGGGTTTCTAAAAAAACACCCCACCTGAATGTTAAAGTAATTTGTTTTTAAAAATTTCCTGGAAATATTTTATTTAAAATGCATTTCTTACTGTTTTTAGCTAATACCTCTTGCTTACTATGCGTCAGATGTTCAAAGTACTTACCAAAGATTAGCTCATTTAATTCACACGATGCTGCGTGATGAATCTGGTATTATCGTTATTTTACAGAAAGGGAATAAGAGGATCAGAGAGAATGAGTAACTTGTCTAAGGTCACACTACTGGTAGTCTGGTTCTGTAGGCTCTGGTCCTACTATGCTACATTGCCTTCTGTACCCTGTTGAATATAATAAACTAGATTTGATTATGGCATTTTTTTGTATATGTTAAATTGATGGTTTCATAGCAAATCAAAACCTAGTCAGCATCAAATATACAAGTGAAAAGAGTTGCAGTGAACTCATAAGGACAGCAAACTTAACAGATTCATCCTTTTAGAAGCTGGGAAAATGATGTCAAATTTATACTCTGTAATTGTCATAATAAGTAGTTTTTTAGAAGTCTTCATTTCATTTGGTTAGTTATTTATGTTTTACATTTCTTCTTAGGCATATCACACCTGAAAAATTTTATGTGGAAGCTTGTGATGATGGAGCAGATGACGTACTTACCATTGACCGTGTGTCCACAGAGGTTACCCTTGCAGGTATTTTACAGCCAGATTTAGAAGTTTAGGGAGAAAGATTTTATACATAAATTACAGTAATTAAAAAACATCACTCAGAGGTGTGTCAGTGTGTGGATCTCTGAGTGCATTCTTATTAAAATTTTTATTCTTGCTACCTCATTCATAGGTTGGTGCATCAATTTTATGCTATCTCCTTTTCTGTGAAAAGGAGAAATGATCTTGAAAATTTTAGGTAGCATTTTACTGTCCGTAAGGATTTAAAAACATAATATTTATTATTTTTTTCCCTTAGCTGTATTTTAACAGGATTGGTTTAGATAGCTAAGCTTCTTTCTAGCTGTAAGATTTAAGATATTTGAGAGTGAAAAAGTTGTTTCAGCTTTAAGAGTATGGAATTTTAACAGCTACTTTTGTTTTGAAAGCTTTCATGACTATGTGGAAATTTAATAAATGAAAAATAAAATATACTTCACTGACTAAAACTTGTAGGTGTTCTTAGGCAAATGATGTTTCTAAGTTTTATCTACCTAACCAGTTATACTTTGGTTATGCTTTTCTGGGATGTGAAAAACAAACTTTTTTTTCACTTGTGTGGAACACCCTGACTTTCCAAATAGATAAATACGAAATAATTTTGGTGGCAAATTAATATACCATGTGATAACATATTTAGAATTTCATATTTCACTTGTTTAAAGATTCTATTCACCCCCAGAGTTCTATATTTATTTTTTTCTTAAAGTACAATATTTGAATAACCATAGAGTAGGCATTCAGTAAATAGCCTTTGAGTGGGTGAAGTGAAGTACGAAAATATATTCCATGAGATAATGGGGTGTAAGACAAGTATGGCTATAAAATTTCTGTTTTTTTGATTATGTGGTAATTCTGGTAGGTACTATATATAGTTTGTCTTTGATCAAATGGAATTAGAGCTCTGTTTTAGTTTGATAATTTGACATTTCCTATTTGTCTGTTGCTTGGTGGCTGCTCTCTCAAGATAGCTGACTGGTTTTAACTAGTGTTAGTACACTTCTCCTAAAGTTTAAATTATACTACTCTTTATACCATGTTGATACAACCTAGTGTCTTACAAGAGCTTTAATGTGGGTGTATTTTCAGTTATCCTTGATCTTTCAGTAATGTTTTATTTGTAGGTAGAGATTGCAGACCCATTTGAATAGACTGAAAAGCTAAAGGTCATGAATAGTTTGAATGTAAAGATGATGATGCCAAACAGTCATCAGTAAGACACATGATAAAATACTTCCACGCAAAGTCAGTACTGATGAGCGACTGACTTGCTGACAGTTTCTTAGCCAGTTTCTTTTCACCACTGCGAATGCAGACTATGTTATTCCTAATGGGATTATTTTTTCTTCCATGAAAAAACCTAACATACATTCTAGGAGTTATCACAGTTTTATTGCTGTTACACTCCAGTTTACATAACTTATAGCTCTATCAATAGTGCATTTAAGTTAAGGAATGTTGCTTTTCTTAGAACAAATCATGCAAATTGATGTAGTCAAAGTAACTATTGAAATCGAACTAAATTTCTGTTTCTGTTGGTGAGCTTTTTGTATGTGATTTTTCTTTCTTTCCTTTCTTTTAAAGTCAAGAAAGATGTTCCTCCTTCAGCTGTCACAAGACCAATATTTGGTATACTGGGCACAATCCATCTGGTGGCAGGTAAGAGAAAATAAGCTAAGATGGGCAAAGAAGGTAATTAGCAAGGTAGTTAAATTGTTAATATTAGAGTGAGTATACGATGAAGTAATACTTTGTATCATGCTTTAAGCAGTAAATCTCTTGGTTAAGTATTTATCATTAATTTTTAAAAGAAATACTCCCCAAATGGTAAAATTTATCAGCGTGAGCTTCTATTATTTAAAAAAAAGTTTTGTATTTTGTTGTGTTTCAGTTAGAGTTGAAATCCTTAGCTAGATAATTTTCACAAATGGAGTATGTAAATAAAATTTTTTTTTTTTTTTTTTTTTTTGAGTTGGAGTTTTATTCTTGTTGCCCAGGCTGGAGTGCAATGGCATGATCTCAGCTCACTGCACCCTCCGCCTCCCGGGTTCAAGTGATTCTCCTGCCTCAGCTTCCTGAGTAGCTGGGATTACAGGTGCCTGCCACCACACTCGGCTAATTTGTTATATTTTTAGTAGAGATGGGGTTTCACCATGTTGGTCAGGCTGGTCTTGAACTCCTGACCTCAGGTGATCCACCCACCCCAGCCTCCCAAAGTGCTGGGATTACAGGCATGAGCCACCACGCCCATCCTGTAAATAAAATTTTCAATGCATCAGTGGAACAGGGTATTCTACACCTTCAGCCCTGTAGTAATAGGACATAGTGCATATTAGCAAATGTTACTTGGTTCTGAGTTGTTAAGAAGGTGATTTTTGTTTAGATTTAATTTGATTGAGCTTGTTTGAAGTTCCTATTTTTTCAGGCATCATGCTAGATGCTGAGTTATAAAGGCTGAAAGTCCATTTTGCCCTGCAGTTCACAGTCTAGTGAGAGAGGCGTGTAAGTAGTAAATTACTGCAGTACAGTGTGACAAGTTCCAGGAGAGACATGTACATGGCAAAACTTTCAGAGGGGGAACTTGTGGGTAGAATGTTGAACAGACCTGAAGAATTAATTGAGTAGGAAAGGGTTACTCTGTTTTATGTATTTCTGGGGTGAGGAGGTGGCAAGGTCAGGATTGGTGTATTGTGCATGATGTTGTGATGACTCCTTGATTCCTGACCACTCATCCTTGTAATATTGCAGCAGCCAGTTAGGTATACTGCCCCAGCACATTTCTCTACCATTTAGAGAGAGACATGAAGGACATAGGAGTGGTGTGGAAGGGACATTGCCCTGTAGTGTCAGATCTCACGTCCTGATGCTTTAAGCTGCCTGCTGGGAAATGATTAGCAGAGGTCTGTATCCCTTGGGGGTGATGAAAGAGAGAAAGAGAAGTATTTTCTGTCTCTACTTTCCATTTACTAAGACAAATCCTTTGGTTATGAAAAGCTTTTGCTTTTATCTTTTTTGAGAAAAACATGACCTTTCAGTAAGAATTTTTCTAAATAATATGCTGACCTTTCTATTCATAAATTGTAAGGTTGCTTTAAAAATGGGCCTTTTATCTGAGTGGCACAATATAGTCTCATTCTACTAGCCTTTAAAGTTAAACAATAAGGACTCCTATTTCTACCTTTAGAGTTACTATTTTTATAATTATGTGTGTTTGGCTTGCTTTTTGCAGGTAATTATCTTATAGTCATTACCAAAAAGATAAAAGTAGGTGAATTTTTCAGTCATGTAGTCTGGAAAGCAACAGATTTTGATGTCCTTTCTTATAAGAAGACAATGTTGCACTTAACTGATATTCAGGTAAGAACTGGAAATTGTTACTAATTGCAGCGCCCAAAGAAGTAGCATGGGCTGGGGAGAGGAGGGTGAGGGTGTTGTGGAATACAAAGAATGCTATAATTATTTTAACAACCTATAGAGTAAGATCACTCTACCTACTTTTCTACCTAGGCATAAAAAATATTTTTTAAATCATTTGTTGCTCTTGTTTTTTTTTTTTTAAAGATTCAGTTCTTAAATTATGCAATTTCATATGGAGAGAAGGGAAAACAGAAATGCACGGGTACTCAACACCAGATTTAACTTCATATCCTCTTTGTAAAGAAATAAAATATAAATACCTTTGAAGTTCTACTCCTCTTAACTCATTCCCTTCTTTCCCAGAGAGGTTTTCTCTATTTTTACCACATGTGAATGTAAGTGTGTGTGTGTGTTTATGAAATGTGTATATATTCTTTCAGGCAGTTTTCCTTTTGCACTATTCCTGTATGCACAGATTTCAGTAACCATAGTTTAGTTAACACCAGTACCCAAACAGCATGGCTTAAATTTCAGTTACTCCAGTTTATTAACTGAAGAATTAACCCACCAAAGATGAAGGTGCAAAAAAACAAAAAGCAACAACTCTGGAAGAGAAATTGAAATTGAACATAAATGGAGCATAGAAGAAGTAGCTGACCATGGGAATGCTGACACTATTCACCATTCAAGGGACAGTAGGTATGCAGCCAGAGGTCCTGGTGCAGGCGAACTGACCGACATTAATGATGGAGTGGCTGTGACGAAAGGGATGACAGTATCCCAGAGAAAGTGATGCCTGCAACAGACTTCCCATTAAAGGAAACCTTGGAGATATTTCCCAACATTGAAAGTGCAAAGGATAAAATGTCAGAAGTTGGTTTAGACTTAGGAAGGTGTATGACAGTTCACCAGGGATAGAAGAAATATTCTGTATCTTAATCTATATGACAAGAAGGCGGCAAGCACTGTTCAAGTCTCTTGATAAATTTTTTTACAAAGAAAATATTTTTTATTCTCGGTGTTTCTAATGTTTTAAATTATAGTGTGCTAAATATTAGTTTTACAATTTGTTCATTTATGCTTATAATTTACTATATATAACTTACAAGTTACATCTACAACGTAACTATATAAGTTAATATCTATAACTAATATCTATAACTTACAATAGAGTTTTTAATGTTTTGACAAAAAAAATTTTTAAAGGTCATGAAACAGTCATAGTTTTTACAATTGACTGTTAAGATAGCTTAAGATTATTAAGATGAAAATAACATGGTAATTTTTACATTCCCACTTTACAAAGTAAAGACTGCCTGTATTCATATTTAAACAGGATCTGTTTTTGCTCGGAGTGTGTATGAAACTTACATGAATGGCATTGCCCTGTTCTGATTCTTTGAAACTTACTTTTTAAAGTCAACATTGTTTAGAGATATATATACCTGTTGAGAGTGATTGTTTTCTTAATGTAATTTTAGTTACATGTTTGCTATTTAAAAATTTTAAGTTGTATTTTTACACCCAATTTATAAGAATGTTTCTAGAAGAAAATATATTATTCTAAAACATATAACTTAGGATAAACATTTTAAAAAATAAAATTATAGCACTGCCTACCTGAGTAAAACTACAGGATATGCTTTTTATACTTTAGAATTTCTTTTTTATTATATATATCAAGAAATATATATCAATATCTTCATTCTCTACTAGGCATATTTTAAAGAAATAAAAACAGCTGTATTTATTTAATAGACCAGTCATATTTACTTAGACAATTTCTTCTCGATTGTTATTCTTTGTTGTCAAGCTGTGTAGCTAATTTTAAAAACATGTCTGAGCACAAATAAAAAATTTTGTATATGTAGATTTGTAACATGTAGATTAACAAGTTAATCATTTAGTAATGATTAAACGTTACCAAACATTAACAATTGTTTTTTAAAACAAGGATAAAAACAAATGTCAATCTTAGTATTCATTGGGAAAGCTAGTTAAAATGGTTTCCCAAAAATAAAGATAAATATTGCTTTTACTGGACTTTTTAATCTTTGTTTTAAAGAAAAAGAATTCCATTTTACTTCTCGTCCATCCCAAACCAGGGAACGTTTCTTGAGAATGTGGATGATGTTAGTATCTTGTTATTTGCTGTTTGCATTATTGGGCCCGTCGTAAATTTATGTGTTTTATTTGTCGAAGATAGCTATGCTAACTTAGCAGGGCTGTTGTGAAGATTAAAGGGAATCTTTGGAAAATACCTGGCACACAGTAGGTCATAACCGAAGGTGATGTTTTGTTAAAACTACTCTTCTGCCTTTGAGAATAAAATTTGTAAAGGATACAAAGGGGAGGAGTCCTACCTAATCAAGTTACCTAATAGTACCCTACAGTGTTTATTGAGTATCTTCTGTGTGTCAGGAACTGTCCTACATCCCAGGGAAATGGCGAGCATCCCCCTCACTGGCTCAGTCCTTGTGCCAGTAGTCTTTAATGAGACTGGACTTAACAGGATTTAATTTGTATTCTTTTCTCATGCTGGCAGATTCCTTTTCAATTATGAGCTATACTGATTTTTCTTTGTTTATAGTTACAAGATAATAAAACCTTCCTAGCGATGCTAAACCATGTCTTGAATGTGGATGGATTTTACTTTTCAACAACATATGATTTGACCCATACTTTGCAGCGGCTATCCAACACTAGTCCTGAATTCCAAGAAATGAGTCTCTTGGAAAGGGTAAGCTTGATCTTCAATTATTTTTATTTTTAGGTTTTTAAAAGGGACATGTCTCTGTTTCATGCATAAAAATTTATATTGATTTTTCTCAGTCCTGGCTATCTTAGAATCATGTATGAGGCTTTGAAAATATACCCTGTTTTAAATATACATCACAATCCCAGTGTGTGAGTCCTTGAATCTGTGTATATATACAGCCAGAATTGAGAATCACTGGTGTAGATATTCAGAAATCTTTGTATAAACACACATGTAAGTTATTAGAGGAAAATCTTTCAGAATTTGTATTTCTGCATAAGTATTACCAGGCTACCAAGTGCTAACTCTCAGATGTCAAATCTTCAAACTAGCATTGCATTCATTTGTAATTTCTTAACTCTCAGTGTTCGGTAGTGTAGCAGTTACATTAGCAGTGTAATTAGGCTTATAAAATTCATATTCTAACAGTTGATATTTCTTCTGTAGTGATGCTTATTTATAATTTTTATAACTAAAAATGTAACAAAAGTCACTAGAACTTGGAAAATATCCTTTTAAGGTTTTTTTTATTTTGCTTTTTTTTTTTTTCTTTGAGACAGAGTCTCACTCTGTCACCTAGGCTGTAGTGCAGTGGTGCGATCTCAGCTCACTGCAACCTCTGCCTCCTGGGTTCAAGCAATTCTCATGTCTCAGCCTTGTAGGTAGCTGCAATTACAGGCGTGTGCTAACACGCTTGGCTAGTTTTTAGTAGAGATGGGGTTTCGCCATGTTGCCCAGGCTGGCCTTGAACTCCTGGCCTCAAGTGATCCACCCACCTCATCCTCCCAAAGTGCTGGGATTACAGGCGTGAGCCACTGTGCCTGCCCAGTCTGCCTTTTTTTTTTTTTTTTTTAATATACAGTGAATATATCTTTAAAATTAGGTTTCATATGATCTCAACTTAAAGTTTCTTTTGTTCAGGAACCTGGATGATTGCTACCTGAATTTTTTTTTGACACACCTTAGAAGTGTTTAATGAGAAGACAGAATTTAAAAGGTCGCTCCATCTTACTTATTAGGTTGGACAATGTGAAGTCGCCAGTAATTGACCATTTTTGACCAATAAAAATGGTTATTTCATGTGGTTCAACCTAAATTAATATTTTAGTTGACTGGCTTTTTTGGGTGAGATTTTCAACTCTAATTTGGTAAAATTGTATGTAGGCTTAGATGGAAGTTTAGGTGCAGGCTAAGCATTCAAGAAACTTGGCTTTTAACTACAAAGAGACTTGCTTTTAAAAGCAGTTGCTACATTCTCCATTTGTTTATGAAACATCTCTACAACGTCAGCCATGTACCAGGAACTATACTAGCCCCTGGGGACCCAGAATGAAGCTGTGGACCCTGTCTTGTGGGAGCCTACAGTCTGCTGGGGAAGTGGTAGTCAAAGAATGGTTGCTATAATGGTGATATGTACCAAAGTGAGGTGGGATCCTGAAGGAATGAGGGTCTTTGCCTGAGGTTGTCAGGGACAACTTTATAAAGTAAGGTATCTACAGAGGACAGTAACTTTACACAGAAAGGTAACTTTTGAGCTGAGACTTGATGAAGATTTGTTGGTCAGGTGACAGTGGGCCGGGGGGTTCCAGGCAGAGGTGGTGGCAGAGGCTAAGCTGCAGAAAAAGCCATCTCATCTGTTGGGATGAGATGGGAATGTTTTGTCAGCTAAACAGAAAGTTAGCCAAGTGTAGTGGTTCATGCCTGTAATCCCAACACTTTAGGTGGCCGAGGCAGAAGGATTGCTTGAGTCCATGAGTTCAGGACCAGCCTGGGCAACATAGGGAGACCACAGCTCTACAAAAAAATTTAAAAATTAATCAGGTGTGGCGGCACGCACCTGCAATCCCAGCTACTCGGGAGGCTGAGGTGGGAGGTTCACTTGAGATAGAAGCCACAGTGTGCTGTCATCACGCCACTGCACTCCAGCCAAGGCAACAGCAAGACGGTCTAAAAAAAAAAAGTTAATGTTAACATAGGGAATCATAAAAGTGATAAATGGAACATATATACCCTAAATATTTTAACTTAAAACCTAAAAGTTTTACATTGGTCAATGTTTTTATGTACGGCCATAGGATTTTCTTTGTTTTTGGTTCCTTGATTCTGAATTGTCTTCCCTGTGTAAATTACATCCATAGGGCTTTCCCATTTGGGCCACTTTAAAGACTTTGACACTTACAGAGAAATCTGTGTGCAGAATCCTGTACATTTTTACTATGTTCTTTTATATTTTTTTAGTTGCCACTCCCACTCCAAATTCAACAGCAGTTTTGTTTTAGCAACTTGCCTCTTATCAAGTTACATTCCAAATCATTTAACTTTATAGAAACAGCAGTGTGTTTTTCATCTTATTTCATTGGTTTATAAAATAGTTAAACTATATAATGATGAAATAATAATAAGTATGACTGGTACAAATTCAGGAACACACACTTGAATCTCAGGAAGTGCGATTCAGCTGGTTGTGGTCAAGTGCAAAAGCCATTCCCTGTGACTTTTAGAGTCGGCGGTGCTGGTGGTTCAGTTGGTATGCTTCATAAATAGAATTGATTAATCTACTGAGTAGAGTCAGTTATTTTGTTTGTTTTTTCTTTTTTGAGACAGAGTCTTGCTCTGTCACCTATCCTGGAGTGCAGTGGCACGATCTTGGCTCATTGCAGCCTCCACCTCCCAGGTTCCAGTGATTCTTGTGCCTTAGCCTCCCCAAGTAACTGGGACTACAGACACGTGCTACCACGTCTGACTAATTTTTGCATCTTTAGTAGAGACATGTCGGCCAGGCTGGTCTCGAACTCCTAAGTCTCAAGTGATCCGCCTGCCTTGGCCTCTCAAAGTGCTGGGATTATAGGCATGAGCCACCACGTCTGGCCCTAAGTAGAGTTGATTAAATATAGATTGTTGAGGGAGCCTCTTCTGTATTTATGAAAGTTGGAGTGGCCAGAGATGAGATCAGAGAGTTAATTAGGGGCTGCCAGATCCTAGGACTGATTAGGCCATGCAGAGATTTGGTTCTTTAGATGACAGAGTCATTGAAGAATTTTGAGCAGATAGGAGACAGGACATGTTAGAGAACTCCTGCTGGTAGCATTGTGGAAAAATGAGTGGCGAGGGCTAATGCCTAAACTGGAGGCAAGGGAAGGTGTGTTAGTTAGGCTGGAGTCAGATGTTGGTAAAGATAGTGGGAGTAGAAATGTAAAAAATATGGATTTTGAAGGAGATTTAGTACTTGACAATTAAATGTAAGGGAAAGAAATACCGTAAAACTCCTCCCAGGTTTCTGTCTGGCCTGAGACAATGAGACAGAAATGCCCACAGGAGGTACAGATTTGCGGGGGAGATGTATTTTGTTTGAGGCCTGTCAAAGAAACTGGCTTCTAGCCATCAGAAAGAGACATTGATTGGTGTAGTTTTCTTTCTGTAGAAAGTAAGCTTGGCAGGAGATATTTTATTAAATTTTAAAACTTCTCTCAGGCAGATCAGCGGTTTGTATGGAATGGTCATCTTCTAAGAGAACTTTCTGCACAGCCAGAGGTAATGTACACGAAATAAAATCTGCTTAATTGTTACAGTCCAAGCTTTAATTCAATGCATGCTATAAAGTGACTTCCTAATCACCAAGAATTTCGAGAAACAATTCTAATTTAACTGTTTATAACTTACAAACTTGGATCAGGTCTACCCTGTCACATCATTCTAGGTTGAAGAAGCCTAACTATTTTACTCTGATCTTCTATAGAAGCCTTAAATAAAAATACATTGCTTTGTCTAACTAAGAGAGATACAGGGGATCTTGGTACATGGATAATGGAGAAATGAGGGGCCAGGGCCAAGTTTCCTGGCCAAGGGGAGAGCTCTTTTTTGTCTTCCTTTGGGGATGAGACTCCCTTCAGTCACCCAGGAGAGACATGCACAGGCACCGCCCTCTTCTGTCCTTTGTCTACACATATGAGGTATAAACAGGGAGGCCCAGCTAGGGAAACATGATATATTATTGAATCTAGGTAAATAGATGTGTCTAATTGCTTTATTTCTTGTCATTTGCTATGCTTTTTTTGGAAAAGTAGTTTGAGCTGCAAACAATTAGCATGGGATATCTTTTCCCTGGAGGAGTGAAGTTGTTGTAGGCAAAGACTGAAAAGGAGGTAAACATTCTGTAACTTCATGTAGCTTTATTAGTGTTCCAAAATCTGTGAATATTCAAGCTCAAATGATTGTAATGCATACTTAATGTTACATTAGAGAAATCTTTTAAAAATTATATTACCCATAAGTTTACTACCTTGTTATGTTTGTATATTACCTCCCTATGTGTAAATATTTTTATATAATGCTTATTTATTTTTAAAGTATATTTATTCTAAATATATATCTTCATTTCAGGTTCATCGGTTTGCCCTTCCAGTGTTACATGGCTGTATCCTTACATGATATTACTCTTTAGTTTCTAGATGCCTTTATTTAAATTTTATTATAAGGCAGATTTAGAGATAGTCTCAAATACTCCATAAGGAGAGTATTTCAGAATTAATATAAATTGCTGTTGATAAGAAAATCAAACTCATTGCTATTTTGTTTGTTTTTTTTTTTTTTAGAATGAACTTTTCAGACTATACGATTCTCTCTCTGTTCAAGAGTTCTGGGGTTGGTTGTTTAAAGAAAAGGAATATGTGTACTGTATTTTGCCTTTATTTGATGTTACCTTTTATCAGTAAATTACACATAAGTAGTTTGGACCTGGCTGTTGAAAACTTTCCTAAGTACATAATTTAAAAAGTTAGACTTAGGCCGGGCATGGTGGCTTGCACCTCTAGTCCCAGTTACTCAGGAGGCTGAGGTGGGAGGATGACTTGAGCCCAGGAGTTTGAGGCTGCAGTGAGCTGTGATGGCACCACTGCACTCCAGCCTGGGTGACAGGGTCAAAAAAAGTGAGACTCAGACACTAGTGTGGGTAACAAGTTGGAGAGGAGAATTACCATTAAAAATTTTGTCATTTGAAATAGTGACAGATAAATGAAAATAAGTAGAGTACAAAGAATATTGCCTAAGGGAGAAATCAGAGTACAGATACAAAATGAGTAATGATTATCTAATTGTAGGTTCATGTTAAAAACAGATCTATGTCATAGACATCATAATAAAAATAAAGCAGCCAAGTGAGCTGGCTCTTAAAGGATATATAAGCACAATATGCTCATGAGTGCCTATCCAGTTATGTGCCACATACTGACATTTCAGTCGGTGACAGACCACATATATGAAGGTGGTCCTATAAGATTATAATACCATATTTCTACTGTATCTTTTCTATGTTTAGATATGTTGAGATACACAAATACCATTGTGTTACAGTTGCCTACAGTATTTAGTACAGTAACATGCTATACAGGTTTGTAGCTAAGGAGCGATGGGCTATACCGTGTAGCCTAGGTGTGTAGTAGGCTGTGCCATCTAGGTTTGTGTAAGTACACTCTATAATGTATAGAATTGCCTAACGATGCATTTCTCAGAATGTACCCCTATTAAGTGATGCATGACTGTAATCAGGATTGTGCCCTGAAGAAAACGGTGATGACATCTATCAAGCACATGTAAGAAGCTTATCAATACAAGTCTATTATTTATTTATTCAGTATGTTAATATAATTTCACTAAACTTAATGCTTGTTATACTTAAAGAAAACCCAAAAAGTAATGGAGGAAACATGTTCCACAGTTATGGGGAAATAAAAATTAGAAAATTTCATGATAAAAGCTCATTTATTTTTGTTTCCCCACCCCGAGCTTTCCAAGTTCTCCTAAGGATAAAATAAGAATAAATGTGTTTATTCAGCCGGGTGCAGTGGCTCATGCCTGTAATCCCAGCACTTTGGGAGGCCAAGGCCGGCAGATCATGAGGTCAGGAGTTCGAGACCAGTCTGGACAACATGGTGAAACCCTGTCTCTACTGAAAATACAAAAATTAGCTGGGCGTGGTGGCTCACACCTGTAATGCCAGCTACTCGGGAGACTGAGGAAGGAATATTGCTTGAACCCAGGAGACGGAGGTTGCAGTGAGCCGAGATCGTGCCACTGCACTCCAGCCTGGATGACACAGCAAGACTCCATCTCAAAAAAAAAAAAAAAGTGTTTATCCTTATTTAGTGCCTTAAATGATTTGGGCCAACTATGGTGTTTTTTGTTTTTTGTTTTTTTTTCAAAATGAGATTGTGAATGGACAAACAATATTAAGTGAGATTATAGAACCTTTTTTTCTAGGCAATTTTAGAAACAGCTTACTCATTTACCTTTAAATTGAAAGCTTTAAATGAGCTTTTCTTTAGTGTAGTTTGTTGACTAGAAGTAAAATCATATGTTTCACACACATACAGAGACATTAATAAGTAAAATGACCCCAAGACAGGAACATGACTGGAATAGAGAGTGGACAGAGAGGCGGGAGCTGTGTTCAGAGAATTAGCTCAGCCCAGATGACTCAGGGCCTTATAAGCCATGGGAAGAACTGTGGCTTTTACTTTAAATGTGATGGGGCCAGGCATAGTGGCGCATGTCTGTAATCTCAGTGCCTTGGGAGGCTGAAGCAGGAGGATCCTTTGAGGCCAGGAGTTCAAGACCAGCCTGGAGAACATAGTGAGACCCTGTCTCTACAAAAATTTTTTAAAAATTAGGCATGGTAGCATGTGCCTGTAGTCCCACCTGCTCAGGAGGCTGAGTCAGGAGGATCACTTGACCCCATTTTGAAGCTTCAGTGAGCTATGATCACACCACTGTGTTCTAGCCTGGGTGACAGCGCAAGACCTCTACTCAAAAGATTTTGGAGAAGGGGAAAATTGGTGAAGGTGCATGCTAGAGTGATATCCAAGAATGTGTGAGGTGGGTGGGGGTCAGCGCACAGGTAGAGGGCCTGGTGTGGGCTGCTCACCTACCACTGTAGAAGGGAAGCAGATAGATGGATGTGGTTGCTGATGGGTGTGTAAATGTGATCGGGGCCTGTGGAGGGCTTTTATTTTTACAGCACCATATAAAGTGTCATAATGGGCCATGAGGGGGATGAGGGAGAAATGTTGCATGTTGAGGGGAGTATGTGAAATGCCATCCTGGAGAGAAGGCATGGATGGCCCTGGGAGTAACTGATTGATGAAAGACTAGAAGTAAATACACTCACATTTTAAAAGTTATGCTGATGGGATTCAGTTTTTATTTTACTCTTGTTCCTTCCATGCTTTCTGGATTCTCTAAAGTGTGTAGATGTTTTTGTCTTGTAATCAGAGGAACATGATTCATAAAGCAGTCAGTCATATTCTCTGCTAGATTTAGCTCTCTAAGAGCAGGCTTATCTGCCCTGCTCATTTTTGTGCCCTGGCTCGAAATAGATAATTTGGGTAAGGGAGCAAATATTACATTGGAGTCTTCTCTAGTGCTATGGGCTTCAAAGGAAAGTGAATTGGGAGCTCAAGAGGAGCCCTTATCAAGTCTGATGATACCAGGTAATAGAGATGAGTCATTAGCAGCTCAACTCATTGCTGATGTCATTAGGTACCATTTTGAAAAGCATTTGGTGTTCTCTTGTGAATTTGCCAGCACTTCTCCAATGCATACCCAATACATTCATACCAGGAGGTCTTTCCAGAATGTTCACAGTACCACGTTAGAGCAATACCATGAACGTCACAAGGGCTTGAAGTTTATAAATAGCGTAGTTTCATTTTTACAAAAAAGCAAGCTGCGTGTTTCTAAGTATGGTTGCATGTGATGAAACTAAAAAGATAGGAGAATGGTCTCCATGAACCTGAGAATAGTTACTTCTAGGTGAGAACACAATTGGATAAAATAGGGAAGGAGCAGATAAATAGATTCAGGGTTTTGGTACTGTTTTGAAGTTGGATGGTAGGTTCACAAATATTTATTTTATTATGCTGTTATACTTTATAATGGATGCATCAAATTATATTAAGAAAAAGTGTTACATATAGAAAATACCATAACCAAACCTAAACAAATGTGGAAGGAGAAAAAGTAAGGCCATTGAAACAATAAAACCTTTCTGTCATACCCCCCTGCTCCCCAGCCACAGTGTGGCATACATTAAAAAGCAGACAATAAATTAGCCAGACATGGTGGCATGTGCCTGTAGTCCCAGCTACCTGGGAGGCCAAGGTGAGAGGATGGCTTGGGCCCAAGAGTTTGAGGCTGCGGTGAGCCATGATGGTGCCACTGCACTCCAGCCTGGTTAGCAAAGCAAGAGCCTCTCTCTCAAATAAATACATAAATAATTTTTTTTAAAAAAGCAGACAACATCAAATGTTGGTAAAGGTGAGAAGCCAAAGTAATTCTTGAAGCAATATGGAATTTCCTAATAAGATCAGATGAGGAGTATACTCTGTAACCCAGCAGTACTGCTCCTTAGAGCCATTTCTGCTTATTTGTACAGAGATGTTTATTGCAACACTGTTCATAATAGTAAAACTGGAAACAGCTGGCATGTCCATGGACAGTAGAATGGATAAGTAACTGTAATCTAGTCATATAGTGGAATATTATACAGCCATAGCAGCAGCAAATGAACCTCATGACTATAATGAGCAAATAAAGAAAACTGAAAGAATACATACAGATTAATTCCTGTTATGTTAAAAAAAAAAAAAAGTCAAAAGCTGTTCAGACTAAACAAGAATTTGTTTAGTGGCAAAACTAGAAAGACAAGGGAATAATGAACTGAGTGGATAGTAGTTACTTCTTAGAGGGCAGTAAGGGAGCCACAGGGAAAGGTGCTTCAGAGATGCTAGTGGGTACAAAGGGGTGTGTGTATGTGTAATTTTTAAAATTATGATCAAATATACCTCATAAACAATTTGCCTTTTTGGTCATTTTTAGATGTGTAATTCAGTGAGTGGCATTAATTTCATTCACAGTGTTGTGCAACCAGCATCCTGTTTCCATCACTCCAGTAAGAAATTCTTACCCATTTAATATCAACTCCCCATACTAAATGGGTATTTAACTATTGTAAATAGTTACACACATTATACTTTACTGTTTATTATATTTCATAATAAAAACATTTAATGTAAGAGGTATGCCAATTCCAAAGGCTTTTGCAACCCTTTACTCTGGGAATGAAGTGGAGAGATCAGCCTTTAGAATTTCTAGGTGTATGACTGTTTATATTACTGAATGGTGTAGGAAGTGTCCTATACCATATACTATTATCAGTAGTAAGGGAAATAACTTTATATAAAGAAAGGCTTTTGGGGAGATACAGTCTTTCATACTGAGGTTCACCTTTTCTATTTCAAGGATAAGGTAGAGTCAAAATTTCCATTTCTAGATAACCTTTGTTTAATTCACTTTGATCTGTGAATCTTCATATGCTTACCAGCTGTTACATGGCTAATTTATAATTATGTGTCATGCATTTCATTTTTTTTCCCCTTAGCTGCAGTAGCCTAGCCTTCCCTCCCCATTTTGTGTTTCTTATTTGAAAGTTAATCTATTTTAAATTTATGTTTTCCATTCAGAGTAGATTTTTCAGTGATGTGGTTAATACTTAATTCTTTAGAAAGTGATTGAGAATATCAGGAAAAGGGAAGCATATCATTTAAATAAAAACACCATAGTGAACTTCTTAAACATACTACCTTCGTGTCATAGGGTTATTAACTTGACAAAACTTCACAGTTGATTATAGTACTAAGGGCTTGTGAATATTCATGAAGATTTGTATACTCTTGTCATTTTTTCTCTTAAAGACCATCATTAGGATAGATAGATGCAAACAATCTAGAAACAATGCTTATGATTTCTATTATATGTTATATTTTTCTTAATGTGGTTAAGTTATTACCATGCATTCATGTTCTATTAATGGAAAATACTTTGATTGGATTCTCATCTCGAGGAGGAGCTGTTTCAGAGCTGGTGTGCGCTATTATGTAAGAGGTGAGAATTTTGTCAGCATGGGTCATATCTGTAATTAATATTTTGTCTTACGGTGACACGAATGTAACCTTTTGTATTTTATTTGTTTTCATTATCATTTGATAGCCTTGCTAAGTATTTATCTCCTGCTTCATTGTAATAATTAGGTAGGTCTTCCGTGCTTCAGTTACTGTAATTACATTGCAAATGTTAATGTGATACTTGTAGGCTGCTGCTTACTGCTTGAAGAGGAACTGATCATGTTGTTTGCTGGATGTCCGAAAGCACAGCTGAACTCAGTGTAGTTTTCAGTAACCTAACTTAGAAAGTATTTTCTTGTATTGCTTTTAGGTTTTTTGCATGCATGAAGCTAGTCATTTGGCTTTGTGCCTTCAACTTTGTAAACATTTACATTTTGAGCATTTATTTTCTAGGCTTTGTACTAGCAACATGCTTATTTTGCTAAACTAAACTTTAAAAATCTGTATTAAAGCTTACTGTCATTATGAAAAGAAGTTTCTCCAACCTTTGTATTTTTTTTAACCAGAATATATCAGCATATTTTATGGCTGTGAGCCATTAAATAAATTGTAGCTTGGGGCCAGAAAGTTGTAGAAATTATTTGCTTAATCTCTCTCATAGCAGAGGAAGAATAACATTGAGTGAGTGACCTGGCAAAGATCACAAACCAAAATTAAAGTTAGCAACTCTGTTGTAACTAGATTTTCTTGGATGGAAACATAGTTTTTGATTAAATTTTTGAACAGGTAGTGCATTTACATATTTCAAATATCAAAAAGTATTTTTTTAATGCAATAAAAAATATTTCCCATTTCTGACCTCATCTGCTTGGTTCTTACCCCCTTCCCAGCTAATCAGATGTTAGTTTCTTGTTTATCCTTCCAGATAATTTTTATGCTAATACAGATATGTGCCCTTCTCTTCCTCCTTTTTTAGACAGTGATAATATTCTGTGCACATTTTTCTGCACCTTGTTTCCTTTTTTTCCTTCATATCTTTTGCAAATCTTTTCATAAAGATCTTTCTTTCATACACACAAACACACATACTGTCTCTCAGTCTGACTCTGACTTTTAAAAATAATTGGATGTTGTTCCTTAGTGGGAATTACGAAGGGAAGCAAGGATAGCCTGTGCCTCTGACAAGTAATCTCATAAAGTATTGAGGAGTCATGTCATTGCTGATTTGGCTCAATAATTTTGGCCCCTTCTGGTGATATGGTAACTAAAACAGTGATACTTCACATATACCTGCAAATGTTATATGTAAGAAATATGTCAGAAAGGATGTTAGGAAATACTTGGCACAGTTAAAAAATACATTGATTTCTTTCTGATAATTTGGTAATTTGGGTCAGGGACTAGCTTGAAAGTTGCCTTTGCTTAGCAAGCGTTTCTTTGTAAAAATAGATTACGTAAACAAATTTTTAAAGGAATGCTTCAAATATTTGAAAGAACTAAACAGCATCAAGAATCCAAACACTTTGCTTTTCAAACTAGGTTTTGTGAGCATATTCATGGAGTTACAGAGGATCACATACAGATTTTGTGTTTTCATTTTGATAATTAAAATCAGTATAAGCATCTGCTGGAGACCATTTGCATTATTATAACAAAATATTATAAACTAGCCTATATTCACCGGGTGCGGTGGCTCACGCCTATAATCCCAGCACTTTGGGAGGCCGAGGCAGGCAGATCACCTGAGGTCGGGAGTTTGAGACCAGCCTGACCAACATGGAGAAACCCCATCTCTACTAAAAATACAAAACTTAGCTGGGCGTGGTGGCGCATGCCTGTAATCCCAGCTACTTGAGAGGCTAAGGCAGGAGAATCGCTTGAACCCGGGAAGCGGAGGTTGCGTTGAGCTGAGATTATGCCATTGCACTCCAGCCTGGGCAACAAGAGCGAAACTCCGTCTCAAAAAATAAGTAAATAAAAATAAAATGGCCTATCTTTACGTTGAGTATTGTGTTGTTACTAAGTATAATTACCTAAATTGATAGTTTTACCTTTCAAACTAGTATTTTTCAAATTAGGATCTATGGACATTTTCTCAGGGGTCTTTGAGATTTTTTTTTTCTTTAAAAGATGTCTCAAGTTTGAGAAACACTACTTTAGAGGAATTTTGTATGTAGAAACAATGTATTTAAGAGCAACCAACTTCATCTGTTTATTAATAGGTTTTTAATACTCCTCTTTAAGCCTGTTTAAAGTGAGCAAGCTTGTGTTAGTTTTCTGATCATGTATAATGAATTTGTTTGAATTGTATTTTCATAATGACTTTTCCACTAACTTGAACTGACTTAATTCTCTCCAAGTTAACCTGAATTAGTGGGTTTCTGATGTGTTTCTTTGTGTAATCAGTATAGTTAATTCTTAATTTTTTTTCTATTTAGGAATTGATTCGGAAGGCCATGCAGCTAACTTTGTAGAAACAGAACAAATTGTGCACTACAATGGGAGCAAAGCTTCGTTTGTACAGGCAAGTTGTTATGTCTGTTAGGCAGTCAGCGAGTTGGCCTTTTCTGCTTGGATTATAATTTTCTGTCATGTTGAAATTTCCCTCTTTTCCCTTCTCTGTTCTTATGTAATATTTTTATCTATGGTGCAGAAAAAGTTCACCCCAAAAAAGGAAAATCCATTAATCTGGCACTAACCTGCTGCCATTTCCTGCCCTTAAATTAAATCCCTAGAGGAGAGGGTAGGCTAGGAGGTGCGAAGAGAGTTATGGAAATGGAGCCATCTGTCTATTGAACCATTTACATGTATTAAGGGCAGTGATGATAGGACAAGCTGATGGCTTATAATTGACTTTACCTGCTACTGTGAGATGTCTCTTCTGTTGCCTTATGGAGTTGTACACCACTTGCTGCTCCAGAGCGTTAGTGGCCAAATACATTCATATGTTCATAAACATATTCATTTGAAAATGAATAAAGCAATTTTCTAATTTTTTCATAATGCCAAATTATATAACAGATGTAACCTGTTAATTTTTACTCATAGATAAATTTAGAATTTCAAGGAAATAACTGTCTACTACACAAATGCCATGTATATAAAACTAGAAGGAGAAAAAGTTCTAAATGTTTTTCCATAAAATATGAACTTTAGGAGCAGATACACGTGGACTTTTAAAGTTGTCGGTAGATTGTATTAGTTTTTTCCCTTGCATATTCATTAATATATACACCCCTGACAATAAGTAAGGTGAGAAAAACAAGTATGTTTGTGTTTCTTTTCACATTTCTCTCTTTTCTTTTAGACTCGAGGATCAATACCTGTTTTCTGGTCCCAAAGACCAAACCTCAAGTACAAACCACTGCCACAGATCAGCAAAGTAGCAAATCACGTGTGTATCTTGCATGCCTTTTTTGTTGGTTAAAAATAGAAGCTTAATAGCATTATAATTTGCATGTAAAGAATGTATTTATTCCGCATAAATCAATGTTCAACATCTTTGAGGCTATTCTTCTTGGTTCCGGCACATAGTAAACCCCTAAACCAAAAGGTGTGTGGGTGGCATGTTAGAAATATAGAAAAACAAACTATGATTGAATGGCATGGCAAGTAAGGATTTGAGAGATCTCAGTAAGATTTGTAACTTTATGCTTTTTAGGGTACTTAATATATTCCACTGAGGTTGTACTCAGAATTAAAGTGGTAGTGTTGCAGCTCAGAGTAAAATAGCTTATGATTACTAGATGACATTTAGAATAGCTAGAAGGCATAGTTCACATCCTGACATCTTTCTTTTGAATATAGAAATAAGACATTTAAGGAGGTCCTTTAAAAATATTATAAATATTTAAATTATATTTATAAATTACATAATGTACTCCAGTAAAATATGTAACTTTTTCCTCTCTAGATGGACGGTTTCCAAAGGCATTTTGATTCCCAAGTAATTATTTATGGAAAACAAGTTATAATCAATCTGGTATGTTTCTTATGTTTCTTGGGGGGAAAAAAAAGCCTTAACTTTTTCTTGACAGAAAATTTACTATTTTAACCATTTTTTAAGTGTACAGTTCAGTGGCATTAAGTAGTTCATAATGTGCAGCCATCATCACTGTTCATTTCCACAACATTTCATCATACCAGACAGAAACTCTACCCATTAAACAATTAACTTCCTATTATATCCCTCCCCACAGCCCCTGGTAATTCTATTTTACTTTCTGTCTCTCTGAATTTGTCTATTCTAAGTACCCTCATGTAAGTGGAATAATACAATGTTTTTCTTTTTTAATGTTTTTAAGGTTCATCCATCTTGTAGCATGTATAGAATTTCATTCTTTTTTTAAGACTGAGGAATATTCCATTGTGTATGTGTATGCATATATGCACACACACACACAGACACACACACACACACACATATACATGCATACCACATTTTGTTTATCCATTAATCTATTGATGGACATTTGGGTTGTTTTCATTTTTTGGCTATTATGAATAATGTTGCTATGAACATTGGTGGTGTGCAAGTATCTGATTGAGTCCCTGTTTTCAGTTCTTTTAGGCTTATACTTAGAAGTAGAATTGCTAGATCATATGGTGATTCTATGTTTAACTCTTTGAGGAACCACCATACTGTTTGCCATAGCGGCTGCACCATTTTGTATTCCCACCAACAATACACCAGAGTTCCAGTTTCTTCATATCCTTGCTGACAATTGTTGTTTTCTGGTGTGTGTGTGTGTGTGTGTGTGTGTGTGTGTGTGTTTAATGATAGCCATCCCAATGGGTGTGGAGTGGTGTTGAGTTGATTTACATTTCTCTAATGATTTGTGTGATTTTGAGCATCTTTGCATGTGCTCATTGGCCATTTGTGTATCTTCTTTGGAGAAATGTCTATGTAAATCCTTTCGCTATTTTTAATCAGGTTGTTTTTTGTTTGAGTTGTAGTCATTCTTTATGAAGTCTGGATATTTATCTCTTAGCAGACAGGTGCTTTACAAATATTTTCTCCCACTCTTTAGGTTGATTTTTTACTCTTGACAATGTCCTTGGTATACAAATTGTTTAAGTCCAGCTTATCTAGTTTTTCTTTTGTTGCCTCTGCTCTTGGTGTCAAATTCAAGAAATTGTCACCAAATCCAATAACATAAACTTACCCCTATATTTTCTTTTTAGGAGTCTTTATAGTTTTAGATCTTACAGTTAGGTCTTTGGTCTGTTTTGAGTTGATTTTTGTTTCGTGTATGTGTGTCTGTGTATTACTTCTTAAAACTGCACATGAGTTAATTTTTGTATATGGTGTAGGTGTAAGGGTCCAACTTCATTCTTTTGCATATGGCTATCCAGTTTTCCCAGCACCATTTATAAAAAGACTGTTCTTTTCCTTTGAATGGTCTGTCACCATAATAAAAACTCAGTTGAACATATATATAAGGTCTTATTTTGAGGCTCTGTTCTATTCCATTGGTCTCCGTGTCTGTCCTTATGACAGGATCACACTATTTTGGTTACTACAGCTTTGTGTAATAAGTTTTAAAATCGGGAAGTGTGATAATTCCAACTTCCTTCTCCTTTTGCAAGATTATTTTGGCTACTTGAGATCCCTTGAGATTGCTTATGAATTTTAGGCTTGGTTTTTCTATTTCTGCAAACAATGTCATTGGGATTTTAGTAGCAATTGCATTGAATTGACAGATTGATCACTTTGACTAGTACTGTCGTCTTAATAATATTGTTAGTCCATCAACTCAGATGTCTTTTTATTTATTTATGTTTTAAAAAATTTCAGCAATATTTTGCAGTTTTCAGTGTACATGCATTTCACCTCCTTGTTTAAATTTATTTTTGAGTATTTATGCCTGAATGGTGTTTTTTTGTTTGTTTGTTTTTCGTTAGTGTAAATGAAATTGTTTTTGTACTTTCCTTTTTGGATATTTCATTGTTAGTATATAGAAATGCAACTGATTATTGTGTCTTGATTTTTGTATGCTCCAACTTTGTTGAATTTCTTATCTCCAATTGATATTTTGCAGAATTTTTAGGGTTTTCTATATATAAGATCGTGTCACCTGTGAACAGAGATAATTTTATGCTTCCTTTCCAATTTGGATGCCCTTTTTTTTTTTCTTGCCTAATTGGTGTTGCTAGAACTACTAATACTATGTTGAACAGAAATTGTGAAAGCAAGCATCCTTGTCTTATTCCTTTTCTTAGGAGAAAAGCTTTTGGTCTTTCATCATTAAATATGATACTAGCTGTGGGTTTTTCACATAATGGCCTTTATGCTGAGGAACTTTTCTTCTTTTTCTAAGTTATCCAGTTGAGTGTTTTTATCAAGAAGAGGTGTTGAATTTTGTCAAATACTTTTCTGTATCAATCGAGATGCTCGTTTGTTTTTTTTCCCTTCATTCTACTAATGTGGTATGTTATACTGATGGATTTTTGTGTATTGAACCAGCCTTACATTGTGGGAATAAATCCTTTTGGTCATGGTATATACTTTTTAAATATGCTGCAGAATTTGGTGTGCTAGTGTTTGGCTGGGGATTTTTACATTAATATTCATAAAGGATATTGGCCTGTAGTTTTCTTGTAATATCTTTGTTTGGTTTTGATATCAGGATAATCTTATCTTTACAGAATAAGTTAGAAAGTGTTCTCTCTTCTTCAGCTTTTTGGTAGAGTTTGAGGAAGACTGGTGTTAATTCTCTAAATTTTGGTACAATTCACTGGTGAGTTCACTAGTAAAGCCATCTAGTCCAGGCTTTTCTTTGTTAGGAGACTTTTTTTTTTTCTGTTCGTTTTCATTACTGATTCAATCTCCTTACTATGTATTGGTCTATTTAGATTTTCTATTTTTTCATGATTCAGTTTTGGCAGGTTATATGTCTAGGAATTTGCCAATCTGGGTTATCCTACTTGTTGGCATACAGTTGTTCATAGTATTCTCTTAGATCCTTTTTATTTCTCAGAAATTGCTAGTAATGTCCACTGTCACTCTTGATTTTAGTAATTTGAGTCTTTTGTTTTGTTTTGGTCAGTCTAGCTAAGAGTTTGTGAATTTTGTTGATCTTTTCAAAGTTCAACTTTTAGTTTTATTGACTTTATTGTTTTTATATTTTCTATTTTATTTATCTCTACTCTGATTTTTATTATTTCCTCCGGTAGCTTTGGGTTTAGTTTGCTCTTCTTTTTCTTGTTCCTTAAAGTGTAAAATTAGGTTATTGCTTTGAGGTTTTCTTTTTTAATGTGTGCATTTACAGCGACAAATTTTCCTCAGCACTGCTTTTGCTTTATTTCTTTTTTTTTTTTTTTTTTTTTTTTTTTGAGACGGAGTCTCGCTCTGTCACCCAGGCCGGACTGCGGACTGCAGTGGCGCAATCTCGGCTCACTGCAAGCTCCGCTTCCCGGGTTCACGCCATTCTCCTGCCTCAGCCTCCCGAGTAGCTGGGACTACAGGCGCCCGCCACCGCGCCCGGCTAATTTTTTGTATTTTTAGTAGAGACGGGGTTTCACCTTGTTAGCCAGGATGGTCTCGATCTCCTGACCTCATGATCCACCCGCCTCGGCCTCCCAAAGTGCTGGGATTACAGGCGTGAGCCACCGCGCCCGGCCGCTTTATTTCATACATTTGGTATATTGTATTTTTGTTTTCATTTGTCTCAGGTATTTTCTAAGTTCTCTTGCTGGGATTTTTTCTTTGAACCAGTGGTTCAGTATGTTGTTTGTTTTTCACATGTTTGTGAAATTTCTAGTTTTCCTTCTATTCTTGATTTTTAGCTTTCTGTTGTGATCAGAATATATACTTAATGTGATTTGAATTTTTAAAAATGTGTTAAAACTTGTTTTTTGGCCTAGATATAGTTTGTCTTAGAGAATATTTCATGTGTACTTGTAAAAAAATGTGTATTCTGCTGCTGTTGGGTACAGTAATATGGTCTGATTGGTTTATGATGGTGTTTAAATTCTCTATTTTCTTATTCATCTCTGTCTGATTGTTCTGTTGTTGAAAGTAGGGTATTGAAGTTTCCTACAATTTTTTTAAATTTTTTATTTATTTATTTTTGGAGATGGTGTCTCACTCTGTCACCCAGGCTGGAGTGCAGTGGCATGCCTCCCTGGTTTGCACCATTCTCCTGCCTCAGCCTCCCGAGTAGCTGGGACTACAGGCGCCCACCACCACACCTGGCTGATTTTTTGTATTTTTAGTAGAGATGGGGCTTTACCGTGTTAGCCAGGGTGGTCTCAATCTCCTGACCTCGTGATCTGCCCGCCTCGGCCTTCCAAAGTGCTGGGATTACAGGCGTGAGCCACTGCGCCCAGCCTCTACTATTATTATATAATTTTCTGTTTCTCCCTTCAGTTCTGTCAGTGTGCTTCATTATATTTTCAGGCGGTCATGGTTTGTTGCATATATGTTTATAATTGTATCTTCTTGGAAAATTGACCATTTAATCAATAAACAATGTTCTTTTTTTGTCTTTTGTAACAATGTTTCACTTAGAGTGTATTTTGTCTGATACTAGTGTAGTTATTCCAGCTCTTTTTTGATTACTATTTGCACAAAATATCTTTTTTCATCCTTTCTCTTTCAACCTATATGTGTCTTTAGGTCTAACATGAATCTCTTAGAGACAGCATGTAGTTAGATCATATTTTTTTCCATTTTGCCAGTCTACTTATTTTTACTGGAGAGTTAATCCATTTGCATTTAAAGTAATTACTGATAAGGATTTACTTCTGCTATTTTGTTACTTGTTTTCTGTGTGTCCTATAGCTTTTTGTTCCTCATTTCCTCCATTACTGTCTCTTATTGTGCTTAGTTGATTTTTTTTGGTAGTGATATATTTTGATTACCTTCTCATTTTCGTTTGTGTATATTCTATAGCTGTTTTCTTTGTGGTTACCATGAGGATTACATATAACATCCTAATGTTATAAGTATCTAATTTGGATTGATACCAGAAGCATATAAAAGCTCTACTCCTGTAAAGCCTTCATGCTTCCTTTTTATGTTGACATTTCAAATTCCATCTTTATATATTGTGTTTCAGTAACATCAATATATAATTATTTTTATGCAGTTGGCTCTTATTTATGTATATATGTATTTATTTTTTAGAGAAAAGGTCTTACTCTGTTGCCCAGGCTTGTGTGCAGTGGCATGATCATAGCTCTGTGTAATCTTGAACTCCTGGGCTGAAGGAATCCTCCCACTTCAGCTTCCTGAGCAGCTAGGACTATAGGCACATACCACCATGCTTGGCTAATTTTTTTGTTTTTTATAGAGATGGGGGTCTCACTATATTGCCCAGGCTGGTCTTGAACTCCTGGCCTCAAGCCATCCTCTTGCCTCAGCCTACCAAAGTGCTAGGATTACAGATGTGAGCCACCATTCCTGACTGC
The DNA here is from genome assembly GCF_000001405.40 of Homo sapiens. Taxonomy (NCBI): domain Eukaryota; kingdom Metazoa; phylum Chordata; class Mammalia; order Primates; family Hominidae; genus Homo; species Homo sapiens. The sequence continues at coordinate 45,728,976 of NC_000003.12, forward strand.
ATTTGACTTTTAAATCCTGTAGAAATAAAAATTGGAGTTACAGACCAGGATTTCAATAATACTGGCTTTTATATTTGCCCTTGTCTTTACCTTTTTGGATTTATTTATTTATTTATTTATTTATTTTTTGAGACAGAGTCTTATTCTGTCACCCAGGCTGGAGTACAGTGGCACAATCTCGGCTCACTGCAACCTCTGCCTCCTGGGTTCAAGCGATTCTCCTGCCTCAGCCTCCTGAGTAGCTGGGATTACAGGTGTGGGCCACCACACCCAGCTAATTTTTTTATTTTTGGCAGAGACAGGGTTTTCATGTTGGCCAGGCTAGTCTCGAACTCCTGACCTCAAGTGATCTGCCCACCTCGGCCTCCCAAAGTGCTGGGATTACAGGTGTGAGCTACTATGCCCAGCCTGTTGGAAATTTTTATATCTCTGTATAGCTGCAAGTTACTGTGTAGCATCCTTTCATTTCAACCTGAAGGACTCCCTTTAGCATTTCTTACAGATTGGGTTTAATGATAATGAACTACCTCAGGTTTTGTTTATCTAGGAATGTCTTAATTTTTCCTTCATTTTTAAAGGACGTTTTGCCAGATACAGAATCCTTGGTTGACAGTTTTTTCTTCTTCCAGCATTTAAAATATATGATCCCACTGTCTTCAGCCTCCAAGATTTCTAATGAGAAATTGGCGGATAATCCCATTGAGAATCTCTTGTGTGTGATGAGTCTCCTCTCTCTTGCTGCTTTTCAGGATTCCGTTTTTGTCTTTCAGCTATGTGATTATAATGTTTTTGGTGTGGGTCTCCTTAGAGTTCAGAGCTTGGGTTTGTAGATTCATATGTTTCATCACATTTGGGAAGGTTTTGGCTATTTTTTTTTTCTTCAAATAATCTGTCTCTGCCTTTCTCTCTCTCTTCCTGGAATTCCCATAGTGCTAAATATTTTATTTCACTTTTTGTACTCTTTTGCTCCAGAATTATTTTTTGGCTTCTTATAATAATTTTTCTATCTTTGTTGATATCCTCATTTTGTTTATGTATTGTTTTCCTGATTTCTTTTAGTTGTTTGTCTGTGTTTCCCCTTAGCTCTTTGAGTGTTTTTAAGACAGTTGCTTTAAAGTCTTTGTCTAATAAGTCTAGTCTTTGTCTAATAAGCCAAGTCCTGTCTTGGCTTCCACAGGAACAGTTTCTGTCAATTTCTTATGTTCCATTGAATGAGTCATGTTTTTCTGTTTATTTTTGTACCTGTGATTTTTTTTTTAATTATATGTTTGATTATTATAATATCATAACTCTGGAAGTCAGAGTCTCCTTTTCCCCTACGGTTTGCTGGGGTTTTTTTTGTTTTATTTGATTGTTAAAGACTCTGCTAATCCATTTTTTTTTTTTTTGAGACTTTTCCAAACTATTTTTGCCAAAACTTTCTTATTGTGTATGTTCACTGAGGTCTGTTCCTTTTGCTTCTATTCAGCTGTTTTGACAGGTTTCATTGAATTCCAAGAACTGAAATAGACAAACTAACAAAAAAAGAAAGCAAAAATGAGAGAACAACCCTGTCCCCCATTCTTTGCAGACTTGCTGTATGCTGGGGCAGTCCTTTGCTGAGTAGCCAGGCTTGCTGTGAGCCTAGGGATCAGTCTGTGGTAAAGGTTTAAGGTCTTCTCAGGACTCTTTTCAGCATGCATCTTGCCTGGTTATGTGGGTGGCCTTCAAAACTCCTTCATATACATGGCTGCTTTTGAAAGTCCTAATTTCCTAAGAATATCACCAAGCTTCTTCTCCAGCCTTTAGATGGTCTATTGTATGTCTCCATCCAGAATTTTTTGCCTCAGGCATCCATTGGTTTATGTTCCTCTTGTAGCTTTTACAAACAGTGGTCACCATTTTTACTGCCCGTGTTCAGAGATACGTGGGACAGAGATGAGTTAGTCCTTCATGTTACAACAGATGTACACAATTATATGCAAATAAGGTCTGGTCTGCCTCCTCTAGTTTGATGAGGGGAACTGAGAACCCGGTTATTCCCTTGTAAGACTAAGGTTGTCACCACTCTGAGGAGGGGCTGGGTCAAGGACAAGTTAAATGCCACAAAACTTTCCCACCATTTTGAAAGTGACTTTTACTTTATTGGGTGCTTGGGTGGGTTACTATAAAACCTTTAATCGTTTTTCAGAGCTCCTACAAAGTTGGCTCAGACAGCTTCTGGGTTTTTTTGATGTTTCTGTGGGAGAATGATGAGAGCTTAGAGCTTCCTAGTTTGTCCTTTTTCTGATACCATTCTCTCCTTTGAAATAAACTGGAAACTATGGTGTTTGAAATTTTTTACAGATTAACCAGAAGGGCTCGGAGAAGCCACTTGAGCAGACATTTGCAACAATGGTGTCTTCCTTGGGAAGTGGAATGATGAGGTACCTCACTAGAAATCTGTTGCAGGTCTTTTCAGATCAGATGTGCACTTACATATATGCATGATTACATAGAGCTCACTAGACATATGTTTCAGCTTGCATTTTTTTCAATAGTAGATCAAAGCATGATATTTTGTTGGCTTGAAATTTCTCTAGCATAATTTATGTTGCAGAATAACTTCTTTTCAGTCAAGTTTTGAGTTTAGTCTCTGATTAAAATTCCCTCATTGAGGCTTTGTGCTCCAGAGAGTTTCCATAGATAATACTTTGCCACTAGAATTGCCTTAAGGAATTTGGACTAGGCCTCTTTGCAGTGCATACCTGATTGCTGTACTTGAGCTTACTTCACTACCATTTGTTGTGTTTCTCCTCTACTCCTCCTGAGGGCCCCAGAAGAACCTGTGAGGATAGATATATATGCATATATTTTCATGTTTATATCTGCACATATCATATATATATTTTTTCCTCTGCTAGGTATGAGCATGAGAAGGGGTGTGTGTGTGCATGTAGTATATGTATAGTGATAAACCCAGAGTGAAGGAGGTTCTAGTGTTCCCAAGAAATATGTATGCACTGATATAAAGAGGAAAATCAGCTTATGAAGGTATTATTAATAGAAGGAAAATGAATGATCTCTGGTCGGTTTCTGAATATCTTTTCTTTTGGTAGATACATTGCCTTTGACTTCCATAAGGAATGTAAAAATATGAGATGGGATCGACTAAGTATTTTATTGGATCAGGTAGCAGAAATGCAAGATGAATTAAGGTAAGCTATATTATTTCCTTAAGGAGGTAGAGGGAAGAGGTATATATATCAGTCATATTTTATTATGCGTCATCCAGCAGACTTACAAGTACAGTTCACTGGATTGTCATTGCTTGTCTGTACTATTTTATTATTTTTAATTTCTTTACTGGAAAGATGAGACTTGGTGACTTCAAAATATTTTTGAATTCTTAAAAATGACCCAAGGCCAGATATCTTCATATTTTTATAAATTATCTACCATACATTTACAAATTTTTGTATAATTGAACTTGGTTTACTACTATTTTGTATTGTCGTTTCCACTAGACATTCTATCACAAGTATTTTGTTGTTAACCTGTACAGCGTCTGTAATGATAGTGTTTAATGGCTTTTCTATATTCTGTTTTATCATAACATAGTTCTAAGAAAGTGCTTTTCTTCACCCTGAGCACCTGGTTTATTTCCTTTCCTCTTTCTATCATGAAAGATTGTGGTGCCATGAATCATTATATATATTTTACATCTGTTAAATTTATTTCTTTAAAAAAATTCTTCAGAGTAGGATTAATGGATCAAAGGGTCTGAATGTCTTTGCAGTACTATATTATCATATTGGTTCAGGTTTACCATACTCTATGCGTGCCAGTCTTTACCGATTTTAAAGCCAGAAGAAGGAATCTGTAAATCGTACTACCATTTTCTTCTGCCTGTGTGTGATGGTTCTAAACCTGGCAATCCAAATGCACTTTTTAATTTGTTACACAATAATATAGTAAAACCTCTTGGATAGACATTTGCTCAGTTTTCAAAAATATCTTTTTATATACATTAGGTAATCAACTACAGTTATTTAAATCTGCTTTTTTTCTGTGACGTTTTGCCATGAACACAGAAGGGAAATTGACCTCCTGTTGTTGGGCAATTAGAGAAAACATTGGCTGGCCCTGGCATGTTGTTGGAGGAGGTAGTTCCTTGGGTTCACCCATTAACTGCTGCCGTACAAGAGTGTAAGAAAGAAGGAGAGTTGACTCCAGAGTTTGTGTTCGTTGCTGTTCACTGTGGTCCACAGGGAGAGCAGAGCTTTCACTGGTGACTTTCAGATGATCTCTCGAGACTTTTTTCTAAGGGTTTTGGGGGTAGTGGGAAGAATCTGGGCTTTGGGATCCAACACACCTTGGTTTGAATTTAAGTTTTTCTCTTAGTAGTAATATGACCCAGGGCCACTTAGTTATCTTCAGACTTCGGTTTCTTCATTTGTAAAGTGAAGATGATAACTTACTGTATAGTTTAAGCGATAATGTTTATAACATATCTAGGATTTTATAAGTATTCATGGGGTACGGACACACACACCCTTGCACACACATATATATGTACACCAACTCTAAACGAACCTTACCAATTCTGCATGATCCATATGTAGATTTTTCATCCTAACACATTCTTCCACGCTTTTGTTCCTGAGGTCATGATTTGTATTTAGCCCTTGATGAATCTGTTGCATTTTCTTCCTCCTTTTGGATTTTGGAGAATAGTTTCAATAGTTAACATTATCCAGTATTCGTTGTTTGCTGTGTTCCATACACTGTGCTAAGTACTTTATGTGCATTATGTGTTATCTCATTCAAACCTTAGAGAAGCCTAATGGTGGTGCTGCTGTTACCTCCATTTTGTGGATGAAAAAGCTTACTATTTAAAGTTCTAGAGTTAGTAAGTTGCGTATGATGCTAAGGCTAGCAAACAGATAGTTTGCTTCCTGCATCCATATTCTTAACCACCACACTGTGTGTTGTCAGATTTTTGAATTCATAGAATTATCAAGGAGCTTGTTAAAGAAAACATGGGAACTGGTAACTGTGGTTGGTTGCAGTGCAGACATCTGGATGTTTAAGGGGAGGAAGGGAAACTGATTTTTCAAATAATACCCAATTGTTCTTTATAAATCTTGTACTATTTGCATGTATTACCCATTTAAGAATTTTTTTTTTTTTTTTTGGCTGGGGGCTGTGGCTCACGCCTGTAATCCCAGCACTTTGGGAAGCCAAGGCAGACGGATCACCTGAGGTCAGGAGTTCAAGACCAGCTTGGCCAACATGTCAAAACCCTATCTGTACTAAAAATACAAAAATTAGCCAGGCATGGTGGTGGGTGCCTGTAATCACAGCTACTCAGGAGGCCGAGGCAGGAGAATCACTTGAACCTGGGAGGCAGAGGTTGGAGTGAGCTGAGATCATGCCACTGTGCTTCAGTCTGGGTGACGGAGGGAGATTCCATCTCAAAAAAAAAAGAAAAAGAAAAAAAATATTTTTAAGTATTTAAAAAAAATTTTTTTTAATTTAGATACAGGATATCGCTCTGTCACCCAGGCTGGAGTGCAGTGGTGTGATCATAGTTCACTGCAACCTTTAACCCTTGAGCTCAAGTGATCCTCCCACTTTAGCCTTCTGACTACAGGTAGGCACCACCATGCCTGGCTACGTTTTTGTTCTTTTAGAGGCAGGGACTCGTTATGTTGTCCAGGCTGGTCTCGAACTTCTGAGCTCAAGTAATCCTTCCACCTCAGCCTCCCAAGTAGCTGGGATTACAGGCACGCACCACCACGCCCAGCTAAAAGTATTTTTAATGCAAAATATTCAATCCTTGCCTCAGAGATTCTGATTCAGTTGATCTCAAGGCCAGGAATCTTTTTTCACAAGCAACCCAGAGGATTCTAAAGATAGTATATGAATCATAAAGCCCTGACATCTAGGGATATAGTTGGAATAATTATGTTAGAGGAAACCCTCATCTGGCTTTGGGAAACATGATTGATTTGCACAGCAACCTTTTTAATACTCTTAACTTTACTTTTTCACATCTTTGGGGTGAGATGATCTCTAATCTTCAGCCATTTTTTGGATGGAGGGCTGTCTTGCCTCAGCCATTTAGACTTCTTTTTGGTCTAGGATAATCACATATGCCTGACCACACATTCCTGTCTGACCTTTTAATTTACAGTTTTTAATAATGTCACTGAAATGAGACCCATGTTATAAGAGTTAAGTCCTTAGTAAATCTGACCTACTTTGGTATGAGAGTGTTTATACAAATATGTTTTAGTTATTTTCTAGTGGACTCTGCTGGCCAGGTGGTGGCAAACCAGGAAGGCGTGTTCCGAAGCAATTGCATGGATTGTCTAGATAGAACCAATGTGATCCAGAGTTTGTTAGCTCGTCGTTCACTTCAGGCCCAACTTCAGGTGCGAATGCTTTTTTTTTTTTTAATTGAAAAACAACACAGCAAAAAATTAAACATCTTTAAAACCCAGTAACAAAAAATATTCACATTGCCCACACCCTAACCCAGCTCTTTTTATTTTTGTGTCTTGCCCATGGATGTCACATTTTCCATAACTAGGGTCAGTCTGTGTATGCACAGTTTTCACTTTTGCCATTTTCCCTTAGCATTTATGTAATCACAGTTTCTGGTGGTTGTATTGTTGTGCCGTAATTTACTAAGCCATTCAGATTGCTACATTTTTGGTTTATAAATAACACCGTAGAGAATATATCTGTATATGTTATTATTAACTTGAATTATTTCCTTCATGTTAATTCCTAGAAGTGGAATTACTGGGTTAAAGAGAATAAATATATTATTTTCCAAGAGCGTCATACCAGTTTACACTGACACCAATAATGAATCAGTAAATCCATTTCATTGAACTCTTCCCAGCATTTGATATTTTAATTTTTTTTTTGTTTTTCCTTGAGAAAGTGTCTGGCTCTGTTGCCCAGGCTGGAGTGCAGTGGTGCAGTCTCGGCTTGCTGCAACCTCTGCCTCCTGGGCTCAAGCCATCCTACTAACTCAGCCTCCCACAAAGCTGGGGCTACAGGCATGTGCCACCACACCTGGCTAATTTTTGTATTTTTTTTTGTAGAGACAGGATTTCACCATGTTGCCCAGGTTGGTCTCAAACCCCTGGGCTCAAGCAGTCTACCTGCCTCAGCTCCCAAAGTGCTGGGATTACAGGCTTGAGCCACTGTGTCTAGCCTCTTTTTTTTCTATTTCGTTAATACAAAAGTAGCACCTCAAGATTGTTTCTATTTATCTCTCTCTTATTACTAGCAAGGAATATTGACTCCAAAGTAAAAAGTTTCTGACACAGCTTTGCTTTACCACTAGACTATGCTGTTGAGAAAAATGGTTTTTTTCTTCTGTGTATATTTGGAATGAAAAAGATGTAGAGCCCCAATTTTTAAATCACATTGGCATTTGTTGTGAGGGGCAGACAAAATGCATACCACATGGTTTCCTGTTCAGGTAATTAGTAAGCATTCAGCTTTATTTCTGACAATTGTATGATACCGAGAAAGAAATTATGGAGGTAAAATACCCCCTTCAGAATGAATTGTTCTTGAATCTTAAAGTCACACCTGCCAGAGGAGTGCTGTCCCTGTTGGAGTAGTCTGTAGTTTGTATTGTGCTATGTCCTCGTCTGTTGGAAGGTCTTCTAAGTGTAGTTTTTAATAGAAACAATATTAGGAATGGTTTGGTTCCATGGCTGATTAACCAAAACTTACTTGACTAGGCTCTGCAATCCATATTTTACAATTTTACATGCTATATATAGTATTATGAAACCTAACCAACCTGCAGAGAGTGGGGGCAGGAGCCTCTCCAGCAGCTTTGCCTACTAGTGTAGGGGCTGTCTACTTGTGCCTCTCCAAGTCTGCCAGTGAAGGCAGAGTTCTTACCCAGCTAAAGGTCACCAAGGTGGCTCCTGTGCTGTGTCTGAGGGTGGGAATGACTCCTTCTGAGGTGGAGATGAGGTGTCATCTGAGGTAAGCAATGAAGATGGTGGTTCTCAGAAGTGATGGTCTGAGACAAGGCAGGGACTTGTCATCTGTGGTTGGTGGTCTCCAAAGGGGAGTCTATAGAGGGGATTCAGGGGGCCCAGCAACCCTGGGATATTCTATGTCTGTGTGTGTGCACTTTTGGGGAGGTAGATTAGGTGGCACTCATCAGATTCTTAAAGGTCCCTGGGACAGAGGGTAAGGCTGGGGTGACTCAGGGGTGAAGAAGTTGAGGGATGATGCATGTGAGGGGGTCTCAAGGGGTAGAGGCAGTAGAAGACTGGGGGTAAGAGGGAGGGAGGAAGTAGCGGCTGGAATCCTATAGCAGCTTTCACTCTCTCTTCTGACCCTCTCCCTGAGTATAGTCCTGCTGCTATCCCTCAAGGGAGTGCGGGGGCTGCAAGGCAAAGGTGCCCTCAGGAGAGGCTTTGCAGTCTGCCCTGGGCAGGAGAGGGCTGCTGTGAGCTGGGGCCCCCTATAGACAACAGACATTTCTGGCCTGCATCCAGCAACCAGGCACCATGAGATAAAATTTGGGGACTGCTTTTTCTTCCTAAACCATGTCTGCTAAAATCTATTACACATAAATCTGGGTGTGGTTTTTTATTCCAGAGACTAGGAGTTTTGCATGTGGGACAAAAGCTTGAAGAACAAGATGAATTTGAGAAGATTTACAAAAATGGTAGGTCATTTCTTTAATATAGACAAAGTTGGTCAGATTTTGAAATAAATTAATATTCTGGATTTAGAACTTTGTTTGTCATCTTAATAATTATCAGCTGTTTTTACTTTTTTCTACAGCCTGGGCTGACAACGCAAATGCTTGTGCCAAGCAATATGCGGGAACTGGTGCCTTGAAGACTGACTTTACCAGGCAAGCCATGCTTTTAAAATAGCATTCCACATCAGTAGTTCACAGTCCTGGTGCTTTTAAAAATCACCTGGGCAGCTTTCAGACAGCAGCAGCAACAACAGCAAGACTCCAGCATCTGGGCCTCACTTGAGACCTGTGGAGTCAGGATTTCTGGGAAGTGAGGCCCGGGTACTGGTGTGTTCTTAGCCACCCTGGGAGATTCTGATGCTTGGGGAGGGTTGAGAGCCACCGCTCCACAGTGCTCCTCAGACCTTACCGTGTACCTGAAGCACCAGTCTTGAGATGTGCTCTAAAAAGCACCCAGGTGATGCTGATGCTGCTTTCAAAGACTGCACTGAGTAATGAGGACATTAATGAGAACATTTTGAATGTATTATGCATGCAGTGGCTCTTTTTCTGCTATGTGGGTTCCCTGGGAGCAGAATAAGATTTCTAGTCTGTTTGCTTTGCTGTGTCCTACCACTTAACCTGGGCTATGTATTTCTCTTCATATTTCTTGTCTTTGCAACTGGAATTAGTGTGTTTCTTTGTGCCTCCTTTGGTAATATTTTAGAAAGAAAATAGGTATTTCTTGGACCTACAAGTGATTTCTTTTGTGAAGTATCTGTATTTTCAGGGATAGTTTTTAAAATCTGTCACTCACTTATTTCTATACCTTATGCTTATTGGCCATAAAACAGTGTGAGAATTCAGTGTACAAACCTGTAACTTAAAATTTAACCTCTTTAACCAGAACTGGAAAGAGAACTCATTTGGGACTTATAATGGATGGCTGGAACTCAATGATACGATATTATAAGAACAACTTTTCCGATGGATTTAGACAAGTAAGTTTGTATTTGATGCTTTCCTGGCATTACGTGGTTGTATCTTTGCATTGTTCATCACTAATGTTATCTCACACTGAGTTTACGAATTTCTTCCTTTCTGTTCTAGGATTCCATAGACTTATTTCTTGGAAACTATTCAGTGGATGAATTAGAATCTCATAGTCCTTTAAGTGTTCCAAGGGACTGGAAATTCCTGGCTGTAAGAAACCATTTTGTATTTTTCAAGTTTTTAAAAGCATTGTGTCTGAAGGTATAGATGGTTTCAGTCTCAATTTAAAACGTTATATGTGGTTTTATATTTCATTACATGAAATATAAATACTTAAGTTTTCCAAAGAGGTCAGGCTGAGGAGTACAGTAACTGTGGAGCATTTGTTTTCTTTTCCTCAGACTCTCACACATCCTTTTCATGTGAAGTAACATAAGCAAAGGGAATGTGGAAGCTTTCTCATTTCAGGAAAACTTCAATTCTCTTACATTGAGGGAATTGCCAGAGACAAACGTGTTACATGGAAGGCAAAGTTTATTTTTGATGCTTCTCTCCTTTTTGACTCCTCTGTTCACCAGACCCTGCAAGAGCCGCTCTGGATTTTCTTTCCAGTGTGTCAAGTGCTCTGGAATGGAAGGGAGGCCTAGTGTTCTAGGTCCTCATCTGGGCATCCTCCTTCCATTTAGCACCCTTTGGCTTGGAGCAAAAGCATGCTTCTTCCGATCTTACCACATCCCCCATCTAAAGTCTAGGGCAGTTGTGATTGAACCCATAAATAATAATGTTTTGTTGACAAAAGATATTAGCTGTGTATTAGCTGACAGATGAGTTTTATTCTTTTCCCAAGCAATGCATGCACAACTGATTTTGCTGCCATTGATTAGCATTCTTAAATGATGATCTCTTTCTATTGTCTTTTCCAGTTGCCTATTATCATGGTTGTTGCCTTTTCAATGTGCATTATCTGTTTGCTTATGGCTGGTAAGTCTGCTCCACACATTTGTTTCTTAGTTAGAATGTTGACCTTTCTTTTACAACATCTTAAGTTTTTGAGTTCACCGAACACTTGATGTTTCCCTATTAAATTTAATGGGTAAAGTGGATGTGACATTAGATTGTCATTAGATGTGACAGGAAGAAAAATAACATACCTAGTAGTTTGATGGTTGTCGTTTTTTTTAACCTCAGATTTTAAAAACATGTTTTTCTTATTACTGTAAACCAATGAGTGTCTGAGACAGGTCTCAGTCAGTTTAGAGGCTTAATTTGCCAAGGTTGAGGACCTGCCCAGGAAAAAGAGACACAAGATACAGTAGGATCAGTATCTTGTGCTTTTTCCAAAGAGGGTTTTAAGGACTTCAGTATTAAATGGGGAAAGAGTGTACAGGAGAGGAAGGAGGAATGGAAACAAAAGGGGAGGGTAGGTAGTAAGATAAGTGGTCACATTCTTGTGAGGCTTTGATTAGCACTCACTGAATCCATGTTACATGTGAAAGGACGGGGTAGAGGAACAGTCAATTATGCATTCATCTCCTGCTCAGTAAATCTGCATTTTATGTAAGACAAAGTAAACATAGAGTAGATAAAGAAGTCAGATCTGCATTTGTTTTGGGGTGGGCGGAGGGATGATTTTCTAGTCTTGTCTTTGTCCCATACCTGTGAAAATAAACTGTTAATTTACATTGTCAGGGTGAGGGAGATTCAACAGGACTGTCTTTTAGGGTAAAGATTTTGGGGCCCACAAGGAATTTGCTTGTGACAGTTTGTGAGGGTGGCCATCTGTGAGGATATGTGGCCCACTATCTTTGCAGCTGTCTACTTAGGAACAAAAGGAGGGTAGTTTTGTGAGACTCAGTTCCCAAGTTTAACTTTTTCCTTTGGCATAGTAAATTTGGAGTCCTGAGATTTTATTTTCCTTTCACATTACCAAAGTAATACATAGTAATTATAGAAAGCACACGTAGGCAGAAAAGGAGAAAATATTATTTATCATCATACCTTTGAGAGAGAAGCTAACCACTCTTAACATTTTGATGTTTTAATCTTTATAAGTGTCTGTGATTTTTTTTCAAAAGTGAGATACGTATTTTCATTATCTGCTTTTTTTCACTGAGCAGTATGTTTTCCCATGTTCTTAATTGCTAATGGCTGCAAAGTATTCCATTTATGGATGTATAGTTTAACCAACTCAAATAAATGTTAATGGATTAAGATATTACTTATCATTACATTTTAAAGGTTGAGAGTAAAATTGCCTGAGAACCTGAGGAGACAAGGTCTTTACTGGTTTTCTTTTTTCTCTTAATATTTTGCTATGTTACTGAGTTAATAAAGCATTTAAGATTAAAGTGAGAAGAATGTATTCTTTATTCTCCTTTGAGTAATGTCCTGTAATTTGGAGGTTTGAGTCTGAGACTTGGTGTATTGGACGTTGGAGATGCAATCCTAGTCACTCTGAAAGAAGAGGCACCTTCCAGCCTTCATCCTCTATCCTGAATTCGTTGAGCCAACCTCTCTCTGCCTGTCTGAATTCCACCATCCTCAGGGCACCATTCATATGCTCCCCTCTCACAGAGTGTCTCTCCCACACAGAAGTCTTCACCTTCTGTCTGGATTTCCACAGCACTCCTGGTCCTCTCTCCCAGCACTTTCCTCTTTTAACCTCATTAATACATAGGGAGTTATTTTTCAGAGGTGGTATACCTCTTTGGTGTACCTGACATACCCAGTGTGTATTTCTTTTTGGATGGTAATGATTTGCATACTTGTTTGTTTTTTTCACTGGATCAGCAACTTTTTGAAGGTAAAGACTGTGTCTTACTCATTGTTTTATCTCCTTTGTCCAGGATATAGTGAGCCCTCAGTAAATGTTTGCTGAATTAAGGACTCACTCCACCACCACCACTAATTCTGTCACCTTTTTGATAGGGAGGCTCAGTTACCTGTTCATCTCTGTATTCCCCTCAGTGCTCAGCCCTGTAGACAGTCGTGACATAGTTTTAACTAAATGCTGAAATGTTGAGTAGGGGGAAAGAAAGAGCCATCTTATTATTATTATAGTTAGCAAAATTTTTCTGTAAAGAGCCAGGTAGTAAATATTTTTGTCTTTATGGATGGCTGTACATTCTTTGTTTTTGTGTTTATAACCATTTAAAAATGTAAAAAGCATTCTTACCTTACAATACAAAAACAGGTTGAAGCACAGGTATTGCCTGGGACATGACTGCAGGTTTTAGGGCAGGAAGGAAGAGGCAGCATGTGCCGGTTCCTCAGCGGCCAGCCCTGCTTTCATTTCCTCTCTGGGTCCTCTGCCTTCTTTCCTGAAAACACTGCCCAGCGCATGCCATTTTTGGGGAGCCACTCTACTGTTAAATTAGTTCATTTTGTTGTTGTGACTATACCCACATTTACTTAAAGAACCTCTGGAGAGGCAGGAAAGTCAAGACCAAGAACTCTGCTTGAATGAAACGGATGATTCCTTTAGGGAGTGTCCAGCAGAGTGGCTAACAAGGAACTGCCCTTCTTCTTTTGTCCAAGAAGAATTTTAAACTTCAGAGCCATGAAAATGAGCAATTATGCAAATTCGAGTATATTTTGAGTAAAAAGAGATTGGATGCTGTGGATGGTAACTTCTCATGTCAGTTTATTCTTATGATAAACTTTGTGATGTTTGGTTATGGTAATATCTGATTTCTAGCTCCTGCTGTGGTTTTCAAAGAGAATAGAAAACAAATGTAGCATGATCTCTGAGGGCTTGTTAGGAAGGAGTCTGGATGCTAGTTTCTTCCGTGGTGTGCTCACTGGCTGTCATTCCCTGTATGTATTTCTCCTTCTGCAAATGAGGCCAGTAGTGTTGCAGAGAGAGAAGCTATTCTCTAGGTTCAGCTATTCAAGGAGTAAAACAAAGTAGATCTTTGCCCACCGGCTTGCTGCTAACCTTTATGAACTTCGGACTTTGGAAAATGCATATCAGCAGAGTTGGGTTAAATATGTCATTAAAATAGGTTATTGGCTGGGTGCTGTGGTGTGTGCCTATAGTCCCAGCTACTCAGGAGGCTGAAGTGGGAGGATCACTTGAGCCCAGGAGTTCTGGTCTGTAGTGTGTTATGCTGATCGGATGTCCGCACTAAGTTCAGCATCAATATGGTGACCTCTTTGAGCAGGAGATCACCAGGTTGCCTAAGGAATGGTGAACTAGTACAGGTTGGAAACAGCAGGACAAAACTTTCATGCTGATCAGTAGTGGAATGGTGCTTGTGAATAGCCACTGCACTCTAGCCTGGGCAACACAGCAAGACCCCATCTCTAAAGAAAATGTTATTGACTTTTGTTTTATATATTTGTGTATATGCAAAAAATACTCTACAAAATATACATAACTTCAGAAAAGTTATGTATAACTTATGTTTGGTATTTATGAATATTCTATTAATTTTTTGTGCAGGTGTTTTGACAATAGCTCATATCTGTTATAGAACTATGAATTAAACTTAATAGTTATTTGTATTATTAAAATATACTAAAAGTGATCATTATTATTTGTATAATATAATATGAAATCATTTAGTCCAGTGGTTCTCAAAGTGTAGCCTCTTGATCGGTAGCATCAGCATCACCTGGGTACTAGGAACTTGCTAGAATGCAGATTCCTGGGGCCCAACAGTTGATGCTTTATCAAGCCCTGCAGAAGATTCTGGTACTAGCCAGGGTTTGAGAACCACTGGTTTAAACCTTAATTAAGAGGTTCTTATATTTTTCCTGTGAATGTGCTAGTAAACTTTAATGTTGCCAAAATGTGCTAAACAGCTGAAAACTGGGTCTGATATCAACAAACGACTTATTTAGCTTTTTGTTTCTTAATATCAACAGGTGACACTTGGACAGAAACACTGGCCTATGTGCTCTTCTGGGGAGTTGCAAGCATTGGAACATTTTTTATCATTCTTTACAATGGCAAAGATTTTGTCGATGCTCCCAGACTGGTCCAGAAAGAAAAGATAGACTGAATTTGTATTTGTGGAAAGCGGCTTGGCTTGGAAGATTCCATTGTGCAGAACTGGAGTCTTTACTGACCCGCTTTCCACATCAGCCCAAGGTCTTTTTAATGCCTTTATCCAAAAGCACATCTTGTGCTCCATGCAGGATGATGACAGAATTGATCTGATGTTACTGCCTTGATGGTCTCTTTACTATTGGGACAGTTAGATTTATAATTTGAAGCTATTCTGTAATTAAAATATAACCTGAATTCAGCTTGCAGAATGGAAGCTGAATCTGTTCATTGTATTCTATTGATTGTCAATTTAATTAGCTGTTGCAGAATAAGTAATATATTTTAAAAACCTAGCTCCTTTCATTATTTAAAACAGCAAAATTATTTTTGTAGCTCAGTTTCATTATTGTCATTGTAGAAGCGGTCACTATTAGCAGGCATACTTTTCCACACATCTTTGGACTTTTCTTAAAAGTTCAGTAATAAGCTAACTGTGTTTATAAAATGTAAGTCTCTTACAGACATCAAGTAGTTTGATGAGACAGTCTGTGACTTCATGATAGGAAAGAGGAGGATGAGGTCTGGGGTTCTTTAAAGTCTCTGGTGGGCTGCCTCATGACTTTAATCAGCTTGAACTGCCAGTGCACCAGCAGTTTAGGTGTGATGAGAGAATTCAGATATACTTTATCTTTTTAAAAAAGTGTAAATAAAATCAAAGAATGTAAAGTCTATCTCTTACGCTAGAGGTCCAAAGCTGCCTCTGTTTTAAAGATTATCCCAATGTGGAAGATGCCCATGACTGGTCAGCTACTTCCTCCTATACATTTTGGTTTCTTTGAGGGTCACTCATTGAGACACGCAGGCCTCTGAGAGGGTCTTGTTCTAGATTTCATATTGCACTTGGAGGGTAACAGCTGCTTTTTCACGCATGGTACTCTTGATGTTTTTCACTCTGTCAAGGATTTTGTTGGCTATCAATGAATGTGTCTAAAACTTAGTGCTTCCAGGTAGTTATAGTACTCCAAATCAAGGACCAACTTAAACGTTAATTTTTGTGCAAAAACAAACCTGAAAAATATGCTTCGGAAACTGTGCATAGTTCTAATTGTAAGTCAGATTGTATATTCAAATTGTAATTAAGAGATTTAAATATTAGAACGGTATGTAAGGTAGTATAATTACCACTATTTTAAATAATTCAGTTAAACACTGCTGCAATATTTCAGTGTTGTGCTTGAAAATATGTACAGTTTTTTTCCAATATTAATACCTTATGTTGTCCTTAAATATTTCTAAAAGCGCCTTTATTTCAGCATTACCTTTTTTTCATCACTATCTTTTATAAAACATTAATATAAGTCGTTACTTTTAGAAACTAAAGGAAATAATAGCTGGAAAACCCTCTGTAGTTTAAAATCAGTCATTAAACTCACAATAGGGTAAGTAAATATAGCCACCTGTTAACATGTAAATAAGCATAATTTGTTCCAAAGATGGAATATTGAAACTTAGTTCATGTCTGCTGTAAAATATTATTTAAATGCTGCTGGGCATTTCACTTAAAGAACTTAATGTCAACAGCTACAACAAAGACCAAATCTGAACTGCTAATGTGGCTGCTTTGTAGGGAATGGACTAATATCAGTGTGTTAGATCTTAAGGTATCAGTATTTCAGAATCCTGCGACGATTTTATTTCTAAATTCATGTACTGTATGTCCATAAGTGAAAATAAAATGTCATATTCTTTTCTATTATTGGTATCATTCATGTACTTTGAAAGTGATGTTTTTCTTTTTGATCTTAGAATGCTAAAAATCATGCAAAATGATAGACGGTTTGGCTCTGTGTCCCCACCCACCCAAATCTCATCTCAAATTGTAATCCCTACGTGTTGAGGGAGGTACCTGGTGGGAGGTGGTTGGATCATGGGGGATGGTTTCCCCCATGCTGTTTTCATGAGTTTGCACGAGGTCTGATGGTTTAAAAGTGTTTGGCATTTACCCCCTTGCTCGCTCACTTTCCTGCCACCGTGTTAAGATGTGCTTTGCTTTCCCTTCACCTTCTGCCATGATGAAGTTTTGTGAGGCCTCCCCAGCCATGCGGAACTGTGAGTCAAACCTCTTTTCTTTATATGTTACCCAGTCTCAGGTAGTTCTTTACAGCAGTGTGAAGACAAATTAATACACAAAGCAATGCATGATCATCATAGAAAAATTAGAGTAAGCAAGAAAATCAGTAGCTTCTGCAATTTTGCTTTCCAGTTATGATCACTTAAGAAATTTTGTATCTCCTTATAGTTTTTATTTTTAGTTATAGAGAAACCCAGGGAAATATTTAGTAAAGTGTAATGTCCATAAAAAGGTGTCCCCCACCTTCAAATTGTAATTTGTTTTTCAAAATGTTATGAATCCCAGCTGATGTGGGAAAATATTGCTTATTAGAAAATGACACCTCCACAGGAAGGTGTCAGCATGAGGGAAATAGTGATGGAAACACATTGGTACCTAGTGATGGCAGCAGTGGGCCGTCTGGAGTGGCTGCTGCCATTGTGCCGGCCGTAGCAGGGAGGTGTGAGTGGTGGCTGCAGGAGCAGCCGTGGTGATGGTGAGACCCCTGTGCCCCACGTTCCCTGTGCCCCGTGTCCCTGTGGCAGCCGACTGCGCCGCCCCCACCCCTGTGTGGCCGAGTGGGGCCTGCCTCCAGGCCTGGAGCCACCACTGCTCTGGACCCTGGTCCGCGTTACCACCACTGTTGCTTGCTGTTGCCAGGAGGGCGGAGAGTCCCTGGAGCCTGCTGCAGGGATACCCCTGGAGCCTGTCTCCCGGGGGGCCGCCGCAATGTGGCCAGGTTGAGTTGCCTGCCGGCGGGGGAGCAGCGTGATTGTGCATGGAGGACCAGGCAGAGAAGGGCCACAGGCGGAGCTGGGCCCGGGGTGGTGCCATGCTTGCACATGGAGCACGGGGGCCGCGCCTGGGGTGCGGAGCTGGGGCTGTCCTTTGGGGGCCTGGAGTGGGAAGTGGGAGCGGTGCTCACTTTGGGGACACAGCCAGTGGCACGGCCACCGCACCCTTCCTGCTGACTGGCGCCGGATTCCTGCGCCTTGGGAGGAGGCTCTGCGCAGGATTTCCCAGGGCCGGATCCCCAGGGTCTGCCTCATAGCGGGGTGACCTCTGAGCCTGATGCTCCCTAGGACCAGGCCCAGGGCCTGCAATCCGCTCCTGGAGGCACTCCTGCTGGGCAGGGCTGTGAGCCAGGCAAGGGAGAGCCCTAGGCCACCCCTGAGCACTGGGACCACAGGAAGAACTTGTGGTGACGTCACTCTTGCCTCAGATGCCAGCATGGGCCCAGCAAGGAACCTGAACCCCTACCCCAGACTGCGAGGAGGCATGGCCAGAGCCGCCTGCACGTCCATGGAGCAGGTGGGAGACTCGCCTTCCCAGGCACAGGACCTGGGTATCCGCACTGTGCACCCTCGGGAGCCAGATCTCAGAGTGGGGTTGGAGCCGAAGCTGGGCATTGTCACAGCTCAGCAGGGTGTGTGCACACTTGGGGCAGCACTGAAAAGCCAGCCTCCTGCCACGTCGGCCCCCTCTGGACTTTGGGCACCAACAAGCACTGGTGGAGGGGAGGGGAAACTGAGGGGGAGGCTAAGGGTGTCTCGGTGCTGACCTGCAGGTGCCCCTTGGTCAAGCAGTCTGGGCACCATGGATGGCTGCAGGAGGCAGACAGGCTCCTGGGCAGAAAGGGGCGGGTCCCTGGTGAGGCCCCACCTTCAGGCCACGGACGGCCTGGAAGCTGGGGGCTGGGCTGCCAGTTCTGTGGACCTGACTGGAATGGGAACTTGTGCCTTTTCTGGTCCCACCTATGGCTGCCCACGGACCAATTGGCATATTCAGTTTCTCCCTCCTGAGGCCCAGAAAGGCCCTGGGCTCAGCCAAAGCAGAGCAGAGACAATGGGACAACCAGCTGCAGAGAAGAGCTACCCTCTCTGCTGATAGCTGAACACTTGGGATGACCTGCCTGGAGAGAGCAGCTACCCTCTCTGCTAGGAGCTGAACACTTATCGGAACACCCTGGCTGCGGAAAGGAGGTACTCCCTGCAGGTCTCCTCTGAGCTGTTCTATCACTCGATAAAGCTCCTCTTCATCTTGCTCATCCTCCACTTGTCCACATACTTCATTCTTCCTGGCCACAGGACAAGAACTCAGGACCCGCCAAATGGTGAGGCTAAAAGAGCTATAACAAACAGGGCTGAAATGCCCCTTGCTCACCACATTGTGCGCGAAGGAGAGAAGACCTGCAGCCCTTCAGGGAACCCAGACCTGGGAGTTCCCTGAGTCAGGGCTGTGACTCCCTCTTTGGGGTCCTGCAGTTCCTAGCATCTCTAAGCTTCTGGGCACTACCGTCTTCCGCACTGGCAGCCGTGGAAGCTGCTTGCATGCATGCCTGGTCCAGCTGCAGCCTTGCAGAGAGCCCGCACCCATGCCAGCACTTGGAGCTGCCTACCCCACTGCAGCAGCTGGTGTGTGTAACTGCAGTGGTTGGGCCCCATGCTTACATACCCCTTGCTGCTCCATACCTGACTTGGCCTTGGCAGGCATGGGATCCAGGCCCGTAATGTAAGCCGAGCTCAGCCTGCCAGGCTGAGTGGGCGGAACAAGCCCAGCAGGCCTGAACAAAACACGGGCAAAGGCACCACTGGCCACAGAGGTTTCCAGCCAGAAAACCAACACCCCAAAGATCCTGTAACATTAGGAGGACTCTCACTCATGTGGGAAGTGAGATGAAATTCCTTGGAAATGGCTCGCTCTTAATCCCATGTGCTCGATCTCGTTCTCTCTCTCTCACCAGCTGAACTTTGGAGCACTTTTGGAGTAATGTGGGTTCTCTGTATTAACAGTTGTTTTCTGACAGTGGATCAGAAAACATATAAATATATATATATATATATATATATATATAAAAACATATATCTCTCTTGAGGATAAATTATATAATAATTATATTTTTATATATATATATAATCTCAGGATAAATTAGGGTAAATATTTAAAATATTGTCTTCCCATAATTCATTTTTCCAGTTTCTTAGTGAAATAATTTCAAAATTTGGTCATTAATTTGAGAATTAATGAGGTGTCCTTGTGCTCCCAACCAGGGACTGCAGGGGATGTATGATACCTTCCAGCTCTGAATGACCTCAGTGCATCTATCACTGCATAACAAATTACTCCAAAACTTACTGGCTTAAAGCAACCCCTATTTATTCGTATTTATCATCTCACAGTTCCTGTAGGTCAGGAATTTGGGCACAATTTAGCTCTGTCCCCCATTTCAGGGTCTCCCACAGGCGCCAGTCAAGGTTCAGCTGGAGCAGGATCCACTTTAAAGATCACTCTCGTTGTTGGCAGGTGTATTAGTTTGTTTTCACACTGCTGATAAAGACATACATGAGACTGAGCAATTTACAAAAGAAAGAGGTTTAACTGGACTTACAGTTCCAAGTGGCTGGGGAAGCCTCACAATCATGGTGGAAGGCAAGGAAGAGCAAGTCACGTCTTACGTGGATGGTGGCAGGCAAAAAGTGAGAGAATGAGGAAGACTCAAAAGTGGAAACCTCTGATAAAACCATCAGATCTCATGAGACTTATTCACTACCACTAAAACCACTCCCATGATTCAATTATCTCCCACTGGGTCCCACCCACAGCACATGGGAATTCAAGATGAGATTTGGGTGGGGACACAGCCAAATCATATCAGCAGGATTCAGTTCCTTGTGGGCTGTTGGACTGGTCCGCTTGCTGGCTGTTAGCTGAAACTCTCCCTCAATTCCTTGCCACATGGGCCTGTTCAACATGGCAACTTGTTTCATCAAGTCAGCAAGAGAGAGTCTGCTAACAAGGAGGAAGTCACAGTGTCTTGTCTTTTTTTTTTTTTTTTTTTGAGACAAAGTCTCGCTCTTGTCCCCCAGGCTGGAGTGCGATGGCGTGATCTCTGCTCGCTGCAACCTCCGCCTCCCAGGTTCAAGCGATTCTCCTGCCTCAGCCTCCCAAGTAGCTGGGATTACAGGCTCCTGCCACCATGCCCAGATAATTTTTCTATTTTTAGTAGAGACGGGGTTTCACCATCTTGGCCAGGCTGGTCTTGAACTCCTGACGTCAGGTGATCTACCCGCCTCAGCCTCCCAAAGTGCTGGGATTACAGGCGTGAGCCACCGCACCCAGCCCACAGTGTCTTTTATAACTTAATCTGGAAATTGTTATCCCATCACTTTCACCACATTTCTGTGCACTAGAAGTCACTAGGTCCAGCTTATTCAAGAGGAGGAGATAACACGAGCACATGAATACCAGGTGGCAATCTTTGGGGGCCGTCTTAGAAGTCTGCTGACCATAGTCAGAAAGGAGAGAATACAAAGGTAAAGTGCAGAGCTGTTGCTGGAGGGAGTCAGGTGGCTTCCTGGAGGAGGTGGGGCTTATGCTAGGACCTAGGTGTTCTGGTTATCTAATGCTGTGTAGCAAATTAGCCCGAGAAAGAAAGAGGGGGACGGAAGGATGAAGGAGGGAGAGGAGGGACATAGACACAGCAGGTGTACCATGAACACCCTATCCAAGGCAGCTAGTTGAGCTCCCCAGAGCCAGGGCACAACTCTGCTATTATCCTTAACTCCTGGCTATGTTTCCTTCTTTGGAAGGAGTGTTGGGAAAGGCACCTAGCTTGTAAGAATTCAATATTCCACCTCAATCTAAAGCTTTACTGTTTCCCTCTGTATGCTTTTGGGCATCTGGATCATGACTGGGGAGAACAGAACTTGCACCTTGGAAGCCCATGGTCTCCTTCCCACTGCCATCCCTACCTCTTCCCACAGATGACCACTAGCCTTGCATTTCTTCCTAGTTTAGTACATAGTATGTATCCCTAGATACATAATATCTATATAATGTATATGTAATATCTGTATTGTTTCGTTTTGCTTGTTTTTGAAGTGTCTAGAAATGGCATCATTCCATATGCATGATACAGCTGGCCTTTGAATTCAGCATTGCTCTAAGATTCATCTACACTGACGGTTATAGCTGGAGTCCACCCTGTTGTTGTCTGCCTTGTTTGTTTGTTTGTTTGTTTGTTTGAGACAGGGTTTCTCTCTGTCACCCAGGCTGGAGTGCAGTGGTGCAATAGCTCACTGCAACCTCCGCCTCCCGGATTCAAGCAATTGTGCTGCCTCAGCCTCCCGAGTAGCTGGGATTACAGGCATGCGACACCACGCCCAGCTAATTTTTGTATTTTTAGTAGAGACAGGGTTTCACCATATTGGCCAGGCTGGTCTCAAACTTCTGGCCTCAAGTGGTCCACCCGCCTTGGCCTCCCAAAGTGCTGGCATTACAGGCGTGAGCCACTGCGCCTGGCCAACTGTTGTTTACTTTGAATGAATGTATTACAACATATGTATTCATTTGGATCTATTTATGACGGTCACAAATCATTTTTTGTCTAGTCTAATATTGATGGATATTCTGGTTGTTTTTGGTTGTTTGTTTTTGCACTAAGTACTGCTGTGAGTATTGTATATGTCTCCAGCTCACACAGGAAATTATTTCTCTATGCTCCATGCTCAGTGGTAGAATTATAAGCCTGAAATATATAAGGTAACATGAAATTCTTTTCTAAATTGCTTGTGCCATTTATATTGCTCCCAGTTCCACATTATCACCAATGCTTGGCACTGTCAGACTTCCTAACTTTTAATCCAGTAGGTATAAAAATCGTATCTCATTTTGGCATTTCTCAGATCACTAATGAGATTGAGCATCTTTTCATAGTTTTGACATTCTTTATATTTTAGAGAATAATTATCTGTTAGTTAATATACTACAAATATCTTCTCTCTGTTTTTAGCTTGTCTTTTCATTTTCTTATGATGACTTTTGATGAAAGAAGTGTATAAATGGTGCTGAATTGACCAGTATTTTCCTAGCACATTTTGTGCTTATGTAAGACCATATGATGTCATCTGACAGAGTCCAGTGTTCTTTTTCCTGTAGAGTTAGCCAGTTGCTGAGAATGTTGTTGAATCTTGTCCCTCCTGGCCTGCAGTGCCACCCCTATCGTCTCTCAGGTCCGCTCTACTTGTGGGTGTTGGGGCTTTCTATTCTCATCTATTTGCCGGTATGTTTTCACTGCTGAGAACGCATCTTGTTGGATGGTTCTGTCCCTGCCATGAGCCCTGGGCTCCTCCATCTGTTAGGCAGACAGCTTTGATGCCATGCATTTTCCTGACCTGCAGTGCAGTTTTGGAGTAATGTGGGTTCTCTGTGTTAACACTTGTTTTCTGACGGTGGATCTCTAGTGAGAACTGTATGCAAACACTGAATTACACAGAGTTATCTAACCTGCAGGACTTTGCTCAGAGGTTTGAAAAGTGACTCTCCTAGAGGAGGTATCGGCTGTGCAGCAGCACCCAAACTTTGTAGCCTGTAGAATCTTTTGTTCCTAGAGCATCTCATAGGACCAGCCTTCCATGGGATTCATTTTGTGAAAGGCCAGCATGGACGTGACTACTCTGGCCTTGAAGCTGAGAAACATGGGCTATAATCTATTTGTACCTCACCTGAGTGTTGAATCTGATGGCCCCTCAATTATAAATTTTAAAAATCTCATCCAGGTGGTAATTCCTTAAGAGCCATGCACACACACATGCACATCTGCACACACCTGCTGAGAGATCCGGGTAAGTCTACGAGTGGGGAGTCTTCCCTGGTGTCCAGCGCTCATCCTTTCCTGCCTCTGGCCTCGTTCCTCTGGGCTGGACATCCATGCAGAGGCTCCATGATGTGCTCTCACTGGGGGACCAATTAGTAAGGGGCTGTGACACGTTTAAGTGAATTCCCTGGTCCCAGGTGAAGGAGTTAGATGATCTGTTTGTTCCTAACACTTGCCTTGGTAGATTATTCTGAGCATGAATTTGCTTTTTGTTTTTGTTTAGTCAAAGGTTCAGGTGTTCATCTTTCTCCATTCACCATTTTCAGTGATGCATGCCTATTGCCCTTTATTCTAGTTGTACAAACCTAAAGTACCATCCACTAAAATACTGTGTTAACATTTTATGTCCCAAATCAAGCTCCTATTATAGTTGGGTTCAAATATAGACTAACATTAGGAAAAGTAGAAAGTGTTAAGTGGTAAGTCATGTTTAGCAGAATTTATGATGTTCTCTCTGAGCTTCTGGGACCACACATTCTCCTGGGTTTTGTTTTTGTTTTTTGTTTTTGTTTTTTGTTTTGAGACAGGTTCTTGCTCTGTCACCCAGGCTGGAGCGCAGTGGTGCAACCTCTGCTTCCCAGGCTCAAGTGATCCTCTCACCTCAGCCTCCCGAATAGCTGGGACTCCAGGCATGCATCACCAGGCTTGGCTAATTTTTGTATTTGTTGTAGAGACGAGGTTTTGCCATGTTGCCCAGGCTGGTCCCCAGTTCCTGGCCTCAAGCGATCCGCTGGCTTGGGCCCCCCAGTGTTGGGATGACAGGTGTGAGCCACCACACCTGGCTGCTCCATTCCTTGTTAATCTCTCCTCTCTACTTCACAATGCTGTGAGTCAGGAATTCAGGCAGAGTTTGCCTGGGTGATTCTTCTGTTCCAGATGGCACTGATGGAGGTGACTCAGTGGCATTCATTTGACAGATGGGCTGGTCTGTCTGGCCCAAGCTTGTCTGGTGCCCAGGCATGGCTGGAAGGTGGACTCAGCTGGTCCTGTGAGCTGGAGTACAGCAGCCTCAGGGTGGTGGGGCTTCATTCATGGCAACTTAGGGCTCCCCAGGTGAATGTTCCAACAAACCAGGTTGAAGCTGCATGGCCACATGATCTAGCCTTGAATGTCAAATGGTGTCCCTTCCATCATATTCTTTTGGTTGAAGCAATCACAAGCCCACCTAAATACACAGACCCTATCCCTCCGTGGGAGAGGTGGAAAATCACATGTGGCCATGTCCGAAAACACATTGGAGTTCCTGTAGGCCTTGGTCGCAGGCCCTCTTCTTTGTGTATACTCACCCTGGATGACCTCATTTAGACCTGTGGCTTTAAATAGCATCTCTCCACTGTAACTCCCAAATGTATATCTCTAGCCCAGACGTAACCCAACCTCCAGATTCTTGTGTTCAACAGGTTACTGGATATTTCCACCTAATTCACAGACATCTCAAACTTCACATGGTCAAACCACTCTTGATTTTTACTCTGCAGGCCAGCTCTGTTCCCCACTTTCCTCATCTCCGGAAATGGCACCAGCATCCCCCCAGCAGGTAAAGCTCTTTATCCCCCTTTCCCTCAGCTGGGAATCCAACCCATCAGCAAGACTTGGCAACTTTCCCTCCAAAGTATAACTCAAGCTTGCCTATTTTTCTCCATATCCATTCCCACGTCCATGCTGCCATCATCTTCCATGGCTTTACTACAGTAGATTCTGGAGTGATTTTCCAGCCTCCCTTTATGCCCCGCTCCCATCCATCCTCTATGGCAACAGTGATCTTTCAAACATAAATCAGATCTTGCCAGACCCCACAGTGAACCCTCAGTGGCACTCTCTTTCTCTTCAACGAAAATGAAGCTCCTTGCTGTGGCCTGTGAGGCCTTATGTGATCTGGCCCCTGCTCCCTCCTCCAAGCTCACTTCCCATCGCTCACTTTCCCATTCCAACCACAGGCCTCCTCTCTGCTCTTTCCCTCCTCAGGGCCTTTGCAGTTGCTGTCACCTCTCCTGGACAGGCCTTCTAGGAATTTTAATGACTCGTTCCTTCTTCTTCAAATTTCAGTTCACGAAGTTCCTCAACCGCTTAAAGTACTGTCCTGTTAACGCCACCACATCGGGCCATTTATTTCCTTCTTAGACATGATCACAGTCTGTAATCATATGATTTATTTGTTATGCATCATTGTCTGTCTCCTTTTCCAGAATGTAAGTGCCATAAAGGCCAGCGACTGTGTCTATCCTGTTCACCATTGCCCCCGGCGCATACCAAGGGACTGGTTTGTAATATACTAGTTGGGTAATCTCAAAAAAGGCTGATCCACCCACCCTACAGGAGGGTGAATAATAGAAAAGTGATCCACATGTAAGAGACTGGTCAGGAAATTCAGGTTAAGAATTTGCTATTTGTAGATGCAATTTTTGCCTTGCAAAGGGATGTGTAAATCTGTTATTTTTTTCTTCCCCTGACTGATGTAGGGCAGAAAATCGGCTTAGTTAATTCTCTACCCCAGCTTTTCTACCTATAAGGTGGCATAAGTTAATTTTTCCATGTAAAGTAACTCATACAAAAATCAAATACAATAGTTTACACACTCCCCCCTCTGAGGTGAGGCTCTGAGGTCACATTCAAACCTAATGTGGTTCTGCATGGCCCTGGCCAAAAAGAGACGCTGAGATGGGCAAGACTGCCCGGGACACTCTCAAAAGGAGTGGCAAGATTCTGCAGCAATTCCAAGGGGCTCACATTCTGTTTTAAATCCGGCCAATTAGAAATTTTTTTTCTAACTTTTCTTGTGGACTCTATCTATCTCTCATCTTCCCATGATAGACTTCATCCACTGCATTGGTGCGGTCTCACGGGTTATATGAAGAGGTAAACGCAGAAAAGGGTGACAGAAAAAAAGGTTGGATGGATTTGTCCCCCCCACTTATTTTCCATTTTTTCAAAATTAGCTTGTGTTTCTACATGAGAGAAAATCTTGTGTTGAGAGAAGTCTTAAACTGTATCCAGTAAGTGACAAAAGCAAAACCCAAAACCAAAAACTGTAGATACACTTGCTTAGAGTTTTATTTACTATGACAATTGCTAAAAAACAAATATTTCCCTACTCAATTTCTTGGAGCTAAATCAAGGTTTGCTATGTTTCCAGTAAAAACAGAAAGCTTTCCGGAGTCCATGATCTGGCCATCGTGTCATGGCTACCACTAAGGGTACAGGGATGGAATGTCCCTTTGTCGCTCCAGCTTATTGGAGGGTGGGTGGACAAATGTCGACATGGCCACTTTTGTGCAGTATCTAGGAAATGGCAAAGAACATTTTTTGAGACAGGATTGATTACTGGCTCAAGAGGATTCTTGAGAAATGTTCTGCTCTTCATGAAATTCACAGAAACGAGACATTTTCATCTGGAGCACATTATTCTGTAACAGTGGTGCTTCATCTGTTTGAGTTCCATGAGCAAAAACTATTCCGTAGAAGTAACTCTTCCATATAATTGGAAATGCTCAAAAATGCCTTCAAATTTTTAAGTCATTTTATAAAATGTAAATACTCCTCAATGTACCACCCATGTTCTTTCTTTTTTAAATGGGGCCTCTCAGATTTGGCTGCACATCGGATCACCTAGGGAGTTTTTGGGGCCATGGAGGCCCAGGTCTTGCTTCCAGAAGGTCTGATGGGTGGCCCCAGGGTGTGGTGTGGGCATCTGGAGTTTTAAATGCTCCCAGGTGGTTGGAATGCGCTGCAAGGTGGGGACACTGAATAAGGTAATGATCTAGGACATTTATCTTTTCACTCCTGAGGCTACCTGGTATTCAAGGCTTACGCACCCTGACTGATGACTGATCCCAGGTGGCCCTGAGTTGTAAGACGGTGACTGTGAGTGGGGATTGAGAGGAGGGCCAGATCCTCCAGGATTCAGAGCAGACTCGGTGCTGTGTTTGCCATTGAGTGTGCCGGCTCTTCAAGCCTTGACAGCAGGTTTTTTGACATAAAAGAACCTTCTGATAAGAAGATTGAATCCACGGGGTAGATAAGATTAAATCCATGGGGTACATGCTGGTTCATACATTTGAAAGTCAAATGTATGATAACTGGACAATCAGGTGAAGCTGGAAGATGAGATGGTTGCTGAAGACAGTAGAAGACCTTTCTAAAGCCTATTTTTGCTGTAAGAGAATTTTACAGCACAAAAATAAAAAGACATCTCCGGCCAACGTCCCAGGTGAGTGTTTGTGTCTTCAAAGATATCTGTGCAAATATATCCACAGAAACTCTCCAGAATTCCATGATCTCAAGGAAGCACTGGACGTTAGAGCAGGAAGGGACTCGCTCACTTTAGGGGTAACGACCTACTTTATTGCAGTTAAAAAAAGAAAAATTTTTTTGAGAAAAGAAATAAGACACAGAGACAAAGTATAGAGAAAGAACAGTGGGCCCAGGACCGGCGCTCAGCATGTGGAGGACCCGCACCGGCGCTGGCCTCTGAGTTCCCTCAGTATTTATTGATCATTATTTTTACTGTCTTAGCGAGGGGAGTGTAGCAGGGCAACAGGTGGGAAGAAGGTCAGCAGGGAAACATGTGAGCAAAGGAATCTGTATCACGAATAAGTTCAAGGAAAGGTACTGTGCCCAGATGTGCACGTAGGCTAGATTTATGTTTCTCTTTACCCAAACATCTCAGTGTAGCAAGGAGTAACAGAGCAGTATTGCTGCCAGCATATCTCACCTCCAGCCACAGGGCGGTTTTCTCCTATCTCAGAATAGAACGAATGGGAATGGTCAGCTTTTTACACCGAGACATTCCATTACCAGGGACAAGCAGGAGACAGAAGCCTTCCTCTTATCTCAACTGCAAAGAGGCCTCCCTCCTTCACTATTCCTCCTCAGCACCGACCCTTTACAGGTGTCGGGCTGGGGGACAGTCAGGTCTTTCCCTTCCCATGAGGCCATATCTCAGGCTGTCTCAGTGGGGGGGAAACCTTGGACAATACCCAGGCTTTCTTGGGCAGAGGTCCCTGCAGCTTTCTGCTGTGCATTGTGTCCCTGGTTAATCGAGAATGGAGAATGGCGATGACTTCTACCAAGCATACAGCCTGCAAACATATTGTTAACAAGGCACATCCTGCACAGCCCTAAATCCATTAAACTTTGATTCATTACAGCGCATGTTTCTGTGAGCACAGAGTTGGGGCTAAAGTTATAGGCTAACAACATCTCAAAGCAGAAACAATTTTTCTTAGTACAGATCAAAATGGAGTTTCTTATGTCTTCCTTTTCTACACAGACACAGTAACAATCTGATCTTTCTTTTCCCCACATGGACTAATGCGATATCATAGATATGGTGTGTCTTCAGTTACAAGATGCTCTGTTTGAATTATATACATTTTAGAAAACTATGTACAGATGAATAATTTAAAATTAATTGTAAGTGGTATTTGTGGTCTTGATAGAGTTGGCCACGATGTCCAAATGTAATATTAAGCCTATGGGAAAGTCAGAGCCACTTTTTTTTTTTTTTTTTTTTGAGTCAGAGTCTTGCTCTGTCGCCCAGACTGGAGTGGAGTGGCATGATCTTGGCTCACAGCAACCGCCACCTCCTAGGTTCAAATGATTCTTGTGCCTCAGCAGCCAGAGTAGCTGGAATTACAGGCCTATGCCACCACTCCCAGCTAATTTTTTTGTATTTTTAGTAGAAATGGGGTTTCGCCATGTTGGCCAGGCTGGCCTCAAACTCCTGACCTCAAGTGATCCACCCACCTTGACCCCCAAGGTGCTAGGATTACAGGCGTGAGCCACCGTGCCCAGCTGAGATCCACTTTCATTCTCACCTCACAGTGGCTCCTGACTCCTTTTCCAATGCACCAAGACACACACCACGGAGGGATGTCTGCACAGACTTCTAATGTGGTTTGGGGTTGCAAACTGTAGTTGGGGCAATTTTTTGTAGAGAGGTCTGGTCCTGGACCCACCGTCAGAGACCTTAGAGAAAGGATCCCTTTGGGGGTCCCAGACAAAGATCTTCTTTCTTTATAACTTGTCATCCTAAGATTTAAAGGGTGGAAGGGGAACACAGAAATTGCATATTCACTACAACTCAAAAAAGAAGAGAATTAATTTTGCACCACTGACAAATAGGTCATCTTAGGCACTTCAAAACTCCTTAAATGGATCTAAAAATATTTGTCCTCTAATATTTTGGTGTCTCTTCAGCCAAAAACAAAAATTGCTTAAATTTGGTCCCATAAGAATTATAGTCATATTTCAGTTTGCAATGTGCCCTAATTCTAGGGCTTTCCTGGAATGAAGGATGCAGTTATCTTTGAGACCGGCTTTCATAGCCCACCCCCTTCCATGATGAGGAGGCAGGTGACAGGGAGGAACAGCCACCACGGGAGGGTGTGCGTTCTCCCAAGGGAGTTTTCTTCCTGCACACCTTCCTCATCTTCTTTAGACACTCAGGAAGTTGATGGGCTGAGCACTCCTGGCTTAAGCATTTGAAAAAGCAGCCGAGGAGTTTCCGCCTGTAAATAGTATCTGTAAAACCGTGAGCGGCTGGGAAGCCCACATCTCAGGCCACGGGGTCTGCGTCTCCCCTCTTGAGGCGACGCTGAACAAAAGTCCCCAGGGCCGCCAGGGGGATGCACATGGTGGAGGAGGCCACAAGCAGCCCGATGACAGCCAGTGCATAGGCCGGGTAATCTTTGGTCACGAGCTGGCCCTGAAAGGAGAGACTGAGTGTCAGCAGAGAGCACCTGCTGAGCACTGCCCCTGGGCCTCAGGGCCCATCCGTGATGGGGAGGTGATGTGACGTGGGCAGAGAGCATGTGGGGCCGGTGTCCTCACTCCTGGGGCCACGGGCTCTGCAATTCACTAGCAAATGTGCCAGGAGCCTAACTGCCCTCACCTTCTTTTTCTTCCATAAACTAGGAATAATAGTAACTACTTGAACCAGTGGGTGTAGAGCTATTGTTTGGAGCTACCCATAATGAATAACCATGGTAATAATCAAGCACCTTATGTCTAAGGCAACTTTCAGGGAACCTAAACTGTAGGCGACTACTCTTAGCCTGGAATGGGACTTTCCCGTGAAGGTAGCAACGTTCTCTGTCAGTGCTGTCTGCTGCGGTAGGCGCGGAGGAGAGCGCTGCTCAGGAGGCAGGAGCTGGCGCCTTTGCAGCGGGAGTTTTTCTCAGCTTCCGGGGGACAGGTGGATGGGGAAGCTCTGGAGGAGTGCCTTCCTCTCGCCCCACTGAAGCACATACCTAAAAGCTCAAAGCCCAGCTCCTCCGTGCTGGACTATTTCTAAAATACCTCAGTGATATTTCCATGTCGTGACAAATAACCTACCCACACCATGGAAATAGTCCCCTGGTTTCGGAAAATGAATGGCCCATGCTTTTCAGTGGCCATGGGGGCCCAGCGCCAGCCCTACGGAGACAGTAGATACCTGGGAGGCGTCCCAGGCTTGATACTTCAGGGTCCCCGTGAGGATGTAGTCGCTCAGGTAGAAGACAAAGAGGCTGACAATCAGCAGTGGGCTTACGCCAGCCCACATCACCTTCCAGTACCAGCTCACAGCTCGGCCGGTCATGGCCTTAAGGTCACTTTCAAATCTATTTGGAAAACAGGGAGAGAAAGTCTGGATTAACCAGGCTGCGGAGGTCAGGGCGTCCAGCTTGCCTGTCCCTATTCACAAAGGAACATTCTGTTCTAGGTGGTAAAGGATGTCTGAGCTTGGCCACTGGGCTCCTCTGTGACACCTTCTTGAGAGACGAGTGCTGCGGTGGGGAGGGGAGAAGGGCTGAGGCTGCCCAGAAGGGATGACGGAGCAAGCAACCCGCAGAGAGTGGACATCAGAAGACGCCTTCCTAATGCCAGCCTTCAGATGAAGGCTGCTGGCATAGCCCAGAGGGCAGCCTCCAGGAATGGTGGGCACAGGCAGCAGGGGATGGACATTTGTCAGGCTGGTCATCAATGACAGGGACTTCTTGGGCGGCTTTGCCCACCCCCCTACCCAGCCCGCCCCTGTCAATCAGTGACTCCCTTTCCCAGTAGAAACACCACGGAGCAGAATCACTTGGTCCATTGAAACCAGAGCAGGTTTTCTGGGACAGAGGAAGAGCCAACCTCGGACTGAAGGACCGTAGCCCTGGCCTGCTGGAGCTGGTCTAGAGTGGCCAGGGCAGTGAGTCCCAAAGGCGTTGCCCACAGCCACCATCACCACCTCCATCATGCCTGTAGCTCTCTTTTCCCTCTTCTTTACTTTTAAACCTACGGTTAGCAGCAGCACAACAGCAGCCAGTTTCTCATCGACTTGACAAACTAAGTACGTGTGTTTTTGAATACACGTACACAGTATAAAAAGTATCTTTGGCATTTTGGGAGATGTTGGCCCAACGAAACTCCCCATTTCACACAGGAGGAACCAAGGCCCAGGGCTGCGATGCCTTCTTCCTTAGGGCTTGGTAAAGACCAGGCCCAGAACCTGGGTTGGCCTCCTGCCTCCAGCCCAGAGCCTTTAAACCTGCTCCCTACAGCGGAAGAGGCAGCCTTGGCGGGAGGGGCTGGGGTGGTGTGGGTGTGACGTCACCAGCTGCAGCCACAGCCCCTCCCTCCCTGGGACCTGCTGCATGTCCTGGGTGTCCATGCGAGGCTGTGTGGCGACCACCACCTGCCCTTTGCTGCTGCTGACGTAGTTGGACTCTAGGCTGCAGGCCATGAAGGCTCATGTATGTGACACGAAAACCTGGGGCTTTCAAAATCAGACAGGTGAAAAAGTGTTGGGGGTCCTCTTGTCCCTTCACACCCCCATAACCCCCCCCCCTTTCCTGGATGGAGAAAGTTGGGAAGAGCTGGCTGCAGAAAAGCCCCAGGACACTGTTGCTGGGTGGTCACTAGATGGCGGTGTCACCTGAGCAAGCCGAAGCACTCCCCTCCTGCCACTTACATGGTCAGTCCACCTACGACATCTCCAAGGCACGTTTGTTTCTGCCTCTGTCTCCCTTCACCAGCCCCTTTTTGATGGACTTGTGCCCCTCACCCATCTAGTGACCTCCAGCGGGCCCTAGGTTCTGTTCCTCTCTCCCAACCTTCTCTTTTTATCCTGAAACACTCACCCTCTCAGTGACCAATCTCTTTCTCCCTCTAGACTGGCATTTCCTAGGTGACCAGGGATTTTCCCAATTTTAGTACTGAAAGTTCCACGTCCCAGAAAACCCCTCAATCCTGGGGAAACAGGGAGAGTTGGTCCCCTTAACACTAGTGTCCTCAAAATGTTAGTAGCTAAGGGTGGGAGTCGGGTGAGAGGAGGGTGAAAAGGCATTCCTTGACCAAGTAAGTCTGGAAATGCTGCAATTCTAACCCTCTCTTTGGGATCCACAACTGTCTTTAAGATTCTGAGAAGTCCTACGGGAAAGACATCAATTTGGCTTTGTTTAACTTATGTCCTGATGGATCATGGGAGATCCCTCAGCATGGCACGGGACCCTGGCCTTTCCGGGGACACAGCAGGGATTGCTGCTTCAGGGATGCCTGCCTCCCAGAGTGTTGTCAATGTCTCCCTCCCCACCCTGAACCAGCACAGAGGATCAAAAAGACTGGGGAAGAGGGCAGAAAACAACGTGGCACAGCCTCCTCGCCCAAACCGCACCCACTAGAGCAGCGCTGCCCAAACTGTGATGTGCCTCAGGCCCCCTGGACATAGTGTGAAGATACAGGATCTGATTCAGCAGGATGGGGTGGGCCCGAGCTTCTGCAGTCCCAACGAGCGCCTTGTTGCTGCTGCTCCCGCTCTAGGGACCACACTTGAGGTAGCAAAGCTCTCTAGGCCAGTGGTTCTCAAAGTGTGGGTGCCAGACTCATCTGGGAACCTGCTAGAAATGTGAATTCTTGGCCCTCCCCTGGCCTGCCTGATCAGAACCCTGGGGGTGAGTCTCACAGCTGTGTTTGACCAGCCCAAGGGACTCTGAGGCACACTCGAGTTTGAAGGTTGCTCTAGACCAGTGGCTCTTGCCCCAGCTGCACATTCCATCACCTGGGGAGAACTAAAACATTCCAGTCCCGTGCTGTGCACTGGGATTGAGAACCTCACTGACTAAATTTTGAATCTGCCAAATTTTCTAAGGTCTAAGTTATCAACTGGACTTTGGTCAGGGTTCTTGGAAAATACTGATGTTGGCCGATGATCAGAGCATCCAGTGCCTGGAGGCACAATTCCCTGCCCCAGTAAGCTGTGGGGGTCCAGCAGGGTCAACCCTAAAACAGCCTATGATACAAAGCAAAAGTACAGGGAATAGAGAAAAAGATATTCACTGAAGCAAACTGAGCATGGAATAGAGGCAGAGCATAAGCTGAGATCTGCGGGCAAAGAACAAACGTTGAGTCATGATGCGAAGCTTAAAGAAGAGGTGAAGATGTGCATCAAGAAACAGCTGTTTTCCTTGAGGGGCGTGGCCTCTGTGGCTGTGTTTTCCCTATGCAAATGAGGGTCCTGGGCCTCCTCACCTCCTCAGCCCGTACACGTAGCACACGGCAATCGTCTCCACCAGCACGATGAGCAGCAGGGACAGTGTGGCCGCGTAGTCGTTGAATATGTCAAACCAGTAGTTCCCAGCCTCCATCGTGAACACCATGCCAATGGCACAGTTGACAAGGCACACCAGACCTGGGGGCCACAAGACCAGCTGCTCACCTGCCCGAGACCCCCCCACTACTGCTTACCAGTTCTCTACAGGACAGTGGGGTCGTCGGCCCTCAGGGAATTTTGGCTGATTGCTTCATCCACATGGGTTGAAAGAGCTGTCATGGTTTGGACTCTCTGAAGGTGTGTGCCACGTGTGTGGGGCAGGGGGCACAATGGTGTCCCGAAGCGTGTTGGCAGGGGTCACTGATGTTGACTCACTGAGCTGCCCTGCAGGGGTGGCAGAGCTTAAAGCTCAATGAACAAGCAGACGTAGTGGGCACTGTCATTCCAGGATCCCGCCCAGGCTGTGGGTCTACAATTATAACCCCCGCTGTTTATCCCAACAACTCAGCCCTGGAGCTCATGAGAAATGAATCAGGGGAGGAGGCTTGAATATGGAGTGGCCCCATCAGGACTTCCTAGAGAGGACTTGCCTCCACCCAGAAGAGGGTGGGGCAGGGAAGAGACAAATGTCCACCCAGATCCTCCCTTGTGCCAGGCACTTGCAATGCGTTGGACCCTTAGGCCTCTGAGGCAGGTGTCCGGAGCCCCCTTTCACAGATGGGAAGGCAAGGCTCAGAGATGTCTAAGGCTCCCCCGACATCCCATAGCACATCCATGGCAGAGTGAGGATTCAGACCCAGGCCCTTTAGCCTCCAGAACCTGGGCCTTCATCCCAGGCCCCTCCAGCTGCCTTCCCTGGGGACCCCATGCATGTCTGAGTCTAGAGCCCACACCTGCCCTTTCCACTAGCACACCGTACACTGCCAGCTACCGAGCCCTCCTGCTATCCCGACGGGGACACACAAGGAGAAAGGGGCCATGCGCTGGCTGAAGGCTATGGGCACACCTAGTGTTGGCTACAAAGACCAGGCCTGAGGAGGGGGTCTAAGTGCTGCAGCACTCTGAAGAGGTGGGGGCAACTCCAACTGGAGTGGTCGGGGCTTGAAGGAGATGGCCTGGGAGCTGGGTTTGATTCATCCTGCATGTCAAGGAATGGTGTTTTCAGAGACGGAGTAGTGTAGGCCACAGGGTCCTTGAGGCACTGCCTGATTGGAGTGGAGCAGATGGGCCAGGGAGTGAAACCATGAGAGATGTAATTGGAAAAGCCAGCTCATTTCCTAAGATCTGAAATGTCCATCAACAGCAGAATGGATAAAGAAACTGTGGTATGTCACCTTACAATGGATTATTGTATAGGCACAAAAAGGGGCAGACGATCGCTGCTCGAAACAACATGAGTGGATCTCACAGGTAGATTCTGAGTGAAGACAATAGACGTAGAGTGTGTACAATAGGACTTCGTTCATATGAAATTCAGGAACAGGAAGGCCAGGCGCAATGACTCATGCCTGTAATCCCAGTATTTTGGGAGGCCAAGGCAGGCAGATCACTTGAGGTCAGGAGTTTGAGACCAGCCTGGCCAACACGGGGAAACCCCATCTTTACTAAAATACAAAAATTAGCCAGGCATCATGGTGTGCACCTATAATCCCAGCTACTCAGGAGGATGAGGCACGAGAATAGCTTGAGCCTGGGAGGTGGAGGTTGCAGTGAGCCAAGATCGCACCATTGCACTCCAGCCTGGGTGACAGAGTGAGACTGTTTCTTTAAAAACAAAAAAAAAAAAAAAAGGAAAAAAACCCCTAAAATGTAGAAGTCAGAAATAGAGGTGAACTCCAGGGGTGCATACTGCCTGGGAAGGGGTGTGAAGGAACTGTCTAGGGTGTGGAAAATGTTCTGTATCTTGACCTAGGTGGTGGTTCCTTGGGTGGATACATATGTAAAATCCACTGAGTTTGTACTTAAGAAATGTACACTTTATAATGGTCATACTTCAGGCCAGGTGTGGTGGCTCACACCTGTAATCCCAGCACTTTCGGAGGCTGAGATGGGCGAATCACCTGGGGTCAGGAGTTCGAGACCAGCCTGGCCAACATGGTGAAACCCCTTCTCTACTAAAAATACAAAAATTAGCCAGGTGTCATGGCGTGCACCTGTAATCCCAGCTACTCGGGAGGGTGAGGCAGGAGAATCACTTGAACCTGGGAGATGGAGGTTGCAGTGAGCCAAGATCACGCCACTGAACTCCAGCCTGGGCAACAGAGCGAGACTCCGTCTGAAATATATATAATATACTTCAATGAAAATGAACAGAAACAAAATCGAGTTCTCTCCTAGCCTGGAGAACTTTGAATGTCAGGTTGGGGAGTTGGGTTGGGGTGGCCACTTCACTTCCCTGTGATGTGGAGAATGGAACGCACAGGGTGAATCACATGGCCCAGGTCCCAGGTTGTGAGAAGACATGGCAGGACCGTGGTGAGGTGGCTGCAACCCCCTGTAGCCACCTGAACCAGCCCATGACCCCTGAGGGAGCTCTCCCCTGTTCACCCCCACGCCTTGGCCCTCCTGACCCCTGCCTCCTCCACTGGCTGGCCCCGCTGACCTGAGATGGCCTCCTTGGGCAGGTGGCTGGAGATGATCTTGCTGTCTGTCAGAGGGGTGAGGATGGCCGCTGTGTTCCCCAGCATGCTCCCAATGCCCAGCATCAGCAGCATGAAGAAGTAGAGCACCGACCACAGCTGGGACACCTCCATGTTTTTAATGGCCTCTGTGTAGACGATGAATGCCAGGCCAGTGCCCTGGACGGCCTGCCCAGGGTGAGAAGACACCAGTTACATGCAAGAGGGACTTATAGTCTTATTCACGCACTCAGTACTAAGCAACATGGGGGACCTTGGAAGTGGCCATGAGAAGCCACATTGTGAGGTTGGAGCTTCCATCTGCAGATCAACCCCTTACACTCAGCTGGGCTGAAACGAAATGGGAGCTGCCAGGAGCTCATATATGCAAAGCACGTGAGAACTTGTAGCCAGCCTGCAACACTGAGTTCCCCTCTCCTGCCCCAACTTACGTACATTCTGGATGAAAGATAATAAAACAATGGATAATTTCTGCTTCTAATGTGATGACCGACTAGGTGTCCTGAAACCTCCGTGGCTGGGACCTGAGGAGGGAGGGCGGGGCCAGGGCAGCAGGAAGCAGAATTGTAGGGAGACAGCTTGGTCAGCAGGCAACCAGGAGGGGCAGGTGCTCAGCGGTCACGTCCCTGTGCTGGTAACTCTGTTGCGGAAATGTTAAACTATGGAAATTGAGGCTGGAACTCCTGCTTAAAGACAAATCCCCTAAGGGGCTCAAAAGGGATAATAGGTTGTGCGTACTCTCTGGCTA
Source organism: Homo sapiens (assembly GCF_000001405.40). Lineage (NCBI taxonomy): Eukaryota > Metazoa > Chordata > Mammalia > Primates > Hominidae > Homo > Homo sapiens. The sequence continues at coordinate 45,766,322 of NC_000003.12, forward strand.
CCCACAGAAGAAGCAAAAACAAGCCCTCCCTGGGTAGAAGCCCCCCCACCCGGTTTAGATGCACAGGATTCCCAGAGATTGAGCAAAGTGCTCATAAACAGGGATTTACAAACCCACAAGGAGAGAAGTCACTATGAGTGAAGAACTAGCAAGATAAGAAATCAGATTTAGAACATCCCTCCCCGAGGTGGCAGATGTTGGACTGTCAGATTCAGAATTGCTATGGACTGAACCATGTCCACCTGAAATTTGTATGTTGAAACCCTAGCTCCCAATGTGACTGTATCTGGAGATAGGGTCTTTAGGGGGTAATTAAGGTTAAATTGAGTTATAATATTGGAGCCCTAATCTGACCAGACTGTAGCCTTATAACAAGAGGAAGAGAGAGAGAGAGAACTCTCTATTATGTGAGGACACAGTGAGAAGATAGGTGTTCACGAACCAGGAAATAGGTCTTCATCAGAAACCAAACCCTGCTGGCCCTTGATCTTGGACTTCTCAGCCTCTAGGATTGAGAGACAAATTCCTGTTTTTTGCTGGGCACAGCGGCTCATGCCTGTAATCCCAGCACTTTGGGAGGCTTAGGTGGGAGGATCACTTGAGCTCAGGAGTTTGAGATCAGCCTGCGCAACATAGCAAGACCTTGTCTCTACTAAAAGTAAATAAAAGAAAATAAATTTACGTTGTTTAAGCCACCCAGCCTATATTTTGTTATGGCAGGCTGCACTGACTAATATAAGAACACAGGTCAATTCTATAGTATACCAGTTGCTCAGGGGCATACTGAAAATAGTTGGCTTTATGTGCTGACAACAAGGGAGTGATCACTTGTAGAGAACTTAAAAACAATAGTAAAAATCTACAAAAAGTTGATATACTTTTTATGATTATCATGAGCCAGCAATTCTAAATAGTGTTAAAATACTGCTCTCCTTCTCTTGCCTATGGCCACCACTGAAACAGTTACGTATGAAATGTTTAAAGAAACAAAGGATAACATTACAAAAATAAACATGTATCAATAAACTATTGGGATGGACAAGTAAATCTGAAAAAAATAGCATCTATATAAAAAATATAGTTATTGAATTAAAAGGCTCAATTGACAGTTAAATACCAGATTAGATGCAGCTGAAAAGAGAGTTAGTGAACTGAAAGATATATCCAGAAATGAATCAATAAAATAAAAAAGGATAAAAAGATGGGAAAAATAAAAGAGAGGTTAAGAGACCTGTAGGACAGGATGAAAAAGTC